>NC_000003.12:61525151-61828181 GCF_000001405.40 Homo sapiens
CTAACAAACATGTGTTCTGGAAGGTCACCAAGGGTCTCTTTATTGCTAAACCCCTTGACCTCTGCTCTGTCCTCATTCTCCTCCATTTGTCAGAGGCACATACAGGGCCCTACTGCTGTCTAACCTCTCTGGGCCTCAGCTACATCATGAGATACTAAGAAGAATACCCTTTCTGTCTCATATTCGTTGGGAGTTTTAAGTGAAAAATACTAAACTGCTTTGTAAACTGTAAAATCTACATAAGTACAACTTGTTATTATTGTTCATCTGGACTCCTGTGGTTCCCAGGACAGGGTTAAGCTTAGAGAAGATACTTCTTATTGATCAGCTACTGAGGTTAGTTCTTAGTTCTCCATCTCTCTTTAAAGAGATTTTTATTGAGTACCTACTGTGTGCCAAGCAGCATGAGGGGTGGAAAAAGCAGTAATCACTTTTGGGAAACCGCTATTGAGTGCTGACAATGCACCCAGACTGTGCCTAGTAGCCCACAGGGATAACGATGTTCAACCCGTATATCAAGTCTCAGAGACAAGTATTATCTTTTACATCTGTTTTTTTTGTTTGTTTTGTTTCAGAGACAGGTTCTTGCTCTGTTACCCAGGCTGAAGTACAGTGGTACTATCACAGCTCACTGCAGCCTCAAACTCCTGGGCTCTAGCAATCCTTCTGCCTCTCCCTCTTGAGTACCTGGGACTACAGGCTGTGCCAATACACCTGGCTAATTTTTTTAATTTTTTGTAGAGATGGGGTCTCACTATGTTGTCAGGCTGGTCTCAAAGTCCTGTGCTCAAGAGATCCTCCCACCTCACCCTTCCAAAGCACTGAGATTACAGGTGTGAGCCAACAAGCCCAGCCTACCTCTGTTTTAAAGATAGCAATCTGAGACCTAGAGAGTTGAAGTAATTTACCCAAAGTTACACAGCTAGTAAAGATGGAAGCTGGGATTTGAACCCAAGTCTTTATGACTGCTCTATATAATGCTCATTACATATTACAGCCACCTGCCTTACATGGCTGTAGGGAGACAAGGCTGGCTGTCCAAATCAGAACGAGATGAACTCCTTTTGAACAAATAAGTGAGACAATGTAGATGCTTGATGCGAGCCTGTAGATGTAGATGAGATAAGTAGGTATTTAATAAAGGTAGACTCTTACTAACTCCAGGATCAAGAATGTCAAGATGTGTAACTCAGCTACAAGCAGGCTCTCGGCAGGATTGACATGAGCAGCTCATAGGCCTCAGGGGCACATTGGTTTTCCAGGTGAGCACAACAGCGGGCAGTGCATGATGATTAGTCTATGCCACAACCAATTACCTATTTCCTCCTTCTGCCACAGGGGTCCGTAACCACTCCTGTTTTATTCACTGATTTTATGCCTCTTGCTGGAGGGAACAACAAGGGATCAGGTGTCATACTTCAGTCCTGAGCCAGAAGAAAGGTCCCTGCAGCCAGAGAGAGCAGTCTGCTTCCTTTGGAGAGGAACAGAAGCACTCCAGTATGTGGATCGCATTGTCTCGAAAAAGCCACCCAGAATTTGGAATTCCAAGTCATTCTGTAGATTGATCAGGTAAGTCAAAAAGACACCAAGTTCCTTGGTAAGTCAGCATTCCAGAAAATGAAAAAATTACCTACTCAGAGCTAAATGGTTCCGTCAGAAAATACACATGAACCCACAGGACACAAATCTAAGTTCTATTATGAAAATTACTACTGCTGCCATTTCTCACCCAATCTAAGACAACGTCATTTGCAAAACATGCCACTTTTCAATGTACTCCTAAGAAAAAATGCTGCCAATTAAACTGTGCCATGCCACCATTTGTAAGATGCACCCTCATTTTGGAAGAGACTAACACATGAAAAGATAGGTGTGTCGAAATTGATAAAATTGGTAATAGTAAGAACAACTAAAATGTTATTGTCTGCTACCTACTGGACAGTCTTCCAGGTGCTTTGTACACCTTATCTTATTCAATCTTAAGTACCTGTGAGGGAGGCATGACTCTCTGTCTTTCACAGATGAGGACGCAGAGGCCTAGAAACATCTGCGCCAAACACGCAAGATCACAGAAGTGTTCCTGGAATCCAGATCTGTCCATCCACGCCCAAGTGATCTCTCTGTCACCCCCCCACATAGGTTTGGGAAAGGTAAGTGTGTTCTTTGGAATGCCCAGTGGGCAATGTGGAGTCACTGAGGCTGAGTCGGAGAAGGAGCGTCGGTGGGAAAGGTGCCCAGAGCTGCCACCTGCCAAACAAACCTGGGACGTGGTGCAGAAGACGTCTGGCTCCATGAATAGTTTCACCAAGGTCATCTAACATCAAAGAACATGAGAAAAATTCCGGACAAGTTCTGGCATGTGGTTTACCAACAGGCCATTATTAATCTCAAGCAGCGAGCTGAGATAGCGGACGTGACAGCAAGCACAGTGGGTGGACAGGACTCCACTGGCCAGCCCCAACTTTACAGAATGTGGCTTAATTCTGGAATCTAGGAGAATCCATAGACCAAGGCTGGCTGGCCAAATCTGAACCAGAAGAGCACCTCTTGAGCACCTTCTCTGAGAAACCTCCAATGAATGCTCAAAAAACACTTGTTATAATCATATGCTCTTCTATCATTAAATGCCTACACTCAGGAAATGGACCCCGGCAGGAAGTCATAACAAGAAAGGGTCACAGTCTGATAAAAAAGTCAGTCCCCTAGCTGCCCCATTCCATCCAAGCCAGTTTGTCTCAGAAGAAAACACCTGGATGTTTTTACGAGGAAAAATAACTTTTTCATTAGTAAGGGACAGCAATGTCCTCTGGCAATACTCTCAATGGACATGTCTTAGGACTCACCTGAGGAATTGCGTTAAAAATATGGATATCTGCACCCTCTTCCTCCATACCCAAATCATCTAGCATTTTAATTTTTTTAAAAGTGCTTTAGGTGATTCTTCTAATTCAGGAAGTTTGGAAAACCCTACCCTGCAAGCAGTTCTTGTTTTTTTGTTTGTTTTTTGTTTGTTTTTCTTTTAGACAGAGTCTCACTCTGTTGCCAGGCTAGCATGCAGTGGTGCAATCTTGGCTCACTGCAACCTCCACCTCCTGGGTTCAAGCGATTCTCCTGCCTCAGCCTCCCGAGTAGCTGGGACTACAGGTGTGCACCACCATGCTCAGCTAATTGTGTTTTGTTTTTGTTTTTTGGTTTTTGGTTTTTTTTTTTTTTGAGACAGAGTCTAGCTCTGTCGCCCAGGCTGGAGTGCAGTGGCACGATCTCAGCTCATTGCCACCTCCACCTCCCAGGTTCAAGTGATTCTCCTGCCTCAGCTTCCCGAGTAGCTTGGGATTACAGGCTCCCGCCACCACATCCAGGTAATTTTTGTACTTTTAGTAGAGATGGGGTTTCACTGTGTTGACCAGACTGGTCTCGAACTCCTCATCTCGTGATCCACCCACCTCGGCCTCCCAAAGTGCTGGGATTACAAGCGTGAGCCACCACACCTGGCCAATTGTTGTATTTTTGGTAGAGTCGTGGTTTCACCATGTTGGCCAGGATGGTCTTGATCTCTTGACCTCGTGATCCGCCTGCCTCGGCCTCCCAAAGTGCTCGGATTACAGGTGTGAGCCACCGCCCCCGGCCACAGTTCTTGTTTTAATGGAGAGCCACTGAAATAGTTGTCACCTGGATGGGCAAATTGCTGGAGTGCAAATTAACTTCCTGAAACAAATGGATACTTGAAAGGGTCCTGGTTCTTATTCATTATTTTATCTTTAAAAAAAAAAGTCTGGCCCAGTGGTGGCTCAGGCCTGTAATCTCAGCACTTAAGGAAGCCAAGGCAGGAGAATTGCTTGAGCTCAGGAGTCCAAGACCAGCCTGGGTAGCATAGTGAGACTCCCTCTATACAAAAACTAAATAAATTAGCCAAGCATAGTGGTGCATGTCTGTAGTCCCTGCTATTAGGGAGGCTGAGGTGGGAGGATCCCTTGAGCCCGGGAGGTTGAGGCTGCAGTGAGCCATGATCGTATCACAAACAACTTCCAGTTGATTTCCTGTATCTTGATAAGAATGAGTTGCACCCTTAGTGGCTGCAGCCTAAGAAGGAAACTGAAGAACTGCAGATCAGGGACCATAATTTGGTGGCTACTGTTAAGCTTCCTGCAAGCAATAGTAGGTATGCTCTGTTATTATTACCATTTTACAGATGAGGATTCCAAAGCCCAAAGAGGTTAGGAGCTTGCTAAAGAGTCAAATGTGAGCAGGGCTATTGGGAGCTAAAGAGATAGAAAAAACTCTCAACTTGAAATTTCCATTTAAATAAATCCAATCTCAATTTGGAAATGTTATTTTAGCCCCTTTAAAAGTCGTTAAGCTTGGCAGTAAGAAAACTAAGCCCTACTCTAAAGGAAATTAGGTTCCAGCTTCTTCTGTCATTTTATTTATTTAATTTTGAGACGGAGCCTTGCTCTGTCACCCAGGCTGGAGTGCAGTGGTGTGATCTCGGCTCACTGCAACTTCTGCCTCCCGGGTTCAGGTAATTCTCCTGCCTCAGCCTCTCAAGTAGCTGGGATTACAGGTGTGTGCCGACACACCCAGCTAATTTTTGTATAGTTTTAGTAGAGACTGGGTTTCACCATGTTGACCGGGCTGGTCTCGAACTCCTGACCTCAAGTGATCTGCCCCCATCGGCCTCCCAAAGTGCTGGGATTACAGGGGTGAACCACCGCGCCTGGCCTTTCTTCTGTCATTTAAACTTAACCAAAAAGCGTTATCAAAATCCAAACATCACAGCTGTCATCTGATGAGGTTTTTTTAATTGGTCCAATGTCTTATTAATAAAGATAGAAAAATATTCATTGTGTTTCGGCCGCACCCATTTGCAGTGCCAAGTGTAAAGGGTCAACTGTACAAGAAAGGCCTTTACCTTCTACACAAATCCAAACAAAATTACTCCATCTTTATGTTAGTAAAATAATTCCTTAGATCTGTTGATTAAACTTCAGTATGCAGAAGAACTCTCTTGACAGCTTGTTTAAAATGCAGATTCCTGGACGTGAGATTAGGTCTGAGGTGAGGCCCAGAAATGTGAATTTTATTAGGTTGATGCAAAAGCAATGGCAGTTTTTGTCATTACTTTTAAGGACAAATTCGCAATTACTTTGGCACCAACTTAATAAAAAACAGCTCAGTTGCATCTCCTAATAGGGACTCATTTATCAGACTCTGAACTAATAAAACTTACATGTAACTGCTTTCTCCTCTTACTGTTATCTTCCACACCAAGGGAGCCTGTTTTTGTATTCAATGCAGAATTATCAGAAAAAGCTGGAAGAGCTCTGAATTTCCAGAAAAACAGGTGAATTTCCAGCAAAGTGAAATAACTCATTCATTTAGGCAAATCGGCTCCCCCTTGTGGAATGTCTTCTATGGCAGGTATGGGCCTCTTAAATGAAGCACACAGGTCTTAGTACTGAGCTGATCAACACAATCAACCAAGAGTATTCTTGTGGTTGTTGGAGCTGAAATTCTGGGAAAGACATTTGGTTTCATGCATCCTACTACACTCTATTTCCTGCATCTGATCTGATGTTCTGAATTCCTGTCTCACTGATGTCATGAATAGAAATTAATTGAATTAGCCTGTCTCCAATTTTCATTTGCACAAACCAACTTCGAGTTTAATTCTGCAGTGTCTGCTTTCCTCACAGCCCTCTCTTTTTACAGGTAAAATCCCTAGATAAACAAACCACCCACAAAAGGACTTTTCCCTTGACTATTTCCAAAGATAGATAAGCTAAATGAATTTTGTATAATAGGTTCCATCATCATTTCTAAAAAAAAATTTTTTTTAATCTCTTAATTCTGTGATAATCTCTTGTAATATGTGTTTGCTGTATTATTTAAGATTATTCAATTCTGCAATGGAAAATAAGACAAGCAAATAAGGAAAAGAGATGAAACTAAACATAGAAGAAGTAAGTAGCTTATCAGACACATTAGACATAGATAAGGTAAGCAGAGCAATGCATGTACTAAACATAGAAAAAGATGGAAGGACCAAGAAATTCCAAATAGCCGTGCTGCACAAGTTAGAGACAAGAGTTTTTAAAGTCAGGTTGTGCAGAAAATCACATTAAGGCAATGGTTGCCTTCAAGTGCATGAAGCATTTAATATTCAATCTATGAGGTCTTAAATTGTCTCCTATTGATGACATCCATCCTGATACCCAAAGTATCTGCCCAAGAAACACCTATGGCTTCTTATCAGCTTTTGGGCAGGCTACAGATGTCGGCCAGGAATACTTGCAAGTGTGTTTCTGATAGAGCAAGTATATGTTATGGTCCCAGATACCTTCTGTTTTTTGGGTGCCTTGCTCAAACCTCACCTGTGGTCCTCCTAAAGATATCAGACCATCACTGTGAAGACTGATGCCAGAAAAGAGATATTGAGGAGGGAGGAGAAGGGGAGGAGAAGAAGAGGGGAAGAGAGGGGAGGAGGGAGAGAGGGAATGTAAACATCCCCAGAACTCAGTGTGAACTTTTCACCCCATTGACATCCTATATTCAGTGTGTTAACCTATCCCAACTCTCCCCTGTTGCTTCACACTGGGTGTTTTAAATTGCTTCAATGAACCATATAATTTGAACGTCTTAATTTGGTTTGTGAGCCTTTCAGTTAACTGACCTCTTAGTTAGCTTGCCTGGTAGTGTGTTTGGAGCGTCATTCCACCAGGGAAATTTCCCATACAACATCTCTTATTCTTGTCTATAACATGTTCTAAAATACATCAGTAGAGACATGTAATAGATGTGCGAGTTAACATTACTCTAGCACCCTAAGTGTAATGAATTAACTTTCAAAGTGCCCTGATCAAGAATCCACACTCGGTCAGCATCTGAAGGATCCTAATCAGGAATCCACACACCAGAAAAGCCCCCTCCCCCAAGAGCTTCAAATATCCCTATTGAATCAGCACCAGAAGTTTTAATAATTAGCATAAGAGATGTTAAAAATAAGTTTTCGTGGATGAAACGTGAAGCTGGCAGGAAAATTTGTATAGGCATCTGCACTCTGACATGGATAAGGTCTAATTATCTGGCGAGCCCAGAAGCCTAATGTCTCCTGAGTGGTGCCTAAAGTTTATAACTCAGTTCACTTCTGTGTCATCTCAGCTTACATACTGAAGAATCCTTCACCTGAAAGCGAAGTCACTTCAGGTGAAGTTACCTTCACCTGAAGGTGTAGTCAAGATGACTCGAAAGTGGGGGATTCCTGCCATCACCACATGATAGCATTTGTCTTGGAATAAACCACTCATGTAAAATGTTATCAAAGTGCCTAAAATGACACAGAATAGCGACTTTTGGGAGTTTACAAGAGAGGATCTGTGATTGCTTTGTGTCTGCTTGTTTGCTTACCAGAATTAAATCTGAAACTTGCCTCATTGTTTTCATTCAGTGATATTGTCAGGAAGAACTAGAGCCCTCACCTACCCTAACTCTTAGAGGGTGCTAATATCCATCAAAAAGAACACATGAATTGTGAACAACCAAATTTACTTAGGTTAACTTGAGGTGTGTATTAGTTATCTATTGCTTTGTAATAACCCCAAAACTTAATGGCTTGAAACAATAAGCATTCATTATCTCACAGTTTCCATGGATCAGGAATTCAGACGTGGCTTATCTGGCTGGTTTGGCTCAGAGTCTTTCATGAGGTTGTAGTCAAGATGTGGGTCAGGGCTGCAGCCATCTGAAGGCCTGACTGGGGCTGATGGATCAACTCCCAAGGTGCATCACTTACGTGCTCTGCAAGATGGTGCTGGCTAGTGACAGGAGCTTCAGTTCCTTGCCACGAATCTCTCCATAGGACTGCTTAAGTATCTTCAGGATATTGAAACTGGCTTTCTCCCAGAGTGACTGATCCAAACACAGTTAGGTGAAGGTGTCAATATGCTTTACAATACAGTCGGGTGCAGTGGCTCATGCCTATAATCCTAGCACTTTGTGAGGCCGAGGTGGGCAGATCACTTGAGGTCAGGAGTTCAAGACCAGCTTGGCCAACATGGTGAAACCTCGTCTCTACTAAAAATACAAAAATTAGCCGGATGTGGTGACACACGCCTGTAATCTCAACTACTTGGGAGCCTGAGGCAGCAGAATTGCTTAAGCCCAGGAGGCGGAGGTTGCAGTGAGCTGAGATCACGCCGCTGCACTCCAGCCTGGGTGACAGAGCAAGACTCCATCTCAAAAAAAAAAGAAAAAAAAAGTCTTACAAGACAATCTCAGGAATCGCACATATCATCACGGCCACATTCATTTACAGTGAGTGATTAAGTTTGTCCCACACTCAAGGGGAGGAGAATTAGTCTCCACCTTTTATAGGATGAAATGCCAAATAATTTGTGGACATATTTTAAGACTTCCACAAGGCACTTACTTGATGCTCATTTTTGCATATCAAATGGAATTTATTCTCTCCTCTCCATATTCTTACAGTAAATATTTGTCAAGCACTTACTATGTGCTAGGCCTTGCTGTAGGTGTTAGGAATACAGCTGTGAGCAAAGCAGGGGAGGTTAGGATTGAGCAGGATGGAGGAGATAGCTAATTAACAACAAATTCGAGTGCAACGGAAGGGAGTTGCCAAGTGTCAGGATATGGAATAATGGGGACCATGGTGAAATGATGAGTACCTTCCTAAGAAAGGCATTCACTGTCAAGTTCTGTGTGGGAATATGGGCTGCTCAGTATTTCCAGACTTTCTGATTTTTCAAGAGAAGGTGGAAATATATGCATGTATGTAGAATTCCCAGGATTTTAATGTTAGCGACTACTTCAAATATTTATAAAACACTATAAGGAAAAAAAGTCGGTGGGCCTAATTCAAGCAATAGACAAAAATATTCACATAAAATAATAAAAGCCTAGATAAAAGTTTAGATAAAAGCTCTGCTGTTATCTTAGCGATACTGATTAATTTTTCCGTCTTAAAATGATGTTGATAATTATTTTAAAGATTAAAAACAAAAATCTCTGGGAAATAAGAGTAGGAAAAAATGATGTTGTGGAAGAAATGGGACAGCCTGCATTTAAGTAAAATGAATTTACAATCAAGTACGCAAGACCCTAGATACTTTTCTGCCCTTTCCCCTCACAGAAAATAAAACATTTATGGTATGTAAAAAATAGGTAGAAACAGACCCCACTTGTTGCATTTGGTGACTTAAAAATAAAAGCTAGTAACTTTTTTTTTTCTTTTTTTTGAGACAGAGTCTCACTCTGTCACCCAGGCTGGAGGGTAGTGGCATGATCTCAGCTCACTGCAACCTCTGCCTCCCAGGTTCAAGCAATTCTCATGCCTTAGCCACCCAGATAGCTGGCAGTACAGGTGTGCACCACCACACCTGTCTAATTTTTTTAAATTTAGTAGCGACAGGGTTTCACCATGTTGCCCAGGCTGGCCTTGAACTGCTGAGTTCAGGCAATCCACCTGCCTCGGCTTCCCAAAGTGCTAAGATTACAGGCATGAGCCACGGCGCCCGGGCAAGAGCTAGTAATATTCTTAATTGATCATTTGTTTTTCTCCCCAATTATTTATTGTGTTATAAGTCTGCAGTTTACAATTAAGAACTAGAAATGGTGATGCCACATCTCTTTCTTTAAAAATGTAAATGTTAGGCGGGGCATGGTGGCTCACGCCTATAATCCCAGCACTTTGGGAGGCCAAGGCAGACAGATCACCTGAGGTCAGGAGTTTGAGACCAGCCTGGCCATCGTGGTGAAAGCCTGTCTCTACTAAAAATACAAAAAATATATATATATATTAGCCAGGCGTGGTGGTGCAGGCCTGTAGTCCCAGCTACTCAGGAGGCTGAGGCACAAGAATCACTTGAACCCAGGAGGAGGAGGTTGCAATGAGCCAAGATCACACCACTGCACTCCAGCCTGGGTGACAGAGCAAGACTCCATCTCAAAAAAAAAGGTAAATGTTGAAGTCAGTAAGATTTAATCTACCAGGCTTTCAGATTTAAATTAGAAATCATATGCTAACCTGGGCAACATAGCAAGACTCCGTCTCTTCAAAACAATTTTTTAGGCTGGGTGCAGTGGCTCACGCCTGTAATCCCAGCAATTTGGGAGGCCAAGGCAGGCTGATCACGAGGTCAGGAGATTGAGACCGTCCTGTCTAACACAGTGAAACCCCGTCTCTACTAAAAATACAAAAAATTAGCCGGGCATGGTTGCAGGCACCTGTAGTCCCAGCTATTCAGGAGGCTGAGGCAGGAGAATGGCCTGAACCCGGGAGGCCGAGCTTGCAGTGAGCCGAGATTGCACCACTGCACTCCAGCCTGGGCAACAGAGCAAGACTCCGTCTCAAAAAAAAAAAAAAGGAATTTTTAAAAATAAGATGTAGCGATATACACCTGTAGTCCCAGCTATTCAGGAGGCTTGAGCACAGAAGTTTGTGGTTACAGTGAGGTGTGATTGTGGCACTGCACTCCAGCCTAGGTGACAGAATGAGACCTTGTCTCTAAAAAAATAAATAAACCATTCAACTGACATTCTGTAAATGAGGCAGAGTGAGTGGTGTGGCGATTTGGTTTAAGAAGGTGAATGACTTCTGCAGTTATAAACACAGGATTTACATCAAGAGGGTATTGGTTAGAACATAGGTTTTTAGCTTCAGATTCTTGGTTCAAATTTTAGCCTTTGATCTTAGATAAGTTATTACATCTCTCCAGGCTTTTTCTTTTTTAATTTGCAAAATGGTGATAATTAGACATGCACCTAAGTATTGGAGAGATAATGAGATTATGTAAGTCTTACGCGCATTCATTGTCAACGCTCAGTAAATGTCAGTTATTGTTGTCACTGGGCCACATGCCTTCCATATGGCTGCCTCCTGGGAGAGAAGTCAGTCCACCTCATACAAATCTTTCTTATCCTTAAAATCCAAGGGGTTCTTTGTAGGCCACAATTTGGGCCAACAGCTGCTTTCTTCAAAGGTAGTTTAACATCACCAGGTGGGTATTTGTTAAGTCCCTGAAAAATTGCCTTAATGGCATTTGTACAGGTCCAAATCCTGGAATTCTGTTCATGACCTCCTCTTTCAGGAAGGGTAAATCACTTAAACTCTCAGCTTGTTTGCCTAGAGAAAAGAATAAAAAGTCACTTTCCCAACTGTGATATTAATTAGTAGAAGTAAAGGGTTTTGGAAATGCAGAATATGGTTACTTTTTAAAGGGTAAAACATAAATATTAAGTTCATTGGAATTTGATCACACTGTAGAGGGAATGTAACTGTTTTAATCCTTTTTTGCAGGAAAACATTAGACGGTAGTGGTGATGATTAGCCTGGGTTCATTTTGAGTAGATCTAAGAAGAACCTTGGGAGATGAGGCAAGTTTTTAAAAATTGGAGTTAAAACACACACACATACACACACACACACACACACACACACATACGCAGGACTTTTATAAGGCTGCTTTTTCTCTGAAATCCCTTTAGTAAAATGAATTTGTTTCCAGTTCCCCAACATTTCCACTATTGAATATCTCTAGCTTTAATACGGTCATAATAGCACTCAAGTTTTCTCTTTGTCACTAAGGGGCTCTCTGTTGAGTGTTAAATTGCTCATTTCACTTGCGGAAGTGAGGGTCCCTAAGTCACCAAATCAATGTAATAAATTTTATGAGCTGGTTTATACCGGTGAGGTGTTCTAGAATAATGACTTGTTTAAAGAACTATTTGACTTTTCAAAATGGAAGTATTATCCTTTTAACCAGGAAAGTTCACATAGAAATCCCCAACGGTAGCTGGCATGGTGGCTGACGCTTATAATCCCCACACTTTGGGAGGCCGATGAGGCCTTGAGTTCAAGACTAGCCTGGGCAACATGGCAAAACCCCATCTCTACAAAAAATACAAAAATTAGCTGGGCGTGGTGGTGTGTCTGTAGTCCCAGCTACTCAGGAGGTGGGAGGATCACTTAAGCCGGGGAGGTCAAGTCTACAGTGAGCTGTTATCTCTCCATTACACTCCAGTCTTGGTGACAGAGCGAGACCCTGTCTCAAAAAAGAAAGAAAGAAAATGAAATCCCCAACGCCACGGGGGATAAACTGTCATGGCTCATGTTGACGTAATAAGGATACTTGCTTGTCTTTATTTTTTAAGTGTTAATTTTTATTTCTTTATCGTAACTTAAAAAAATCCCCCATGGGGTAGAAGAGCGACATTATCTCCATTCACTGAAGGAAATCAGGACAGTGGGGCTTGGTGACTGACTTTTCCTGAGTTTGTAATGGAAGCTAATGAACGAGCCAAAATTAGAATCCCTAAATTCCTCCCACTCTCCTTGCTCCACTGAACGCAGTTCATTCCAAGCAGAGGCCCTTCACTTTACCATTTCCTGTTTGCTCTCGGAGGGAGTTCAGCCCCTCCCTATTCCTTTTTCTTTGGTCTGACCTTCCAAAGACAGGAATATTTATCAAAGTCCTCTAAGTGCTCTGCCCAAGCACCAGCCATTTTCAGATTTTACATAAACAACAGGGGGGGTGACACCCCAGCGTTTAGTGAATTTGAGGGGGATGGCATGCCTTTGAAAAGGGATAAACGATGTTTAGATGGGATGGGAAATGAGACCTATGCAACGAGGATGGAATTTACTTAGAAAAGGAAAAACAAAATCTAAAGATGGCCTGGAAAAGGAAATATTAAGGAAAGGAAAAATAGTCATTGGTGCTGGCATAGTGAGAACAGAGCTGGAAACCAAAGATTTAAATTGTAGGAAAGAGGTTAAAAGAGGAGGAAATTTTCTGTTTCCTGGCTCTGAGCAGAAAGGTGGATAACTTGATGATGATGATGATAATGTGCTTAGGGAAGTTTGAAGGCAATGCTGCCTAGGGCAGGAGAAAGGACTCAATGAGTCTGTTGGGCCTCGTGAGTCTCTGGGTTTTAGACTGAGAGCCTGAGAGGTGGGCAGAAGCACAGAGATCTTGGTAAAAAGCAGATTCCAGTTCTAACAAGGGGGCAGGAATCTGCATTTCTAACAAGGTCCTACAGGATGGTGTTGGTGCTGGTCAGTGAACCACATTTTGATTAGCAAGGCTCAGAACTATGCTGTTAAATAGAAATATTATGTGAGCCACATATATAATGAAAAATTTTCTAGCCACTACCTCACAAAAAAGAAACCAGGAAAAGTAAGTATATTTTGTGTAATACACTATATCTAAAATACTATATTAAAATCCAAAATGTTATATATTTACCATATAATCAATATAAAAATTTTTTTCCATACTAAGTCTTTTTTCCATACTAAGTCTTAAAATCCAGTGTGTAAGTGTGTATTTTATACTTAAAAAAGATCTCAATTTGAACTAGCCACATTTCAATAGCCACATGTTGCTTGTGGCTTCCGCACTGGATGTGCAGGTCTAGACAATATTTACAAAAATTTAGCATCGTCCAAATGCCATTGGCAAGCTAAGAATAACTGTGCTTTTAGTACCGAAACCCACTTGGGTGAGATCCAAGAAAACCCAGGGCCATAATGAATTCTGTGCCACTGAGCCAGAGTCCTCAATGTTTAATTATTCACCAGGATTCCCTGAGGACAGGGTTAAATTGTAGATTCCTGGGCTTTACCCCTAGGTATATATTTTTTAATCCCAAACTTTTTCTCGCTCTGTTGCCCAGGCTGGAGTGCAGTGGGGCGATCTCAGCTCACTGCAACCTCCACCTCCTGGGTTCAAGCAATTCTCTGCCTCAGCCTCCCAAGTAGCTGGGATTACAGGTGCCTGCCACCATGACCGTCTAATTTCTGTATTTTTTTTTAGTAGAGACAGGGTTTCACCATTTTGGCCACGGTGGTCTTGAACTCCTGACTTCTTGATCCACCCGCCTTGGCCTCCCAAAGTGCTGGGATTACAGGCATGAGCCACCGCACCCAGCCTTGTTTTGTTTGTTTGTTTGTTTTGTTTTGTTTGTTTGTTTTTTGAGATGGAGCCTCGCCCAGGCTGGAGTCCAGTGGCGCAATCTCAGCTTGCTGCAACCTCAGTCTCCTGGTTCAAGCGATTGTTGTGCCTCAGCCTCCCAAGTAGCTGGGATTACAGTTGCCCACCACCATCCTCAGCTAATTGTTTTGTATTTTTAGTAGAGATGGGGTTTTGCCATGTTGGCCAGGCTGGTCTCAAACTCCTGGCCTCAAGTGATCTGCCTGCCTTGGCATCCCAAAGTGTGGGGATTACAGGTGTGAGCCACTGCACCTGCCCCAAAACTTTTTATTATTAAAAAATGTGAATATCTATACATAGAGTAGAGAAAATAGGATATTAGACCTCTTCCCTTCCTTTCATGCCATTGATGTGGTTGTTAGAGAAACAATTATTTTGGGCGAATTGTCCCTTCTCCTTGATTTAGCTGATTGCTTCCCTATAGTGTTGTTTACTTGTTCTTATATTCCCCATATTTTCTGCAAACTGGCATTTATTGCTGGAGAACTGATGAGATTCAGAGTCACAGAGATCCTAATTAAAGTAGGGGTTTAAGCCCTGGATCCCCATGGGAAACACTTGGGAGCTTTAAAAATTATTGATGGGCCAGGCACTGTGGCTCATTCCTATAATCCTGGCCCTTTGGGAGGCCGAGGCAGGAGGATGGCTTAAGGCTAGGAGTTTGAGAGCAGCCTGGGAAGCATAAGGAGCCCTCCATCTCTACAGATAAATAAAAATAGCCAAGCATGGTGGCACACACCTGAGTCCCAGTTACTCAGGAGGCTGAGTGGGAGGATTGCTTGACCTGGGAAGCTGAGGCCACGGTTAGCCATGATGGTGCCACTGCACCACAACTTGGGCAAGAGAGCAAGACTTCGTGTTTTTTTTTTTTTTAAATAAATTACGGATGCCTGGGTTCCTCCCCCAGAGCTTCTGATGTAATTGGTATGGGGTATGTTGTGCACAACAGGATTTTTAAAAGCTTCTGGGTGGTTCTGGTGTGCAGCAAGGGTGGAGAACCACTGAATTAGACAAACTGTGGCTTGAAACAAGGTACGTTTTCCCTAAAGGCTTCAAAGTAGGTCTTCTCCACCTTCTTATCACTCTGACTATTCCACCTCCTGTCTTGAAGTTCTCCTCCTCCCCCTTATTCCAACAGGAAGAGAAATCACTGAAATGCTCCCAGAGCAAAGCCTAGAACACACTTGCAAGTCTTACTTGTAGAAAAAAAAATTATTTTTCATTTTATAATTAACTTTGCAAAGGAGCCTCAGAGACAGTGTCATGCTAAGAATCGAGAGTCACCTGGGGAGCTTAAAAAAATACCAACACCCACAGTTTTCCCTAGAGAATCGGATAGAATTGTTCTGGAGTGGGTCCTGGTTTGTTTGGAAAGGCTCCCTGGTGATTTTAAGGTATGGCAGGGATTGACATCTAGGACAGTACTTCTTGAATTTAAATAAGTCATCTGGGCATCTTGTTAAAATGCAGATTCAGATTCTGCAGGTCTGGGTTAAGTCCCAGGTTCATCATTTTGATGAACTTCCAGGTAATGCTGGTGTTGCTGGGACAACAATTTGAGCATCAAGGGTGTCGACGGATAATATGCACTACAGCGCTAGAAAGAACTGCCTTTTAATTCTGCATTTGCAATTTACTAGCTTGTATGGCTTTCAGCAAGTCACTTTACTCCTCTGAGCTTTTTTTCCACCCACAAACTAGTGAAAATAAGAATGCCTACCTTTACCCTGGCCAGGCACGGTGGCTCACGCCTGTAATCCCAGCACTTTGGGAGGCCGAGGTGAGCGGATCATGAGGTCAGGAGATGGAGACCATCCTGGCTAACACGGTGAAACCTCGTCTCTACTAAAAATACAAAAAATTAGCTGGGCGTGGTGGTGGGCGCCTGTAGTCCCAGCTACTTGGGAGGCTGAGGCAGGAGAATGGAGTGAACCTGGGAGGAGGAACTTGCAGTGAGCTGAGATTGCGCCACCGCACTCCAGCCTGGGCGACAGAGTGAGATCTCGTCTCAAAAAAAAAAAAAGAAAAAAAAATGCCTACCTTTACCCCATCCCATGCCAGGTGTTCATTAAACACTGCCCTATCATTGCCTGATGTGAATAGCATAGAGAGGCTAGTTGGATGCGGAGTTTCTCTAAGATCTTCACCCTTTGAGGCTAGATCATTTCCAAGAGGTTTGTTTGGCTTTCTAGCAGACTCTTTGTTAAAAAGGACAGATCAAGAGTTTGTTTGTTTGTTGTTTGAGATGGAGTCTCGCTCTTGTTGCCCAGGCTGGAGTGCAATGGCGCGATCTTGGCTCACTGCAACCTCCGCCTCCCGGGTTCAAGCAATTCTCCTGCCTCAGTCTCTCTAGTAACTGGGATTACAGGCGCCCGCCACCACACCTGGCTAATTTTTGTATTTTTGTAGAAACAGGGTTTCACTATGTTGGCCCGGCTGGTCTCAAACTTCTGACCTCAAGTGAAACACCCGCCTCAGCCTCCCAAATTGCTGAGATTACAGGCATGAGCCACTGTGCCCAGCCAGATCAAAGCATTTAAATAAGTATTCTGAGGCCAGCATCAATACTCCTCTACATGGTGCCAGACTTTTTGGTTGGCAAAGCAGAATTTGAGGTGATTCATGACGTGCTGTCTCCTCACCTCTTGTCCTCATTTCCTCTGATCCCTTTCCCCCCCACTTTGCTTCTCCTGATGCTCTGGATTAATTGTCTTTATGTCATAAATCACAGCCAGCACCGCGTGTTTCTATGACTATGTTGAAATAAAATCCCTCTTTTCTCACCATCTGCCTAGCTTACCCTCATGTCTGAATCTCAGCAGGTTCTTGATGCCCTGACTTTCAGTGCTCAGAACAAACGCCAAGAGTTCATCTATTGTGAAGCTGAGAAAAGAAACTCTCCTGTTAACATAACTTATGAACTACAAGTTCAGATCCTCTATTTTTAGCCATATGGAATAATTTGGAAGGCTATAAATCACATAACTGTGTAAACCAAACCAAAACTACCTCCTTTTCACATTAAAAAGAATGTTATATTTATTCTGTTTTCTAAAATTGACAGACAAAACAGTTTGCTGTGGCTTCTTGACTTCACAGATGTGCCTTCCGGGTGCTTTCAGCATTGGTCTGAGTGTTAACAGTTCACAGTGGAAACTGATTAACACCATTAATAGTTTTCCAGTTCAACAGCCCTGTCCTATCTGAATTACTTTTAATATTTGTTTCTTCCATGTGCTCCTCATTCAGGCACCTGACTCCCTCTCAATTTCAAGTTCCCATTGTGTCTTTTGAGGGATCAAATAAATTAAAAGACTTTTTATTTGTTTTCCTGTAGAAATGTCTTTATGCTAAGTGACTGAAAATGTGTTTTCTATTCAAATTAGGGAAGGAAAAAAGATACAGCCTCTCCATATCAGTATTTTTAAAGTGAGCCATGTATTAACTGATTCAATAAGCCATTATTGGGTGTTTCGTTTGTTAAAAAAGCCATGCTGAGTGTCAGGGAAGGAACCAACAGAGATGAAAGTAATGAGAATATAAAATCTTTGTCTCTAAAGACCTGAGAACCTAGAAAGAGAGACAAATCTACATATATGAGCACCTATAATGTAAGCACATGTGAAAAATGTCTAGCTGGGCACTGTGGCTCATGCCTGTAATACCAGCACTTGACAGATCGCTTGAGCCCAGGAGTTTGCAACCACCCCTGGCAACATAGTGAGACCCCATCTCTACAAAATGTACAAAAATTAGCCGGGTGTGGTGGGATGCACCTGTGGTCCCAGCTACTCGAGAGGCTGAGGTGGGAGGATCGCTTGAGCCTCAGAGGTTAAGACTGCAGTGAGCCATGGTTGCACCACTGCACTCCAACCTGGGCAGCAGAGCGAGACCCTGTCTCAAAAAACAAACAAAACAAAACAAAACAATACAAAACAAAACAGCGATGTTGCTCAAAGCCTTCCCAGGTCCAATTGTCCTTGTACACTCTGTTCACAATGCAAACACTATCCATTGTGTTATCATTGGTTGCCTACTGTCTGTCTCCTTGGGAGGGCTATAAGAACTCTGAGGTCAGAAACCTTATCTCACATCTCTATGGTCTAAGCAGAGCCTGGTATTTGAAGGTGTTTATGAATAAATGACAGGAAGGGAGGGAGGAGAAAGAGAGAAAGAGAGGCTAACTTGGGAGTGAGCTGACCTTAGAGCTGCGAAATAGGTGGGGCCTGGTGGCTCACACCTGTAATCTCAGCATTTTGGGAGGCCTAGGCGGGAGGATTGCCTGAGGCCAGGAGCTTGAGACCAGGCTGGGCATAAAGTGAGACCCTTATCTCTACAAAAAAATAAGAAGAAGAAGAAGAAAAAAATGGTGCCTGTGCTCCAGGCATTCAGATCCTGTTGAGGGAGGTGAAATATAAGTCTCCAAACCTGGTAAGACTTCTGTTGAGTAAAAATGAAGTAGAAGACATTCAGGCTCAAGAGAAGCTACAAGGAGCAGAGTGGAGGCCGGTGTGGCAGGACTAATCTGAGAAGTAATTCGTGTATTTGCAGCTCCTACCAAGTCCAGGATAGAAACACTAAGAAATTTTGAGAGAGAGTTTAAGAAGCAGAAACACTCTGCAGTAGAAATGCCAGTGACTAAGCTGGTAAAAGTCCTGGTGGCAAAGCCATCTTCTCTTGTTCACTAACCCAACGTATTTAATTGTATGTACTGAGCCCTAATTCTGTGGAGGCTCTGTTCCAGGTTCTGAGGACCAGAAGAATGAGGATATATGAACTTCCTGCCTGTATGAGGCGCCTACTCCCATGGGCAAAGGCAATAATTAAGGAAACCAGGAAGATGATCCACACACAGGATGGGATAATTGACTGGGAAGCGAAGAACAGGGTGCTGTGATAGAAAGTGACCAGTTGGGCCGGGCGCGGTGGCTCACACCTGTGATTCCAGCACTTTGGAAGGCTGAGGTGGGTGGATCACTTGAGGTCAGGAGTTAAAGACCAGACTGGCCGATGTGGTGAAAGCCCGTCTCTACTAAAAGTACAAAAATTAGCCAGGCCTGGTGAGGTGTGCCTGTAATCCCAGCTACTCGGGAGGCTAAGGCAGGAGAATCGCTTGATCCCAGGAGGTGGAGGTTGCAGCGAGCGGAGATCGCGCCACTGCATTCCAGCCTGGGTGACAGAGCGAGACACCGCCTCAAAAGAAAAAAAAAAAGACTCAGTCTCAAAAAAAAAAAAAGTGACCAGTTGGGGCCGGGTGTGGTGGCTCACCTCTGTAATCCCAGTACTTTGGGAGGCCAAGGCTGGCGGATTACTTGAAGTCAGGAGTTTGAGAGCAGCGTGGCCAAAAGGGTGAAACCCTTGTCTCTACTAAGAATACAAAAAAATTAGCCAGGTATGGTGGTGGGTGCCTGTAATCCCAGCTACTTGGGAGGCTGAGGCAGGAGAACCGCTTGAACCCAGGAGTGGAGGTTGCAGTGAGCCGATATCATGCCACTGCACTCCAGCCTGGGCGACAGAGACTCCATTTCAAAAGAAAAGAAAAATGAGAAAAGCTGGGCACAGTGACCCCCTGTAATTCCAGCACTTTGGGAGGCAGGCAGATCACCTGCGGTCAAGCGTTTGAGACCAGCCTGGCCAACATGGCAAAACACTGTCTCTACTAAAAAATACAAAAATTAGCCGGGCATGGTGGCTCACGCCTGTAATCCCAGGTACTCAGGGGGCTGAGGCAGAGAATCACTTGAACCTGGGAGGCGGAGGTTGCAGTGAGCAGAGACCACGCCACTGCACTACAGTTTGGGCGACAAAGTGAGACCACATCTCAACAAATAAATTGATTAATTTTTTTAAAATGACGAGTTGGATAGAGTGGTCAGGGACAGCCTCTGTGAAGCCGAGCTGAGAAATGAGGAAAATGGCACAGCCAAACATTGAGGAAAATAACTCCAGCTAAAATAGTGGTCGCAGCTGGGAATTTGGCATGTAGAAGATATTTGGGGTTGTCACATCTTAGGGGAGGGGCTGCTACTGGCATCTAGTGGGTAGAGGCCAGTGATGCTGCTCAACATATTACAGTGCACAGGCCAGCCCCTCCACAACAAAGAATTATCTGGTCCCAAATGTCAATAGTGCCAAGGGTAAGAAACCCTGAGCAAGGGAAATGGACAACTGCAGAGACCCTGAAATGGGAGTTATGATAGCTGTTAAGTCTGAAAAACTGGAGGCAGGCTGATGTGGAGGGAACATTCTGAGGTCTGGGAGGAGTAGAAGGTGATGAGGGCGTTAGAGGTGCCGACCGAATCACTTGGGACCATGTTGGCTGTGGCAATGAGCCCACCTAATTGTGTTACTTTAGAGCAATTAAACTGGCTCCTATAGCTGCTACAATTTATAATTTTTAGGTGGATAAGGTATTTCCTTTAAAGACTTTAAAATAAACAAATCAGTTTATGGTCGCTATTCCCAGCTCTCTCTGCAATTCCAGTAGCAGACCAAAAAATGATTTCAGAACAATTTTCTTCTGAGAGCTTGAAGAAAAGAACTTCTAAACAATTGCCCCATTCATCCTATGGATCAACAAAAATTCCTGCAGTCAAGAGGGACCCAGGAAATGGAATCTTATTTAACCTTGTTTAATCCAATTCTCCAGCCTTCTGTCATACATCTTTATGGCTCTTTCGCCCACCCAAATTGCTAATGTGGAAAGAAAGACACCTTCATTACTAAGAACTCAGACATGATGGATGATGATGTAATGATTGATTTGCCATTGTTGGAAAATGGAGCTGTACATGTTAAAACCTCAGTAGAGAGAAGCAAGATTGAATGGAAACGTGGCTATTAATGTGATTGTGGAGAAATATGAAATAATGTAGCTTCAGAGGCTTCTGATGTACATACAAATGTATAGTTTTATAAACATACCAGTAAATATTTAGTTCTCTATCATGCATGGTACTCTTGTGCATCTACTATGTAGAAGGAAATGTGTATGGTATTGGAAGCTAAAAAGAAAAATAAGGCAGAATCCTCCATTTCAAAGAGTTTGTAGTTTATAGGTAAGATATCACATAGTCAACACAGTATAATATAATCCAGAATTAAAGAAATACAAAGTGGAAGCCAGAGACATCTATAGTTTCTGCCTGTCTAGTATGTCTTCTCTTTCTTGTAGTAGCAGCAACTTGATTTTTTCTTTGGGGAACCACTCTCCTTCATTCTCAGTCCAGGTGGACTGGATCAGTTTGACCCTCACTTATCCTCATGCCACCAGGACTGGGCACATATCCAGGCCCAGCCAACCAACTTATTCCATTCCTCTGGCCACAGGCTGGTGTATTCCAGGATTCCAGGGACACATGACCCATGTTGATCCAACAAGAGTCAGCCCCATCAAAGAGAAAGAAGGCCTATCTGAGAATAAATCTAGCCTAGAGTAAGAGAGACAAGAATTGCAGAGAGGATAACTCTTGCTGACATTGTTTAAGCTCCTGGATTTAACCATTCCTGAAGGCAGTGTCCTATTGAAAAAAAATTATTTTTAAGTTTACATACAGTAAAACTGACATTTCTTGGTGCACAGTTCCATGAGTTGTAGTACATACATATATTTGATTATAGTGGTGTACCTACCACTATAATTAAAATAAAGAACAACTCTATCACCTCAAAAATCTCCCTCCTATCAGGGGCAGTTGCTCACTCCTGTAATCCCAGTGCTTTGGGAGGTCTAGATGGGAGGATTGCTTGAGCCCAGGATTTCGAGACCAGCCTAGGCAACATAGTGAGACTTTTGTCCTCTACACACACACACACACACACACCACATACCACACAGAAGTCAGGCATGGTGTTGCACGCCTTTAATCCTAGCTACTTGGGAGACTGAGGCAGGATGATTGCTTGAGCCCCCGAACTTGGGGTTGCAGTGAGTTATGATCATGCCACTGCACTCCAGCCTAGGTGACAGAGCAAGATTCTGTCTCTTAAAAAACAAAAACAAAAAAACGCCCTTCTTCATGATGACTCTTTATGATCAAACCCTTTCTATACCCCTAACCACTAGCAACTACTGATCTGTTCTCTATCTCTATAGTTTTATCTTTTCCAGAATGTTACACAAATGGAAGCATATGAATGTAATTTTTTGAGACTGGCTTCTTTCACTTGGGATAATACCTTTGAAATTCATCCAAGTGTTGCATGTATGAGTCATTTATACCTTTTTTTTTTTTTTTGTACCTTTTTACTGAGACAAGGTCTCACTCTGTCACCCAGGCTGGAGTGACAGAATGAGACCTCCTGAGCCTGGGAGGTCAAGGCTGCATGGGAGGTCATGGCTCACTGCAGCCTTGACCTCCCTGGCTCAGGTGATCTTCCCATGTCAGCCTCCTGAGTAGCTGGGGCTACAGGTGCCCACCACAATGCCTGGATAATTTTTGTATTTTTTGTAGTCAGGGTATCACAATGTTGAACAGGCTGGTCTTGAACTTCTGGGCTCAAGCAATCCACTCACCTTGGCCTCCCAAAGTGCTAGGATTACAGGCATGAGCCACCGCACCCGTCCCATTTGTACCTTTGCATTGTTGATTAATAGTCCATTGTTTAAATGTACCACAGTCTATCCATTCTCTCTTTGAAGGGCATTTGGGTTGTTTCCAGTTTGGGGTGATTACAAAGAGAGCTGCTATAAATATTTGCATAGGGTTTTGTGTGAACATAGATTTTCATTTCTCTTGGGTAAATACCTAAAAACGGGATTGCTCAGTCATATGGTAAGTATATGTTTGACTTTATAGGAGCCTGCCAAAATGTTTACTAGAATGGCTACACCATATTATATTCCCACCGCAATTAATAAGATTTCCCTTTGTTGTGCATTCCAGCCAAAACTTGGTATTGCCATTCTTTTCTTAGGTATTGCCATTCTTTTCTTAATCTATTTTAATGGGTGTGTAATGATATCATACTGATTTTAACTTGCATTTCCATAATGGATTATGATATTGAGCAACTTTTTATGTGCATGTTTGTCATCCATATATTTTCTTTGGTAAAGTATCTGTTCCTATATTTTGCCCATTTTTGCTTGTTTCCTTACTGTGGATTTTTGAGAGTTCTTTATTATTATTTTTAGAGATGGGGTCTCACTCTGTCACCCAGGCTGGAGTGTCGTGAGTGATCACAGCTCACCACATCCTCGAACTACTGAGCTCGAGTGATCCTCTCACCTCTGCCTCCTGAGTAGCTAGGACTATAGCCACATGCCACCATGCCTGGCTAACTTTTCTTACTTTTTGTTTTGTAGAGACAAGGTCTTGCTATGTTGACCAGGCTGTTTCTGAACTCCTGGCTTCAAGCAATCCTCCTGCCTTGGCCTCACAAAATGATACAATTACAAATGTGAGCCACTGTGCATGGCCAATTTTTTTCTTTTTCCTTTTTTTTTTTTTTTTTTTAACCTTCCAGCCAATTATTTTTTATTCCAACAGTTTTTGAGGTACAGGTGTTTTTTTGTTACAAGGATGAGGTTTTTTTTTTTTTTTTTTTTTGAGACAGAGCCTCATTCTGTCGCCCAGGCTGGAGTGCAGTGGCACGATCTCAGCTCACTGCAACCTCCGCCTCCCAGGTTCAAGCAATTCTCTGCCTCAGCCTCCTGAGTAGCTGGGATTACAGGCGCCGCCACCACGCCCAGCTAATTTTTTTTGTATTTTTAGTAGAGACGGGGTTTCACCATCTTGACCAGGACGGTCTCAAACTCCTGACTTTGTGATCCACCCACCTCGGCCTCCCGAAGTGCTGGGATTATAGGCGTGAGCCACCGTGCCCGGCCTAGGATGAGTTCTTTAATGGTGAATTCTGAGATTTCAGTGCAGCTATCACCCGAGCAGTGTACACTGCACCCCATATATTTTCTTTTATCCCTCACCTAACCCCTAACCTCCCTCTGAGTCCCCACAGTCCATTATATTGCTTTGTATGTTTGTATGTCCTCATAGCTTAGCTCCTACTTATAAGTGAGAACATACGGTATTTGGTTTTCCATTTCTGAGATACTTCACTTGGAATAATGGCCTCCAGTTCCATCCAAGTTGCTGCAAAAGACGTTATTTCATTCATTTTTATGGCTGGGTAATATTCCATGGTGTATATATACCATATGTTCTTTATCTACGTCTTGGTCAGTGGGCACTTAGGTTGGCTCCATATCCTTGCAACTGCAAACAAATTGTGCTGCTACAAACATGCGTGTGCATGTGTCTTTTTCATATACTGACTTCTCTTCCTTTGGGTAGATACCCAGTAATGGGATTGCTGGATCAAATGATAGATTTACCTTTGTTTTTTTTTGTTTTGTTTTGTTTTTGTTTTTGTTTTTGTTTTTGTTTTTTGAGACGGAGTCTCGCTCTGTTGCCCAGGCTGGAGTGCAGTGGCGCATCTCGGCTCACTGCTAGCTCCACCTCCTGGGTTCATGCCATTCTCCTGCCTCAGCCTCTCGAGTAGCTGGGACTACGGGCACCTGCCACCACACCCGGCTAATTTTTTGTATTTTTAGTAGAGATGGGGTTTCACCATGTTAGCCAGGATGGTCTCGATCTCCTGACTTCGTGATCTGCCCGCCTCGGCCTCCCAAAGTGCTGGGATTACAGGTGTGAGCCACCACGCCCGGCCTACCTTTAGTTTTTAAAGGAATCTCTGTACTGTTTTCCATAGTGGTTGTACTAATTTACATTCCCACCAGCCGTGTAAATGTGTTCCTTTTTCACCATATCCATGCCACCATTTATGGTTTTTTGACTTTAATTATGGCTATTCTTGGCCGGGCGCTGTGTCTCACGCCTGTAATCCTAGCACTTTGGGAGGCCAAGGTGGGCGGGTTGCCTGAGCTCAGGAGTTTGAGACCAGCCTGGCCAACATGGTGAAACCCCATCTCTACTAAAAATACAAAAAATTATCCGGACATGGGGGCGTGTGCCTGTAGTCCCAGCTACTCGGGAGGCTGAGATAGGAGAATTGCTTGAACCTGGGGGGCAGAGGTTGCAGTGAGCTGAGATGGCGCCACTGCACTGCACTCCAGCCTGGGCGACAGAGTGAGACTCCAAAAATAATAATAATAAAATTTAAAAAAAATTAGCAATTATGGCCATTCTTGCAAGAGTAAGGTGGTATCTCATTGTGGTTTTACCCTGATGATTAGTTAAGCATTTTTTCACATGTTTCTTGGCTGTTTGTATATCTTCTGAGAAATATCTTTTCCTGTCCTTTGCCCACTTTTTCATGGGATTATTTGTTTTTTTCTTGCTGATTTGTTTAGGTTCCTTGTAGATTCTGGACACTAGTCCTTTGTCAGAAGCATAGTTTGCAAATATTTTCTTCCACTCTATGGGTTGTCTGTTTACTCTGCTGATTCTTTCTTTTGTTGTACAGAAGCTTTTTCGTTAGTTTAATTAGGTCTCATTCATTTATTTTTGGTTGCATTGCATTTGTTTGTTTTTTTGTTTTGTTTTGTTTGAGATGGAGTCTTGCTTTGTCACCCAGGCTGGAATGCAATGGTGCGATCTTGGCTCACTGCAACCTCTGCCTTCCGGGTTCAAGCGATTCTCCTGCCTCAGCCTCCTGAGTAGCTGGGATTACAGACGTGCGTCACCATGCCCAGCTAATTTTTGTACTTTTAGTAGAGACGGGGTTTCACCATGTTGGCTAGGCTGGTCTTGAACTCCTGACCTCGTATTCCACCTGCCTCGGCCTCCCAAAGTGTTAGGATTACAGGCGTGAGCCACCATGCCTGGCCTGTTTTTTGGGTTCTTAGTCATAAAGTCTTTGCCTAAGTCAATGTCCAGAAGAGTTTCTCCAATGTTATATTCTAGAATTTTTATGGTTTCAGGTCTTAGATTCAAGTCTTTAATCCATCTTAAGTTGATTTTTGTATAAGGTGAGAGATGGTGATCCAGTTTCATTCTTTTACACGTGGCTTGCCAGTTTTCATAGTACCATTTATTGAATAGGGTGTCCTTTCACCAATTTATGTTTTTGTATGCTTTGTGGAAGATCAGTTGGCTGTAAGTATTTGGCTTTATTTCTGCATTCCCTATTCTGTTCCATTAGTGTAAGTGCCTATTTTTATACCAGTACCATGCTGTTTTGGTAACTATAGCCTTGTAGCATAATTTGAAGTCCAGTAATGTAATACCTCCAGATTTGTTCTTTTTGCTTAGTATTGCTTTGGCTATGTGGGCTCTTTTTTGATTTCGTATTAATTTTAGGATTTTTTTCTAGTTCTGTGAAAAATGATGATGGTATTTTGATGGGAATTGCATTGAATCTGTAGACTGCTTTGAGCAGTATGGTCATTTTCACAATATTGATTCTTCCCATCCATGAGCATGGACTCTATTTCCATTTGTTTGTGTCATCTGTGATTTCTTTCAGCAGTGTTTTGTAGTTTCCCTTGTAGAGAACTTTCACCTCCTTGGTTAAATATATTCCTAGGTATTTTATTTTTACTTTTTTGCAGCTGTTGTAAAAAGGATTGAGTTCTTAATTTGATTCTCAACTTGGTCATTGTTGGTGTGTAGCAGTGCTACTGATTTGTGTGCATCGATTTTGTAATCTGAGGCTTGACTTTAGGAACCTTTTGGATGAGTCCTTAGAGTTTTCTACGTATATGATCATATCATCAGTGAACAGTGACAGTTTGACTTCCTCTTTTCCAATTTGGATTCCCTTTCTTTCTTTCTTTTGCCTGATTGCTCTGGCTAAGACTTCCAGTACTATGTTGAATAGAAGTGGTGAAAGTCGACATCCTTGTCTTGTCCCAGTTCTCAGGGGGAATGCTTTCAACTTTTCCCCATTCAGTATGTTGCCTATGGGTTTGTCAAATATGGCTTTTATTACTTTGAGGTAAGTCCCTTTTATGTCTATTTTGTTGAGGGTTTTTATCATAAAGGGATGCTGGATTTTATCAAATGCTTTTCCTGTTGTCTATTGAGATGATCATATGGTTTTTGTTTTTAATTCTGTTTATGTGATATATCACATTTGTTGATTTGCGTATATTAAACAACCCCTGCATCTCTGGGATGAAACCTGCTCAATCATAATGTATTATTTTTCGGATTTGCTGTTGGATTCAGTTAGCTAGAATTTTCTTGAGGATTTTTGCATCTATGTTCATCAGGGATATGGGTTTTCTTTTCTTTTTTTTTTTTAATGTCCTTTCCTCATCTTGGTATTAGGGTGATGAGTGGCTCCATAGAATGATTTAGGGAGAATTCCCTCTTTCTCTACCTTTTGAAATAGTTTCAGTATGATTGGCACTAATTCTTCTTTGAATATCTGATGGAATTCAGCTGTGAATCCATCTGTTCTTGGACTTTTTTTGTTGGCAATTTGTTTATTACCGATTCAATTTCATTGTTTGTTATTGCTCTGCTCAAAATTTCTATTTCTTCCTGATTTAATCTAGGAGGGTTGTATGTTACCAGGAATTTATACTTCTTCTCTAGATTTTCTAGTTTGTGCATGTAAAGGTGGACTTAGTAGCCTTGAATGATCTTTTGTATTTCTGTGGTATTGTTGGCAATATTTCCAGTTTCATTTATTTACTTATTTATTTAAGATGGAGTTTCGCTCTTGTTGCCCAGGCTAGAGTGCAATGGCGCGATCTCAGCTCACTGCCACCTCCGCCTCCCAGGTTCAAGCGATTCTCCTGTCTCAGCCTGCCAAGTAGCTGGGATTACAGCCATGAGCCACCACGTCCAGCTAATTTTTGTATGTTTAATAGAGACGGGGTTTCACCATGTTGGCCAGGCTTGAACTCCTGACCTCAGGTGGCCCACCCACCTCGGCCTCCCAAACTGCTGGGATTACAGGCCTGAGCCACCATGCCTTGCCTCCAGTTTCATTCCTAATTGAGCTTGTTTGGATCTTCTCTCTTGTTTTTTAAGTTAATGTTGCTAATGGTCTATCAATTTTGTTTATCTTTTCAAAGAACCAGCTTTTTGTTTTATTATCTTTTGTGTTTTTGTTTGTTTGTTTCAATTTCATTTAGTTCTGCTCTGATCTTTGTTATTTCTTTTCTGCTGGCTTTGGGTTTGGTTTGTTCTTTTTTCGTCTAGTTCCTTAAATTGTGACATTTGTTTGTCAATTTGTGCTCTTTCAGAGTTTTTTTTTTGTTTTTTTCTCTCTTTTTGAGACAAAGTCTTAGTCTGTCACCCAGGCTGGAGTGCAGTCACACCATCTCAGCTCACTGCAACCTCTGCCTCCCAGGTTCAAGTGATTCTTGTGCCTTAACCTCTTGAGTAGCTGAGATTACAAGTGCATGCCACCATGCCCAACTAAATTTTGTATTTTTAGTAGAGATGGCGGGGTTTCACCATGTTGGTCAGGCTGGTCTCGAACTTCTGAACTCAAGTGATCCACCTGCTTCTGCCTCCCAAAGTTCTGGGATTACAGGTGTGAGCCCCCATACCCATCCTATTTTGATGAAGTTATATTTATCATTTTTTTCTTTTATGGATTGTGCTTTTGGTGTCTTATTGGAGAACTCTTTGCTAACTCAATGACATAAAGATTTTCTCCTACGACTTCTAAATTTTTTGTAGTTTTATGTTTTACATTTAAACTTATATTCTATTTTAGTTAATTTTGCTGGCCGGGCGCGGTGGCTCACGCCTGTAATCCCAGCACTTTGGGAGGCCGAGACGGGCGGATCACGAGGTCTGGAGATTGAGACCATCCTGGATAACACAGTGAAACCCCGTCTCTACTAAAAATACAAAAAAATTAGCCGGGCGTGGTGGTGGGCGCCTGTAGTCCCACCTACTCGGGAGGCTGAGGCAGCAGAATGGCATGAACCCGGGAGGCAGCGCTTCCAGTGAGCCAAGATCACGCCACTGCACTCCAGCCTGGGTGACAGAGCAAGACTCCGTCTCAAAAAAAAAAAAAAAATTTTTGCCATAAGATGTGAGGTATAGGCTGAGGATTTTTTTTTTTTTGCATATGGATGTCCAATTGTTCTAATATGTTTTGTTGAAAAAAACTATCCTCACTATATGAAATTGCCTTTGCATCTTTGTAAAAATCAATTGGCAATATTATGTGGGCCTATTTGTGGGTTCTCTATTTTATTTCATTATTTCATGTATCTATAACTCCACCAATACCATATTGGCTTGATTAATGAACCTTTATAGTAAGTCTTACAGTCAAGTAATGTGAGGCTTCTAACTTCTTTTTCATAATTGCTTTGCTAGTCTAGTTCCTTTGCTTTTCTATATAAATTTATTATCACCTTGTCTGTATCTACAAAAAGTGGAAATGCACAAATGCATAGATTTATTGAAAATGTATATTTGACTATAATGTCATCCAACCCATGAATATAGTATATTTCTCATTTAATTAGTTTTTATTTGACTTATTTCATGAGCAGCTTATAGTTTTCTACATACTAATCCTACACATATGTTGCTAGGTTTATACTAAAGTATTTCATTTTGGGGAGTTTATCGTAAATGAGTTTTTTTGAATTTTAGTTTTCAATCTTTTGCTGCTCATATATAGACACAAAAATAATTGTTGTAGGTTGACCTTGCATCCTACAACCTTGCTAAACTCACTGGGAACTATGCAGATAATCATGTCATCTGTATAGGGGCAGTTTTATTTCTTGCTTTCTAATATATACGGTTTTTTTTGTTTGTTTTGTTGTCTTATTGTACTGGCTAGAATTTCCAGAATAATGTTGAATAAGAGTGCTGAGAATGTATTATTTACCCTGAGTGAGGAAAAAAAAAAAAAAGAGTGGTGAAAATGAATATCCTTGCCTTGTTTCCAGTTTTGGAAGCAAAGAATTCAGACTTGTATAAGTTTAGCTATGGGTTTTTTTTTAATAGATGTCCTTTATTATGTTAAGGAACCTCCTCTCTTCCTAGTTAACCGAGAGTTTTTATCATGAATGAATGTTGAATTTTGTCACATACCTTTTCTGCTTTAATTGATAGGATCATGTAGTTTTCTTTAATCTATCTTTAATGTAAAAGAGCCTTACCAGTCATATTTGCTATGACTATTTAATCCTTTTTTTTTAGACAGCGTCTAGCTCTGTCACCCAGCCTGCAGTGCAGTGCTGCAATTACAGCTCACTGTAGCCTCAATTTCCCAGGCTCAAGAGATCCTCTCACCTCAGACTCCTGAGTAGCTGGGAGTATAGCCACACACCACTAAGCTTGGCTAATTTTTTTTTTAAGAGACTGGGGTCTCACTATGTTGCTCAGGCTGGTCTTGAACTCCTGGGCTCAAGTGATCCCCCCATCTTGGCCTCCCAAAATGTTGGGATGACAGGCATAAGCCACCACACCCAAACTTAATCCTACTTGTTAAATAGTGTATTAAAACACCACTATATGGCCGGGTGCAGTGGCTCACGCCTGTAATCCCAGCACTTTGGGAGGCGGAGGCAGGCAGATCACTTGAGGCCAGGAGTTTGAGACCAGCCTAGCCATCATGGCGAAACCCCATCTCTACTAAAAATACAAAAAATTAGCTGGGCGTGGTGGTGCACGCCTGTAGTCCCAGCTACTCAGGAGGCTAAGGCAGGAGAACTGCTTGAATCCAGGAGGTGGAGGTTGCATTGAACTGAGATTGTGCCACTGTACTCCAGCCTGGGCAACAGAGCAAGACTCTGTTTCAAAAAAAAAAAAAATGCCACTGCATGTTCATTTTCTTTCAGCCACTGAATATAGGGCTTTTTGTAATGACAAAAGTTATTATTAGGGGACTTAAGAGATTTTCTATGGTTATATATATTTTCAGAATAAATAGGCTTTGCTAAGTCTTAAGTTCTTTAAAATAAACATTGCCTCAAAATTTAAAGTTAGGATGATTACAATGGGTTTTGTTGTTGTTGTACAAACATTCACTTGAGAAGTTGAAAGCCCAGTCACAAATGTGTTTTGTCTATACATGAAAACAAACGAAGGGTAAAAGGTAAATGGGCTTTGTATTTATTTCCTAGGGCTGATGTAACTAAGTACATCCAACTAAATGGCTTAAAACAACAGGAATTCAATGTCTCACAATTCTGGTGGCTAGAAATCTAAAATGAAGGTGTCATCAGGGTTATGCTCCCTCTGAAATCTGTAAGGGAAGTTTTTGCCTCTTCCTAGCTTTTGGTGTTTGCTGGCAATACTTGGTGTTCCTTGGCTTGTAGATGCATCACTCCAATCACATGGCTGTCTTCTTCCTGTGTCTTCCCCTCATCTTTCCTGTGTGCTTGTCTGTGTCTGTGCCCAAACTTCCCTTTTCTATGAAGACACCAGTCATATTCGATTAGGACCCACACTAAGGACCTCATTTTAACTACATTACCTCTGGAATGACCATATGTCCAAATAAGTTCACATCCTGAGCTTCTAAGGGTTAGATACCTTCTTTCAACATTACTTCACAATAATTCAACCCATAACAGGCACTACTCACTTTTAACAGTAGATGAAGTAGATTGTTTGTATAGAAGGCCACAAATTTCCTCCTACCTTTCTATTCATGTCCTTTTGCTTCCTGACTTTGCTGCTTCTCCCATCAAGAACTGGAGTCCATTTCCACCTCCTCTTGAATCTGCCCTGGCCTTGTCTTGCTTTGACCAGTCAAATGAAATGGAAGTAATTTCACACAACTACTAAGTCTAGGTCTCCAGGTGCCTTGCAATTTTCACTCTCACTCTCCTACCTGAGATCTTTTTGTAAATAAGTCTGAGACAGGCTGCTATAGAGATTAGTGGGTGAGGTCTGAGATGCTCCAACCAACAGCCAGCACGAATTGCCAGGCATTTGAGTCAGGGAATCTTAGACTACGAAGCCCCAGCTGAGCATCTGGATTCTGGTGCTATAGATGCATGAGTGACCTCACACAGAACCAACAGAAGAACTACTCAGCTGAGCCCACCCCAAACTTCTGTCCTACTGTTTTAAGCTACTACGTTTTGAAGTGATTTGTTACACAACAATAAATGATTGATACAGAAGAATGTTAAAAGCTTGAGTCTTCTGTTGTTTACAGTCTGAATTGCCTCAACTAAATCACTTAATTCTAACAGCCCCTGCTTCCTTTTTTGTAAAATGTAGATATTTTACTCATCTGTCACCACTGGTTCCAGGTTTCAGGTTTTCAGTTTTAATGAATAAAAACGTAAGGGATAGGAATAAGAGGAAATTATTAGCTCAAGTAACTGACAAGTCAAGGAGTTGGTTTGGCTTCAGGTATGACTTGATTCAAGGACTCAAATGAAGGTATCAGGGATTTGTTGGCCCCCACCTCTGTATTCTTTTTTTCTTCTTGTGTCAGATTCTCAGATGGGCTTGCCCCAAGTGAGGGCCCTCCTTGCAGTATGAGGTTTAAGTTGATCTGGCCTGGCAAACCTAAAAGGAAGTTTGACTTTCATTGGACCTACTAGAAATATGTGCCCATCCCTAGACCAGTCTGGTCAGAGGGATGAAATGCTCCATTTGGTCAGGACTAGGGCACGTGTCCACCTAACCCAGTGAAGTGGAGAGGTGGAGGTAGGGATAGGGGAAGAAAGGGTTAGGCTCACCAAGACCATCTGGGGAGACTGGCACAAAGGAAAACTGGGACACTATTACTAGAAGAAAAGAAATGGACGCTGAGCAGGTAGAAAATAACAGATGTTCACTTCTTATTACATAGGCTGGGTAAACAGATAACAGTAATAGCTTATACTTATTAAATGCTTATTAGGTTCCCAGCACTGATCTGAATAGTTTATGTATATTAATTCCTCTTATTCTTCTCTATTTAGGAAGATGTATGGTTATTATAGTATTCCTACTTTACAAATGAGGAAGCCAAGGCATAAAGTGATTAAGTTGCCTATGGTCATGCATATATGAGTAGCATCAGAATCTAACTAGACTGGCTTGAAAGCTACTGCCTTTAACCTCCAGTCTATATTCAAAATAGGTCACCAGCACTATGGTAGGCAGGATTCTAACATGGTCCCCAAGATCCCCAACCCTTGGCATATAATTCCTTCTTCTTGAAAGTGGGTGGGACCTGTGAACATGACAGGATAGCCACTCCCTTGACTAGGTTACATTATATGACAAAAGTGATGAAACGGTCACTCTCTAGACTCCTGTAGGAGGATTCTCCTGCTGACTTTCAAGGAGTAAGCTGCCATGTTGTGAGGGCGCCGTGTGGCTTAGACCACTAGTTGAAAGCAGCCCTTGGCCAACAGCCATCAAGAAAATAGTAATCTCAGTCCTACAACCACAAGGATCTGAATTCTGTCAATAACCTGAATGTGCTTGAAGGAGGAGCCCAAGCTCCAGATGAGAAAGCCTGGCCCATCCCTTGATTTCAGCCTGATGAGCCCTTGAGCAGAGGACCCAGCCATACTGTGCCCCAGCTTCTCACCTCTAAAAGTGACAGGCAATGAGTATATATTTTTTTAAGCTGCTAAATTTGAGGGTCATTTGTTACTAACGTCAGCATCTTCTCTTTGTAGCCTTTTTATCTTCCATCAGGGTAGCTAGGCTCTCCCTCCTTTGGCACTCCCAGGGCTTTTCACACCAACTTGCTCACTGTTATCATAGAGCTCCCATATCACCTGGGTTAGGATTGTAATTACCAGGTAGGAGCATGGCAGGGCTACTGCTAGGTCATTATTGTGTGACTAGCACTTGAAAGTGTCTATTATATATGAATCGCTCTGTAATTGGTTGCAGAATAAATGAAAAGGCATCTGTGATGTATGTTTGCAAAATTTTATCTTTTGTAGGAACTGGTGGGGCCTGGATTGTGCTTCCAAGGGTAGTTTGGGGGTAACCTTCAGCCTGGGGTCCTAGGACAGTCACCAGTCCATACCGAATTGGATGTGAAGTTTTAGCATGGGGCCTCCTACACTACTAAGGTAGTGGTAATTCACTCTGCAAACCCATATGAGGTTTTCCCCGACTCTGAAGCTCTTTTTTTACATTCCACATTTTGGTGCCTTCTCAAGCCATTATTCTGTTGCCTTGAATCACAGCTGTGGAGGCAAACAGGCCTGGGTTGAGAATCTCAGCTCTGCTGCCCACTAGCTGAGGATCCATCATTGTACTCTTCTGAGCATGTTTCCTTGTCTATTAAATGGGGAAAATAATTCTCACAGCTGGCAGTATTTTAAGAACTCCATGAGAGAACGGAGCATGGACTTAGGAAGGTATGCTCCCATAAGGCATGGGGGCTTGCCCTTTTTGTTCGAGGCTGTGTTCCCAGTGTGTCCCTCAAACAGTAGGTGCTCAATACATTTGTTGAATGAGCAAGCAGTTTATGGCATGAATTCAGCACAATGCCTGGTAGACAGTAAGCATTCCACAAAGGACAGCTTTTACTGTCCATTTCACAGAGGAGGAAACCTCACCTGAGGACGCTGACACAAGTATTTGACGAGTTTTTCCTATTTTATCACTCGACATTAAGAAGGTAGTCAGGGATGCTGGGGTAATCTAACTTGAGGAACGAATATCCCTCATTACAACACTTCCAAGAAAAATGGCCCTCGCAATCCTTTATAAAGAAGTCAGGATTCCAATAAAACCAGGAAGGACCACATTCCAAAGCAAACAAACTCGCCTCATTCCCCACCCTGGGGGAGGGTGTTCACCCCCGTTCTGCTAAAGATAGAGCTAGGGCCCTCCCCAGGAACTTCCTGGCTTTTATTAGTTTGTAATCCCATACGTAACTTTTCAAAGGTTTTTCTTTTGGAAGTGTGGGTGTGAAAATGCTTCCTTAATCACATCGAACGGGAGGATCTCCGACCATCTGTACTTTATTTGAAAACCTAGCATCCGGTTGGGATGTTTGGGTGGGTGGAGGACCCTGCCGTGTTGGGATGAAACAGCAGGGACACGTTTAAAACACAAGAACCATGCGCGGTGGCTCACGCCTGTAATCTCAGCACTTTGGGAGGCTGAGGCAGGCGGATCACAAGGTCAGGAGTTCGAGACCAGCCTTGCCAAAACGGTGAAACCCCGCCTCTACAAAAAAAACCAAAATAAAACAAAAAACAAACAAAAAAAACCACCAAAAAAATAATCAGCCGGGCGTGGTGGCGGGCGCCTGTAGTCCCAGCTACTCGGGAGGCTGAGGCAGGAGAATCGCCCGAACCCGGGAGGCGAAGGTTGTAGTGAGCCGAAATCGAGCCACTGTACTCCAGCCTGGGCGACGGAGCGAGACTCCGTCTCAAAACAAAACAAAACAATCCCACGTCAAGATCGCTTTGAAACACAGGCAGAAAAATTAGGCAAAAAATGTCAAACGGCTAATTACCTTGGCTCAGTTACACATTTACTCGAAAGCCCGCCTCCCCCACTTTTAGCCCCAGCGTTAAGAATGTAAAATAGGGCGCTTAGAAGTCTAAGCGATAAAGATCTTCTTACCGAGAGCCAAGGGACAAAACTCATTACAGATAAGCCTAGTCCTCCCATTTCCCCCGGACGCCTCTCCCCGATTGCTAAAGAAGCAGCCGCTCCCCGGGTAGCTGCCAGGAAATCAGTCCGGCCCCGCGGCGCTGCTTTCACCCTGCAGGGTGTAAGAGGCGCACTTCCTGCGCCCTCCCCGCGGCCAAACCGGGGTGCGGGAACCTTCTCCAGAGAAGCTGCGAGTTGGGGAAACTCCGCCACCGATCCATCGTGGCGCCGGGAAAGGGGATGCGGGGCTCGGAAGGGCTAGATTTCGCAATCCTGGGATCGACATTCCTCCCCTCCCCCACTTTCCCCAGCCTTGGACTGGGCCAATGAAAGCCCGAAAAAGAAAAAAAAAAAAAATTAAATCTCAATGTAGCCGGAGTGCAAAGGCCGCTCGGCTTTGTTTCCCGGCGGGGGAATGCGCTGTGTTGGAGGCGCGAACAGGAGCCGCAGACGGTGAGCCTCACCGCTGCAAATGCCAGGGCAGTGAAGCCGAACAGAAAACCCCATCGCTTTAAAAAGGCAGCTGTCCGCCCTCCCCCTTTCCCCTCGCCAGGGCGAGGGGCCCCTCAAGTCCGGGATCCGCGAGCTGCGCGGAGGATCTCGCCAAACCCGAGCACCGTGCGGCGTCTTTTAAGAGCTCGAACAACGGGAATCCAGCAAAAAACAAGCCGGCCCCAGAAGGCAGCCTCCCTCCTCTCTCCGCGCACGGGCTACAATCGCCCCCAGTCCCCAAACTGTCCCAGTAGAGGCCGCGCGGAGAGAGCAGAGCCGAGGGACCCAGCGCAAGGCGGGAGCCAAGCGCGGCTGCTTTAAGAACGCGGAGAGCGCGCGCCCGCCGCCAGCTGGCCCGGGCTGCGCGCCCCCGCCGCCACCGCGCGCCCCCTGTTCGCTCGCTCCTTCGCTCGCCGGCTTTAAAGTCTCTGCCAGGATCCATGCTCACATGTTACTTCCTGTATGGAGGCATGGCCAGTTTCCAGCCCCGCGCTCTTCGTTCCTTCCCAGCCTGCGCCGGAGCCACAACTTTCAGGAGCATGGACTGAAGGCGCCCTCGCCCCAGCGCCCCTCTGAGATCCTTTGTGTTTTCCTCCGTTTCCTCCGGCCGTTTCTATTTTGGGGGGCTCTCCGCTCCCCCTGCCTCTCCCCTCCCCTTCCCCTCTCGCAAACATGCCTCCTTCCTTCCCGGGGCCCTGGAAGGAGCTGCCTGCCTGAAGCCCGGAGACGCCGCGCCGCGCTCAGCCCCGCCGCCGCCCGCCGGCTCTCGGGCTGTGCTGCGCTGCCGACTCAAGTTGGGGATCCTCGGCTGCTCGCCGCCGCCGCCCGCGGTCCCTGCCTGCCCCAGGCCCGGGGCATCGCCGCCGGCCGCCGACTCCGCGCCCTGCCCGATCGGCTCTCTCCTTTTTAAACGGAAAGCAGCCTTTCTCCGCCGAGAGGATCGTCCCCAGCGTGGCTCTGCGTTCCCGGTCACTTTTTGAGATTTTCCGGGGGGCGCTCGGCGGCTTCCCGGATTCCAAGGGGACTCGGGCCGCCGAGCGCGGGGGGCCCGTGGAGCGGGCGAGCCGGGGAAGCGCCCCGGCTTAGCGGAGGCTCGCACGGAGGCAAGAACTTATTCAACAAGTTTACCTCCCTGCTTTCCTCTTTTCGATGTGCGTTTTCGGACATGCGGAGGTTACTGGAACCGTGTTGGTGGATTTTGTTCCTGAAAATCACCAGTTCCGTGCTCCATTATGTCGTGTGCTTCCCCGGTGAGTGCCGGCCGCCGAGGGGATGCGGCCCCGGCCGGCGCGCGTTGGGGATGCGGAGTTGTCGCCTGGGCGCGGAGCTCCGGCGCCCGTCCGGGAGACCCTGGAGAGGGTGGAGGGTGGCCCGGCGCCCGGATAGGAGAAAAGGATTGCTCCGCTGGCTTGGATGATGTTTAGGGAGGCAGGCTAGTGGTCGAGGAAGGTGGAGGCAGGGGCTGGCCGGGGAGGGGGCTGGGGGACGCGGGGGTCTGCTCCCGCTCCCTTTTGGGGGTCCTGGGGAGCTGGAATCGGGAGAAAGGGGGACTTGCTTTGCTGACTCGTCGCCGATCGGGAGAACTCGAGTTGTGGGGCGGTTGGGGAGACTGAGGCCATGGAAAGGATGCTTCTGTGGGTTTGGGGGGCCCGGGATGAGCCCCCTCGCTCTGGCGGGTATTGAAGGAACTCAGAAGGTGGGGGTTTGCTTTGCTGTTCTCCATCCCTTTGGGAGGGCTAGGTTTCGGGGAATGGAAGTCGGAGGCTGGCTGCGGAGGACTGAGGATGTGTGGGGAGCAGCCTGCGTTCTGGGTCGGGGGCGTCCTCCCTCTCTCTGGGGGCTGGGGCGCGGGCAGCACTTCGGTGCCGGCGTGAGGCAGCCTCCTTGGGCGCAGTGAGACGGCAGGGCGCAGGCGGTTTCGGAGAGATCCGTGTCTCCCCTAGCCCCGGCCCGTGGCCCTTTCCCTCCGCTGCTCTGCTCGATTGGATTGCCTGGGTCTGGACGCGGGGAGGGGGCGGGGGCGGTTTCGGCGGCCGGGGCGGTTTCGGCGGCCGGGTTGCTGTTCGCGCCGGGGCTGATTTTTTTCCTGTCTCGCGCGCCCTGCCTACCTTCATCTTTGCCCTTTTGCAGGCTGTTCGCGGCTGGCAGACCCAGTCTCGCTCCTTTCTGGCCAGGTTAAGACAGGAACAATACTGGCCGTTGATAAGAATAAATCACCGCACGTAACGGTGTGCGGCTCGGCGACCCTCCACTTCCAGCTCTCAGCTGGCAGTTCCCCCTCCTCTCTCCCCTGGGGAGGGCAGAGGCCAGCTGCCTCCCTCTCCTCTCTTGCAGGTCCCCCGGGCAGCAGCCCCGAGCTCCCTCGTAGCTGTCCCTTGGGGTGGAGGCCAAGTCCTGCCCTAGCCCGGGGAAGGGCTGGAAGAAGGGGTGATTTGCTTTTCATCCCTCGCTCCCCTAAGGACAGAGAATTCCCCGTTTTTCTGCCCTCTCATCCATCAACTCCTGCATACCCGGAGGTGGAGGTTATCTGAATCAAGAAAAAGAGGAATGTGCCCCGAGGTCTCCGCTCTGCCTGGTTACAGACGCCTGTCCTCGGGCGGCTGGAGCGCCCGTTTTTGGTGCAGCGGGTCCCTTAGTCCCGTCGTGCGACCCGGAGCAGGGCGCGCGGGAGCCCTCGTCGCCCTTGGGGATCCCCTCGGGGGACTGGCAGCGAATGCCCCCTTTGCAGAATCGGGGATGGCCTCGAGGGGCAGAAAGGGAAAACACCGTCTGGTATTCTGCACCCCCTTTTCTCTCTGCGCATCCTCCTGCCCGCGGAGCGGCACGGAGCTCCAGCCCAGAAACGCAGCTCGGAGGCCGAGCTAGGACGTGCGTCCACACTCACCCTGGGGTTTGCCCACTGGAGTCCTGCCTCTACGGTAGGACACTGGGGCCTGGGGTTTGCCCACTGGAGTCCTGCCTCTACGGCCTCTACGGTAGTGTAGGCCATGGGGACATCTCCCCTTAGAAACAGCTGCCTTCATTCACTAAAAGATCACTGCTCAGTATTTGGGTTAATCATCTCTCCTTTCTAGTCTCCCCTGCTTTACCACGGACTTGACGACTGAGCGGGCTCAGGTGCACACAGGGGTTGAGCTTTGTGAGGGCCACTCTTTAATGGGTGCAGTGGGAGGTCGTGGAGGGCTGCCTTGCAAATTAGAGGAATTTCCAATTCCACTTCTGTCCTTCTTGCGCTCGGGGATGCAGTCAGTGGGCTGACCGTGGTTTTCTTTTCCCTGGTGTGTGAGGAAGCTTGAGATCCAAAATGGGACTGCCAGGGAACCAGCCTTCGTGGGGCTTGGACCATTTTCGTCTTCTCATTTTCTTTTCGCGCCCACGCTGCGAGGTAAATAGCCCCTTTCCTGGTCCGGGAGCCGAGGGGTGTGGGAAAGGGAAAGGACAGTGGTGGGAGGCGCAGGGAAGAGGGCGGTTTGGTTTGGAAAAGTGCAGCCCGAGAGGGAGCAGCAGGCTTTGGAGCAAGGTAAAGTTAAAATATCAGAGCTCTGGGAGACGCTGGCTTTTCGTTTTCCGAGGTTGCCGCGACGCCGCTGGACCTCAGGGGGCGCCCCCGAGCCACTGGTGGGGCTCCTGCCACCTCCACACTGGTCGGCCTCGGCCACCTCCACGCCTCAGGGATGGGGCGCGCGTGCCCGGGTTCCCAGGCTCTGGGGCTGCAGACGCGCCTTGGCGCGAGGCGGCGGCCTCGGCCTGGCGATGCTGCTCCTGGCTTTCTCGAAACCCGCTGGGGGCTGGAGTTAGCCTTGGGACCCCTACTTCTTGCCTGCTATGACCTCGAAAGCGCTTATCTGTTTGACATGAGGGATAAAAATGCTTCTGTTTTGGAGTAGGGTCGTCCTTGTGAGGTCTTAGCCAAAATCCCTTTTTATTTAGTATTTTTGTGTTTCCTCTCAGAATCATAACTCAGCATAACTCTTCAGTTGCATTTGAGTTCTCAGCTCCTGTTCAGGATATGGGTTAGCTGTAGTTTGGGCAGGGTTTTGGAAACACAGCCCTGGCATGAGCTTTTTCCCAGTGGATTGGAAACAGTGGATTTTAGTCTTTGAACAGCAGTGTGGCAGGTTTGGGATCCATTCAGGGTTAATAATGCTTCAAGTGATGCTTTCCAAGTGCAAAGCTAAGAGTGTTACCAAACATGATATTAGGCATATTACATTGCTATATACATCTTTATAAAGCACTGTAGAAACGTTTACAAAAATAGCAAAATATAATGGATCCCCCACCCAACTTCAACACTCACAACTCAATCTTCTCTCATCTCTTCCTCCCCAACACCTTATTATTTTAAAGCAAATCCTACACATAGTTCATTCAAACTCTGATACATATCTCCAATCACTGGGAATTTAATTGCCTCTGACACAGTATAAAATATGTTACTTCAGAGTGTTAACCTTTTATCTAGTTTACATTCTCAAGCTCAGCAGATTTTTTTTTTAATTGATTTTTGTCTTTCGGCCCTCAGAGTGAAACTCTGGTTTTGATATGTTTTGTATTGTAATTACATTATATCTAGGATGCTGCCATTGGAAACAGTTCAGATGGATAAGCTCAGCTGTGTACCTTGGATGTGTCAGAATTGGAGGCTCCATGATTAATGTCGGGTGAATCATGAATCTCCCTCTAAGCTGTCTCTTATTTTATTTGCATGTGCGGGCTTTAGTTCTGATGGGCATCCGTTATGGCCTTAGGAAAAGGCAAAAGTAATATTTGGAAATCAGCAATCTTTCTCTTTACAGGGTGTGAGATTGTACAGGTTTTTTTTCCCTCTCCCTCATGTATCATGTTTGAAAATGAAGAATCTTTACCCAGTCTCTAAACTGGGTTCCTTTGACACAGTTATGGAATAAAATCTTTGATGTTTCCTTCTAAACAGTGTTCACATTTGAGGGTTGATGGACTTAAAACACTAATAAAGATAGGCATAAACAGGGCCTTTTGGAAATAGGGGAAGTTGCTGTTGTTGCTGAAAGAAGAAAGGTCATAGGAAGGGTTGGCTGATGTGGGAAAAGTGACTATTCCATAGTGAAGCTTTGAGTATCTCCCATTAATTATGGACCTGTTTTCACTGAATAAAAGATTATGTTGTTGTTTACATGAAGCGATCCAGCGAATGCTGATGATTTAATGCAGCAAAACAAACAGCCCTTTCAGATTTGCCTTTCTATTCTAAACAGCTCCCAAGTTAACAGAGTAGAATCAGTTATACACCTGTGTGCTGATTGAAAGTAACTTCCTTGGCATTCACGTGAGATCACTTAAAATGCCCTAGAGTAGTTACTCAGGAGCCTCTCCTACTCCCTTGTCTCCCTGCCTTTTCCTGGAGACTTCTTTTCTTTTTTTGAGATGGAGTCTCACTCTGTCACCCAGGCTGGAGTGCAGTAGTGAGATCCTAGCTCATTGCAACCTCTACTTCCCAGGTTCAAGCGATTCTCCTGCCTCAGCCTCCTGAGTAGCTGAGTCTACAGGCACGTGCCACTATGCCTAGCTAATTTTTGTAATTTTGTGGAGACGGAGTGCCGCCATGTTGGCCAGGGTGGTCTTGAACTCCTGACCTCAGGTGCTCTGCCCACCTCGGCCTCCCAGAGTGCTGGGATTACATTGCTACTGGGCTGTTGCTTTAACACTTTGCTTTTACAGTGACACGTTGTTTGTTCTTTTTAAATCTTGATTTCCATTCAGCATGTGGGACAATGAAATGCCATTTCTAGGCAGGTTGAAGATTGCAATATGCGTACATTCTGAATTAAGAGATTTAAACAATTGTAGTTAATACTGTCATCCTGGGTTACATTTCATGTGGTCACATTCCATAACCCGGAGCTTATGGGAAAAATTTAGGGCATCTGAAGTTCCCTCTAAAGCACTTGGTGCCCAGAAATTAGCCCTTGGTTTGCTTTGGTTCAGAGTTGACCTCTGTTAGATGTTGGGTGGTGGTCACTGAAACTGTTTTCGGCTGTATCCTGTTTAGAGAATAAAAGGGCTGTTTTATTAATATTATAGAAGCCAAGGAGTACACTGCTCCCCACCTTTAATTTTCCACCTGAGCTTGATCTAGGTTAAGCAGCCACTGACGAGGTAGAGGGAGTGGCTCAGGAGGGACTCAGGAGGGGCTGAGAAGAGCCTGCTCTGTGAGGGCTTCTTGTGGGATTTGGCAATAGTCACTGAATTTGTCCCAGAATGAGGTTGCCTGTGCAAATGATTAAAAGATAAAACTGGGCACTGTGGCTCACTCCTATAATCACAGTGCTTTGGGAGGCGGGAGGGTCACTTGAGCCCAGAAGTTCGAGACCAGCCAGGGCAACATAGGGAGACCCTGCCTCTACAGATAATAAAAGAAAAATTAGCTGGGTGCACTCTTTTGTCCCCACTACTTGGGAGGCCAAGATGGGAGGATTGCTTGAGCCCACGAGGTTGAGGCCGCAGTGTACTGTGATCATGCCACTGCACTCCAGCTTGAGTGACACAGTGAGACCCTGTCTCAAAAAAAAAAAAAAAAAATTAAAAGATCAAATGTAGGCTGGGCATGGTGGCTCATGCCTGTCATCTCAGCACTTTGGGAGACCCAGGTGGGCAGATTGCTTGAGCCCAGGAGTTCAAGACCAGCCATGTGCAACATGGTGAGACCTCATCTCTACAAAAAATACAAAAATTAGCTGTACTTGGTGGTATGCGCCTGTAGTTCCAGCTACTCCAGAGGTGGAGGACAGGACTTTGGGGCTGCAATGAGCTGTGATGGTGCCACTGCTCTCCAGCCTGGGCGACATAGTGAGACCCTGCCTCAAAAAAAAAAAAAAAAAAAAGTTCATTTGCCAGTCTGAGAAATGGGAGCAACCATCTTACTTGGAAACAAACTATATCCAGGACTAGGGCAACATTCTGTGCACTTAAAAAATCAACTATACTTGTGTAAAAAAGAGTTATCGGACTTGGCTTTGACTTATTTTTGGTATTGTGTTTATGTGGAGTTGTAACCAACAAAATCAATAAAAAGGATAAGTATATTCCAGAAACCTGTATTTACGTCTCCTTGCTTTTCCCTACAATTTGCCTGTTGCAAATTTCTAAGAACATGGGATTGTTAATGTCTCTTTAAAAGATGTCTTAAAGTAATACAGGTAAATTTCACTGTCAGGAAAGTCTGTGATGATTGAGATGTAGAACAGATAAATTTGTGGTTAACTCAGTATGAAAAGGATTGTTAGGTATAAGTGATGGCTGTGCAAGATTGCTTTAAGTAGCTAGAGGGCTTCTTGAGTGATTGTCCCCTTCTATTGGGACAACTATAATTGGAGGGACCATTTCACCTGGTATCATTTGTGGCAAGATATTTGGTGTTTTGACAGAAAAATATATTCTGTGTGAGATAGCTTGCTGGATCTATGCAGGCCTAAGGTTTTTATGATTGCAGCCCTTAATACAACTGTAAAAAAAATTTTTTTTTTGGCCTGGCATGGTGGCTCATGCCTGTAATTCCAGCATTTTGGGAGGCCCAGGCGGACGGAACATGAGGTCAAGAGATTGAGACCATCCTGGCCAATATAGTGAAACCCTGTCTCTTCTAAAAATACAAAAATTAGCTGGGCATGGTGGTGCACACCTGTAGTCCCAGCTACTCGGGAGGCTGAGGCGGGAGAATTGCTTGAACCCAGGAGGCAGAGGTTGCAGTGAGTTGAGATTGCACCACTGCACTGCAGCCTGTGCGACAGAGCAAGACTCCGTCTCAAAAAAAAAAAAAAAGATTCGTTTTAAGTGCTTCCAGGGATAGGAAGAGGAATGACAGCTGATGAGGTTTCTATATGTGCCTGGTTTCTGTTTTGGAAGCCTCCCAAACGGAATTGGGTAGTGTTTCACTTGTACTTGTGGTGGGTGTGGGGATGGAGGTAACTTACACATTGAATGAAAACTTCATGTGTCAGCCAGTTGATGAGAGTTGCCATACTATTTTGTCAGCATGTAGCAGGAAGAAAAATCTTTTAGGAGCCTGGAACTTGTTAATGCTTTTCTATTTGTTTTCTAAACTAGGTGGCTATTGAGAGTTATACAGAACATAGCAAAATAGGTAAGAATATGGCCTCTGGAGCCAGCCTACCTGTGCCATTGCTAGCCGTGCTACCTTAGAAAAGTTACATACCCTCTCTGTGCCTCATTATTTTTTTCTTCCTCTGTGAAATGGGGTGGTGATAGAAGCCTAACTCCTAAAGTCTTTGTGAGGCTTGAATGAGAATGTATATAAGGACTTAGTGCTGTGCATGGTAAACAGTAAGTGCTCAATAACCATTTTTTTAAATCAAAAGTTTTATATGTTTATTTTTATAGAGACCGGGTCTCTCCCTGTGTTGCCCAGGCTGGTCTTAAACTCCTGACCTCAAGTGATCCTCCTACCTCAACTTCCCAAAGTGCTAGGATTACAGGCCTGAGCCATTGCTCCTGGCCACCGTTTTTAAGTGTTCTTAAGAGATTTGGATAGGAGTGTATGGAAAGCGGACGGTGGAACTGAAAAGGACAACTGTATGTATAGACAACTTTTTGAAAAATTGTATAAACATACGTGATGGGTTTTTGTATCTGTCTTTGCTGTTGAGGGTGAGGAGGAGTAGGGATCAGCATGGGGACATTCTATGTAAGATTACTAACAGGTTACATTTTGAGGTTTAAATAAATGAGAAAGTCCTCATGAAGTCTGAGATATCACCTTGCCCACATTGCAAAGGAGGTCTCTGCTTTCTCAGCTTAAAGTGGGAAAAATGCTTTCTGTGGGCTTAAAATGTGTCTCATAAGTCTTCCAAATCCCTGTGTAGAAAGAGTCGCCTAGTCCTGCACCCTCAGATGTTAATTCCTCTTCTCAGGCTTTATGGACAGTGTGGTAATGGAGGGAAATAGGTTACTCATTACTGGGATTCAATTTGGCTCCACTGATGGGAAGCAAACAGTAGTTGGGTGTTTGCTTTTATTTTACACTTGTGTGACACTTGAACACATTGATGTCCTGTCTCTATATGTTCATGGATTCAGAGCTACAGAGCATATGAGAGAGAACCAAACACTGATGCACACCTCGTACCCTCTAATCTTTTCTTTTTTTTTTTTGCAGACTGAAATCAGCATGATATTTTTCTGGCCAAACAACAAAATGTGATTTTAAACTACTCAGTTTAGCTATTTTTGGGGAGTAGCAAAGTGACACAGTTGGCTGCTGAATTCTAGCAACTAAAAAAGAAAAAAATGAAAGCATAGTTCATGGAATATGTAACACTTCCATGTAAGAAAATAGGACAACTGGTCTTATTTTTGGGTCTGTGATACTGTCTTTCTAAGTGAGTGAAGCAGGGTGTTGTATAATGCAGTGGATATACTTTTGAGGAATTCATACTAGTTACAATATACATCTAAGAGGTATTTGAGTTTTCATAGCATTGCTGCCTCATGAATCCTGCAGTGCACTTAAATCAGATCTGTTCATTAATTGGGAATGATTTGGATAAGGGGACACAGCCATAAGCAATTGACCAAGCATAAAAGCATAGTCCAGATTAGTGAGGAAATATTACTGACTTTTTAAGGTTGTCTCGAGAACTTTTTAAGAATTGTCAAAAGGATTTATTTACAAAGCGGTGGTTATTTATAAATGAGTTCTACCTGTTTTTAAAATGACACTTTTCCAGAAGCGTTTCTCTTCAGTAAGTGTGGAGGCTTAGCTCTGTCTGTGGGTAGCTAAGGGTGGTTACCCAACATCTTACGGAAGTGGGGTTGGGTGGCGCTGGGGCTCTGGGAGTTTCAGATATACATATCTCTTATTCAGAATCCACACCAAAACCACAGAGACCTGGGTTGAAATTCTTAGTTCATTACAGCATTTACCTTGGGCAAATGGGCCTCACCCTTTTAATCTATAAAATGGGAATAGTAATTATAATAGCCTACGCTTACCAAGCACATGTGATCTATGCCCCGTGCTTGAGCATTTTATATGCTTTTAATCATCCCTGGAAGTATGAACCATGATTATTTCCACTGTAGGGTTAGGAAACTAAAGTTGAAGAAGGTAGGTCCAAGGTCACCGGGGTAGCAAGGCGCGGGGAGCGGTGGGGGGCGGTGACTGTAATATGTTTCTCTAATCATTGCTCAGGATTTTTTTTAAATTTTATTTCAGACCATTTGCTTTTTGAAGAGAGTATGGAAACTATTTTTCCTAATTGCACAGGAGGGCCAATTGAAAGATCTAGCTTTTTATGTATTTCACCCTGTTACTTTTCCCATATAAGCAAGTGCCATGAACACTGGGTGGAATAAAGGTGTCTTCCTGTACTTGCTACAATTAAATAAGTAAGTAATGCAATTAGTATAGGATTTTATTTGGTTACGTTGAAGAGATGACCTTTCAGCAAATTACTTTAGCTTCTGAATAAGCTGATAATAACTGTGGATAGAGTCTGAATTTGTTGGTGGTGAGTTTTTTTTTGACACTACTCCTCTTCCAAATTACCTAAATTGATTTGCTTTGTAATTTGAGAACTTTTGTTTGGGGCTTTGAATATGGTTACTTTGTAGTAATGCGGTATTTTTACTGTCCCATGTATATCATCTAAGTGTGGGCAGCAGGCTCTGAATCATAACTTCAGGAAAGGTCTGAGGGTGTTGTGTTTGGCAAGAAATGGCTTGGATTCTGCATTTTTCCTCTGGAGTTTGGAACTAGCCATGGGAGCCAGCCAAACCAGCTGTGGGATCTTGGGCAAGACCCTCAATTTCTTTCGGGTTGTTTGCCTCACCCTTCACTAAATGGCTTCTAAAATTTTTTTCTGGAATTTTAGAGATTGTTGATTCCAGGCTAGGCAGTTTGGAAGGGTTATGGTCTTTTTGCAGTATGCAAGTCAGATGCCCAGGACACACTGTGATTTGTGAGGTGCACTTGTTGACTTTTTCCTGTGAGGGTTTGCTTCCTAAGGCGTTGAGAACCCTTCCATTATCTTGCTAACCTTGCTACGGATTATCCTGAGGGAGTAGCAGACAAGGTGGTGAGTGGAACTTGGTTAATGGAATGCCTATAAGCTATGTTTTTGTTTGTTTGTTTGTTTTTTAAACATGAAACCTTATTTCTTCTGGAGACCAAGTTAAAAAAAATATGGAGATTTGCTCATGTCAACAAAGTTATGTGTATAGCGTTTAAAACTATCTAATGTGATTTATGATTGGAGTGGTGGGGGCAGACGTCTTTGTCTAAAATGAGAAACGAAGCTCGTTCTGGATCTTGTGTCTGGAAAGGAGAAATGGAGAAAGGACAGGCATTTATTTGGGTTATCTGGAATTCTACAGATGTTCTTTTGGCCATACTGCATTTAAAAGAAAAAATAAATTAAAAATTAAGAATGCATTAAAAATCAGTCATTTTGCATTCATGCCATCAACAAGTTTCTGGGTGCCTAGAGCATGCCAGGTGCTGTTCTAGGCACTGGGGGAGACAATGGTGACCAAAACAGATGGAAGCCCCGGCCCTCATGACAGCTTCCCGTGAAAGTGGGGTTACTCTTGAAAAATAGGAAGGTCTAGCAGCCTAGGGCCTATGTTAGTGCTTGGCAACAACATTAACCTGAAATTAAATAGTGCTACCCCTTGGGATGGGGCACACACCTGTCCCGTAGTGGTTATTTACAATACTCAGCTGGTCCCTGGAGGTGTTTGTCACCCAAGCATAGGTGATTTTCCTGAGGGACAGATTTTTTCTTTGGGCTTGTTTGGGGTTTTGTATTGCCTGGATTGGTCATGTATAACCATGTGCGTGGGCACATGCGCTAGTGCACACAGGTGCATTGCTGGCTGATGACATGACTTCTTTCCTGTCAATCTTGCTTATGAAGCTGAAGCTCACCTCTCCTGGCTGTGTCGTTTTCTGGCTCTACAAATGGCCTGCTCCTTGGATATTTCACAGTCATGTGTTGACTTCCCTGGTTGATTTGAATTTCTGTTAGCTTGTTCAGTTAAGACAAAAGTGTGTTTTGAAAAATCGCTCATTTAAGAGCTGGTTCTCTTGATCAGTTTCTTGTTATCAGATGGCCCAAGAAGGGGTATGATGTCGGGGGACAAGGGGGGGAAAGCCAGTGACTATTAATAGAGTAGGATCTGAGTACATTAATATTGGAGATGCCATATTAGTGGGTCCCTTGCTACTTAGTTTTTTTTACACAATATTGCTGCCCTCCTAATTTTTGCACATGGATTTCCAATAAATGATAGAAATAGTGCACATTTTAATTTTTACAACAACAACATGCGAAAGCCTGAACTTTGTACAATAGAGTGGCTAGCTTTTGACTATTACAGATGGAAGATTTGAGGGGATGATTCCTTCACCCTTGTTTTAGTACATGTTCATTAAGTGGTCACCGTGATACGCAATACATTTACATGAATTCCCCACATGTGATTCAGAGCCAAATTAGGCTATGTTCTTTGAGGGCAGGACCACATTCCTCCTTGTGCTGTGTCTTTGGTGTGTCAGTAGTGGTAGTCATGTATGAGGGCTGACAGAATGAGTAGATAATGCTCTTCAAATGATTATAGGATGTTTTAGAAGACATTGATGTCACTGTATGTAGTTTCAAGATATCTCATGTTTGTATATTGTGTCTTAAGAGATACACTATCCAAGGTTAATATCTTCCTTAAGAGAATTCTGAGTATATATATTGTCATGGTGGTTGAAGTTTATCTTTAAAAAGAGAAGCTAAATTCGTACCTTCTGTTGGCTGCTAAGGTATCTGTTGCTGAGAACGGGATTCCATTCTAATTAGAGGACAAATGTCTATAGGACAGCAGGGTTATGTTTTGATGGTTGCAATGGTAGTAAACCTTTTTTTTTTTTCCTCTCTTGTGGAATAATTTAAGCTAAATTCTGTGAATCTGGTGGTCATTGTATCAAAAGTGGCCTTGGCTCTTAGGTGATTCAGGAGAAGGTAGCCCTCTTATTAGTGCTTTGTTCCAGAAACAGTGAATGAGGTATGCAGAGAGCAGCAGAGCTTGCCTCAGCTGACAGTAGAGCGCAAAAATGAATGCCATTGCCCAGTAATGGCTTTGTGCAGGTTGGACTAGGAGAAGGGCTTGCCTGAGCTGATCATTTTTGCTTGGTTGACAAGTACTAGTTGGTCACCAGATCTACTGCCCTTGATGAGACAGATGTTGGCTGGTGCATCATGGTGATTCTAATGTGCACAGGCAGAAGCTAAGTTTTCTAGAACACATTGCTAGTCAATGCCTGCCCTGTTTTATCCCTCTTCCCACCAGTTGTTTTCTCTTCTAAAACTAGTCATTTTCTCTTATTTACATGTGTGTAAAGGTTACGAGTGGAGGGTGCAGAAAATCTCTTGACAGTTTTAGGCACTAGCTTCTCATTTTCCCAGTCAGTCAATTTGGGCAGAAGCTGCTGAAATTATTTCATGTGATAGAGGTTTGCATGCTAGAGGTCTTAGTCCATTTTATGTTGCTGTAACATTATCTGAGACTGGGTAGTTTATAAAGAAAAGAGGTTTATTTAGCTTACAGTTTTACAGGCTGGGAAGTTCGAGGGCACGGCCCTGGTGTCTGGTGAGGGCTTTTGTGCTGCATCATAACATGGTGGAGAAGGTGGAAGGGGAAGTGGACATGTGCAAAGAGAGGCAAAACCCAAGTGATGCCCTGGCTTCGTAACAACCCCGCTCAAGGGAACTAATCCATTCCCACGAGAAGTGACTCGGGCTTGCCAGAATGAGAACTCAGTCACTGCCTCGAGAATGGCACCAAGCCATTCGTGAGGGACCCACCCTCATGACTCAGACAACTTCCACTAGGCTCCACTTCCCAGCACCACCATGTTGAGGATCAAATTTCAACAAGATTTGGTGAGGACAGACCGAAACCATAGCAGCGCATAACTTTAGCGTTAGAGTTCTTTCTGAACATATTTTAGGATGTGGTTTTTAGAAGAACACGTCAGTTGCTAGTGAAGTTTCTTAACTGAAATGAGGGAGTTGCTGGTTCTTGAAATTTCTGCTGCTCCTTATGATGCGAAGTGGAGGTAAAATTGATTTCTGGGGAGTCTAGGGGAAATGTAAGCACTCTGACCACATAAACAAAGGATTTTGTGAAAATAAATCTTATATGCCTTGGAACCTTTAAATGGGGTTGAGGGAATGAGACTTGAAGACAAGTGGATTCTGATGAAAGAGGCCAGTGGCAAATGTGTATTTAAAAAAAAATGCATTTTTTTGCAGGTACCAGAGTGAATCCTAGCTTTGTCCTTTGCTAACTTTGGCCAGTTACTTAACTTTATTGGTTTTCTTACCTTTAAAATGGGGATAATGAGAATTTCAACCTTCTTGAGTCCTTGTGAATATTAAATGAGATGTGTGTGCAAAGCACCAGAAAAGCATTAGGCACACAGAACTTTTTTTTTTTTTTTTTTTTTGAGATGGAGTCTCGCTTTGTCACCCAGACTGTTCAGTGGCGCACTTTCGGCTCGCTGAAACCTCTGCCTCCCGGGTTCAAGCAGTTCTCCCTGCCTCAGCCTCCTGAGTAGCTGGAATTACAGGCGCATGCCACCACGCCCGGCTAATTTTTATATTTTACATAGAGATGAGGTTTCACCATGTTGGCACCATGTTGGCCAGGCTGGTCTCGAACTCCTGAACTCAGGTGATGTGCCTTCATCGGCCTTCCAAAGTGCTGGAGCTGATATTATAGACATGAGCCACTGTGCCCGGCTGGCACACAAAATTTTATAAATGGTACCTGTTTTTAATAGCCAGTGTTTAAGATTCATGAAACAAAAGTGTGCCTAAACACGCTCTCAACGAATGCTATGCCACTGTTGTGAAGACATGGGAGAGAGCTGGAGCTGTGACAGCAGAGATCCCACAGCGAATAAAGTGGCAGAACCAGAATCTGAACTGGCTTTTGGCTGTTGTCATGCTTTCTTCTGTGCAGAGCAGGAGTGTGATGAATTAAGGCTCACAGGGCTACCAGGAAGAGGTTTTTTGTTTGTTTGTTTGTTTTTTTGACAGAGGTTTAGCAAAGATGGCTTTTAGGATTTAATTTGTCCTATATCTCCCACCTTGAAGAAAAAGGTTCATAGCTACTCTTCATATTCTCATTGCTGAAATTATCAGCACGAGTAGGGTACACATGCCTTGCTGTATATCTTTGTGTTAATATGGGGCCAGTCACACCCCCTAGGTGCATATAAACAGGGACATTCAGTGAAAGTGAACAGCATATGTCTTCTTCCTGTCCCTGTGTGTTATTTTGCAGTTTTTCTACAGAGGAATTGGAGGTTGGCATTTGAGCCAATGGTCCCCATTCCCATAGCTGTGGTAGATGTTGCTAATTGATCACAGAGCTTTTTGCTACTGAAGCCTGAACGAGGTCTTAGAATCATTTTCAATAGTTGGTCTGGGAGAGGACTTTTGTGCCATCTCTGTGCCTATAATAAGGCAGATTAACCAACCTTCGAAAATAGCATGAGAAAGAGAGGTGTATCCAAGTGGCTACTGTATTCTTGGAAATAGGTGTGCTGCTACATGGGCAATTTTTAAGGTTTGCTTGTCCATAAAATTGATTTGAACTTATATTTGACTCACATTTGTTTATTCAGAAAAAAAAATCCAGTCTCTTGATGGTGGTTACATCATATTTTAATTGGTAAGATCCACTAATGGAGGTATAGGGATCTAAATTCACTTGCTTATTTTTCCTTCAAAGCCCAGGGGTTTTGCATCAGATTATGGCGCTTGTAGGAGTGTTTATATTCCGAAGTGACACCTTTCTGAATTCTTAGCTATTTAAGTAAGTGTTAAGAATGGGCTTGGTGACAGCAGTTTTTAAAACTGTGATTGACTTATTGGATCTTTTCCCTCTGTTGTTTATACCTGACAGAGTATCTTATGTTTGTTCTGAATAAGTTGATTGTTACCTTTAGGGTAGCTTGTTTCTCAAAATTTGAGTGGTCCTCTGATCAGTGTTATTTTTGATAAGGAAATTGAAGAGTAGGCATGAAAGGTGAAAGGAATTCATTTGCAAAGCTGACATCAGATAAATTTTAGGTGCTTGGTAACATACCAAGTACTCGGATGACATCAGGTAATCCCGTATTTGTTTCCTGTATATGAGTTTTTCCACCTCAAGATTCCTTTTGATGTTGAGCCTTTGCTTAATGAATGTGAAATGTCTATAGAGCTCTCTGTTCAATATGGTAGCCACCAGCCACCTGTGGCTAGTAAACACTTCAAGTATGGCATGTCTAAATTGAGATGTGCTTCAAGTGTAAAATATACACCAGATTTCAAAGACAAATGAAAAAAGAATGTGAAATATCTCATTAAAACTTTTCATTGACTGCCTATTAAAATGATATTTTAGATATATTAAGTAGAAAATGCCATTGAAATTACTGTCACTTGTTTCCTTTTACTGTTTCATGTGACTACCATAAAATTTTAAATTACACATGTGGCTCGCATTTGTAGCTCGCATTGTATTTTTATCGGACGGCACTGGTCTAGAGAGCTCTTTCCAACCTTTTCTCACCTTCCAGAAGAGCATTTCACAGCTGTAATCCCCTGTGTGACATTGATTACCTGTTTTCTCTTCCCTACCCCTTCAAAATGTAGGGCTAAGAGAAACTCTTGTAATTGATGGAGAAGGTTGTCTCCTAGAAGATACTGCCTCTGGGATATTCCGGGTATGTTAGGATAGCAGGTTAGGGTCATTTAGCTTTGTGTGCCTGTTTACCCATCTGTGAAATGGGTTTAACAGTCCCTGCTCTGTGAGGTTGTTGGAGGAGTAAATGAGGTAAACCATGTAAGGCATTTGGCACAGGCCTTGGCATCTAGGGAGCACTTGAAAATAAAAGCCGTTGTTATTATTTTACCAGCTCATGAGTAGACATTTAGCAGAGTTCCTGGCATTGATTTCTCCCTCTCCTAGTTCCTGTTGGTGCTACATCGTGGGACCTGTGTGGGTTGCAGACTGGTCCCTGCTACCTAGAAAATCCAGGAACAACATCTCGCTTGAGCTCCTGCTCAGCAATTTGAAAGGTAGAAGGGAACTTGGAGATTTTCAGAGATTGCACACGGCCTGCGGAAGCTTCTTGACAGACTGATATAATCCATTGCAGCAATCAGCCCCTGGTGCCTGATGAAAGAGCTTTATAATTTCATGTATTTCATGAATAGCCAAGCTCATTTAGGATCCAAGCTGTGGACTCCAGGGTATTACCAGTGGTCCAGGCTTTAATACAGCTGTGGATTTATTTGACCAGTTGGATTGGGTGGTGGTCTCTGCATCTGAGTAGTGTAGAGACATCCAAAATCCCCTCTTGGGATGTTTGGTTCCTTTCTCCAACAGAATGCTAAAATGGGTGGCTTTTCCAAGTAAGGTGAATATTCTCTACTCTCCAGCCTGCTACTTAATTTGGAAATTAAAATGTGGAGAATGTGAGAGGCAGACAGGACATACCCATCTGAGAAAACAGTTAGGTCTGCCCAGAAGGGCTTCTAGCTTGGATCCCATTGAGTCCATGTGCATCCACAGGCCAAGGAAATGGGCAGTGGTGGCTAATGGCTAGGGAGGGATGCAAAGGCACAGCTGGGAAAACCCCATCCCTGTTTAATTGTTTTTGAGGTTCCCCCGATGGAAATACTTCCTTCCCAGGGAATGTTTGGCAGGGTGGACACATGCCCTTTGTTTGGTGCAGGTGATAAGAATCTGGGTTTCAGTGGTAAGTTCTTTTACGAGGGATAAACAAGGATGTTAAAGTCTTGCAGTTAGTGTGTTGAAGGGGCGCTGGAGGATCCTCAGGCCCCATCTCGAGCCTTGGAAACTCAGGGGAGGGCTTCTGAGAGCAGCCTGTGAGTGTCCACATGGGAGTGGGAACAAAAAGAGTTCCCTGAGGACTAGCTAATACCCTCCAGCAGAGCCAGACTTCAGAGTGACTCTGAAAGAGACTAGTCCTTCAGACCTTTCTGTTCACACGGAACTTTGGCCAAGTTATCTCTTGCTACGTTATCAAGGCAAACCCTTTCTAGGGAGTGCTGTGATCACCTGCATCTGCCTCTAGCGACAGCTCCCTCTCCCCGTGTCCCTTCATGGGGTCTGGGAGTTTTACTCTTGTGTAGTATTTTCCACTGAAAGCCCCAAGGGAAGAACATCTCCTTCACCAGGGGTGAGGGAGGGCATCCTGAAATTCTGCTGCTATTCCGACACGTGTTTTTTACAATGTGGCTAACACAAACCATTTTTTGAGCACCTACTGTGAGCATGAGCTGGTAAAATAAAATAACTTCATCTTAGGGGCTGGACACACTTTATCTGTAATTCATCCTTGCATTTTCCAGGTGTAAAAGTTGAGGTTTTGCTAAGTTAAGAAATTTGCCCTGTATCACGTAACTTGGAAAGCGGCGAAAGCCAGGCTTCTGACTCCAAAGCCAGTGCTCTTCTTTCTAACAGTGTGGTGTTTCTGTTCATACATGGATACCATCTACGCGCAGCTTGTGAATTGCACTTATTGGATTGAATTTTGGGTACTTTAAGAGCTGAGTTCTGAAAAGGAGAAAGGCCAGGTGAGCGAGGACAGAAGGCTAACTTAGACTGATATCTTCATTTTCTGGCACTTGGCCACTGTAGGGATACATGGAGTAGGGTGAAGTCTTTGTATACACAGCTGACCCTCGAACAACATGGGTTTGAACTGTGTGGGTCCACTTATACATGGATTTTTTCTTCAATAAATGTCTTAGAAGATTTTTTGGAGATTTGTGACAATTTTTAAAAAATCACACATCAACCATGTAGCTGAGAAATATTGAAAAAAATAAAAAATATGTCATAAATGCATAAGATGCATGTAGATACTAGTCTGTTAATGTGTTAACTGATGGTTTATGTTATTAGTAAGGCTTGTGGTCAACAGTAGGCTATTAGTAAAGCTCCTGGGGAGTCCAGAGTTGTACTCTGAGCCAGGCACGGTGGAACCTGTAATCCCAGCTACTCTGGAGGCTGAGGCAGGAGGATTGTCGGAGCCCAGGAGTTTGCAGCCAGTCTGGGCAACATGGCGAGACCCTATCTCAAACAAACAAAATTAAAAAACAAACAACAGTTATACTCAGATTTTCGACCGTGCAGGAGTCAATACCCTTAACCCTTGAGTCGTTCAAGGGTCAACTCTATTCTGATTTTTTTTTTTTTTTTTTGAGACGGAGTCTTGCTCTGTCTCCAGGCTGGAATGTAGTGGCGTGATCTCAGCTCACTGCAACCTCTGCCTCCCAGGTTCAAGAGATTCTCCTGCCTCAGCTAATTTTTGTATTTTTAGTAGAGACGGCGTTTCACCATGTGGGCCAGGATGGTGTCCATCTCTTGACCTTGTGATGTGCCCGCCTCAGCCTCCTAAAGTGCTGGGATTATAGGCGTGAGCCAATGCGCCCGGCCATCTGATTTATGGTTGATAAAATACTATAATGTATTTTAAACTTAGTAAGTGTTACATATGTTAATAAAAGTAAGGGAAAAAAACCTAACTGGGTAAGTGTGTTTTATTCCTGTGGCTAAGAATAAAATAAAAGGACTTAACGATTATTATTTTCTTTTGGCTGCAGAAACCCTTCAGTAGATCTTCTTAAGTTACCTTGGGTAACAGGATATAATTATACCCTTGGTCTGCAGAGGGCATGTTAGCAAGGTACTGTGTGATTTGTACTGGTTTCTGGAGGTTTTGGAGTAGTTACAGGGAAGTAATGTCTTGATGGAGAGAAAATATTTGTGTTTCCCTCATTGGCATGTTAGTCCTAGAGCATAGCAGACATGCCTTCTTGCTTTCTGACTTTTCAAAGCCTGGGCTTGGTCCATTCTGATGTTTTTCTCAATGGTATTTTTTTGTACCCATCTATAGCCAAGGAAGCAGCCATGTAGCCAGGGATGAATTTTAAACTTCTCTGGAGGTGGATACTCCTTGAATAATGAATCCCATCTCACTGTGCTCTCAGTTAGTTCTAGCCTGGAGGAGGCGTTGTAAATCTAGTCGTTAATTCCCCCAGAGAAAGTTGCCAGGGTTTGTTTTTGTCTTTCTTTCATGCCACACCTGTTAATTAGTTCCAGACACTAGCTAATCAGACTCAAGTGTAAAAGCTCTGGGGTAAGAAGGAAGGTCAAATCAGCGGTCTTTCTCCACACACAACAGAAGCCCTGGTTTTAGTAGCAAGGTTTCATGGCATCCTTTTCCCCACCTTAGTTCCCTGACTCTGCATTTGATTCATTTCTGAGTGCAGGCTGTGCGTAGCTCTGGGGCTTTTTGTCTTCTGTGGTGTTAGGTTTGTGCTTCTCAGTTTTAGAGCGTGTGGCCACGAGAATGTGAGAGGGGGAGCAGGGCAGAGTTAATGAGAGAACCCATGGTTGCTTCTTTTTTTCTTTTTTTTTTTTTTTTTTATGAGACAGTCTCGCTCTGTCCCCCAGGCTGGAGCGCAGTGGCACAATCTCGGCTCCCTGCAACCTCTGCTTCCCAGGTTCAAGTGATTCTCATGCCTCAGTCTCCCAAGTAGCTGGAATTAGAGGCACGCGCCACCACGCCCAGCTAATTTTTATATTTTTAGTAGAGACAGGATTCCACCACGTTGGCCAGGCTGGTCTCGAACTCCTGACCTTAAGTGATCTGCTCACCTCAGCCTCCCAAAATGCTGGGATTACAGGTATGAGCCTGTACCTGGCATATAGGTCCTTCTTTATCTTGGCATGTACTGTACTCTTATTTTATTTTGTTTTGTTTTATTTTTATTTTTATTTTTTTGAGACAGAGTCTTGCTCTAACACCCAGGCTGGAGTGCAGTGGCGTGATCTCCCCTCATTGCAACCTCCCCCTACTGGGCTCAAGCCATCCTCCCATCTCAGCCTCCCGCATAACTGGTACTACAGACGTGTACCACCATGCCCGGCTGATTTCTGTATTTTTTGTAGAGACAGGGTTTTGCCATGTTGCCCAGGCCGGTCTCAAACTCCTGGTCTCAAGTGATCCACTCGCCTTGGCCTCTCAAAGTGCTGGGATTACAGGGTGTGAGCCACTGCACCTGGCCCTTATTTTGTTTTATTTATTAATTTTTTGGTGCTGGGAATGCTGAGTATATCATATATTCATACATGTCATTATATCTAAATGATAAAAATCACAAGAGTAGCAACCACATGTAGCCAAAGTGGAAAGCTGTCCAGTACATTCTTTTTCGTCCTGGCACAACTCTGAGATTGATGCTGTTTCTCTAGGGGGGAATGGGGACAGCATGAGATAGAACAATTTATCCGAAGTGGCGAGTGCAGCCAGGACGTAGCCTGATAGGAACCCAGAAGCCTTTGCCTATGTTTGATAAGAGTGGAATTCATGTTAACTTTAACCATGTATTCTGTGTTTGTTGGGATGCTGTGAAGGGAAGGATGACCAGGCTCACTCTTGGGTCCAGCTGTTGACTTCTGGACCTTCCTGTTTCCAGGCTGTAGATACAGAAATGAATGCCTGAGATGTCCAGTGGGACGTTATGATTTTTAACTATTAGGGAGTTTCCTCTTGTACATTATTGCAAGGAAGATAATGGATTCAAGTCAACTGTTAGTGGAAACGCCATGTGTTAGCACTTTGCTTCGGGTTTTGGGGGTTCAAAAAATGTGTGCAAAAAGTCCCTAAAGCAATGTGTTGCAGTGTAAGACTGAAGCTAATAACATGCTGAAATACTGATTCAGATCCCAAGTGTTCAGGAGCGATAGAATAATGAGATAAGATACCTTCCTACGGGTATCCTGGCTGGTATTTTATGTACACAATGAAGTGAACACAAAGTGAACAGAGGCAATAATGAGCATACGGTGGTTGACCATGAGGCAAATGGGCTTATTCCTAGAGATGAATCATGCATGTCTGGGACTTGGACCCATATCTGCCTTGTATCTTAGGTGCTTCCTCATGGTATAAAGCCATTAGTGACTGCTAGCTGGCAGATGGGCCCTGCAGAGATTTGAGAGGCTTGGGAGCCAATGTTGATACGCATGGGAGCCAATGCTGGATGCATTGACTGGCCCCTGAACGCAAGGCTGAGGCATTGTCCATGGAGACTGAGCACAGGGAAGGGCTCAGTGGCTTCCTTACAGTGGTCTTGTAAACTATAGTGTCTCTGTGCTTGCTGGTCATGGACTAGCTTTGTGTCCTCAGGCCCCAGTACATCTATAAGATGGGATGATGATCCCTGTCTCATAGAGCTGATGGAAGAATTGGATGCGGATGTAAGTAAAGCACTGGTCCCTAGCAAACACATGATTATTGTTGTTTTTATTGTACTGCTATTATTTTTGCCTGCCTAGCATCTCTTTTAACATTCTTTGCTAATAGGACCTTTGCTACTCTTTGGGTATTGATCTCCTCTCCTCTCTGTGTTCTTGATGGGATCATCTGCTGATTAAGGAGCTCTGTCCACACCTTTTTGAGGGTGGTAAAAAACTCAGGCTGGGCTCGATACACCTTTTCTCCCTAGAATTGGCATCTTGAGCCACGTGACATGAAGACATCCTCATCTTTCTCAATTCCTGCTCCCTGAAGCTCAGAGCCACTCTGATCCTTGCCCTTTCAAAGCTGGATTGTTTGGTTCTTGGTTGGTGTCTCTGAGATGTCCAAGGTTCTCTCAATACATTCTTTTAATGCCTACGTTAACCAAGGGTTGATTTGGGTCATTTTCAATCAAAGGGCACCAATATCAGCTGGAAGTACACAGAAGGATAGATAACTAGATGTGTTGAGAAGGACAGGAACCTTCTCCCCTGCCTGCCAAAAATAATCCTTTAATAGTGGTTTCATTTCTTTGTTTGGTTTTTCGAGTTCATTCATTTTGAGCTTTTTATCTTCGGGAATCTGAGGACTTTTATTTTGGTGCTAGGGACAGCCTCTCTGGAGGAGACATGCTGATAACACTTAGCCTTAACTGCTTCTCTTGATTTTATTTGTAAATTAGAATCCTAAGGATCTGTAAGGAAATGAGTAAAACTTAATTGTACAACATTTAGAGCCTGAATTAAAAATAATAATAAAAAGAGTCTATAATGGTAAGAGGCCCTGGAGGATGAGATGAATGCTGAGCTGTGTGTCTGGGCATGTATTTTGTCCACACCTAATCCTTTCTGTCATGTTTTAACTACTCCTTAGAGTGGAGGTCAGCAGTGTCTGATTACCTCCAGAGTTCCTCTCTCTTATCGTATCTTGTCCCTCGCTCCATTTCCTTTTCTGGCATTATTGGACAGCAAGTGTTACAACTTAAAATCAATACGAAGCAATTTCATTTGTTTATAACTATGAAGATGAGCGCTTCCAGCAGAGCACTGTACTTTCAAGTAAAGTTTAGGTTTTTTTTTTTTTTTCTACTTTTTCTGTCTGGTGCCCAAAATGCATTAATTTTTCATTGTACGAGTTTGCTTATGTTATCCCGCTTTGATCTAAGGCCTTGTTACCATCATCATCTCTTTAAAACTGGGATTGTTGGCATCTGAATCATTTTTGTGTTTTGTAGGTCCTTAGTAATCACAGCTCCATTGAGTTTGTCCAGCCCTCACACGGAATCTTATTAAAAATGCAGCATCTCTGCCTGCCCCAGACCAATGGAATCAGAATTTGTGTTTCAGCAAGATCGCCAGGTGACTTGGTACATGTTGGAGTTTGAAGACTGCTCTGTGTTTGAATGGGATGTCATTCTAATCTCCACGTTTCTTCATAAATTTTTCACTAATTATTGAAGTATAGCAAATGTTCGTTACAGAAAATAGGGGAATTCAGCTGGGTGTGGTGGTTCACGCCTGTAATCCCAGCACTTTGGGAGGCTGAGGTGGGCAGATTGCTTGAGCTCAGGAGTTCCAGACCAGCCTGGCCAACATGGCAAAACCCCATCTGTATTAAAAATACAAAAATTAGCCTGGTCTGATGTCTGGCACCTGTAGTCCCAGCTACTTGGGAGGCTGAGGCAGGAGGATCACTTGAACCTGGGAGGCAGAGGTAGCAGTGAGCCAAGATTGCGCCACTGCACTCCAGCCTGGGCAACAGAGGGAGACCCTGTCTCAAAAAAAAAAAAAAAAAAGAAAAAGGAAGAAAAGAAAATAGGGGAATAATTCATATAGGTACGTGGAGGAAAATGGCAATCTTCTGTAAATCATCTGTAACCTCAACACGCAGTCTTATGACTTGCCATTTGGTACTATAGCCATTGGGTGGGTTGTTGATTCATTCTAAAAAACAATATTAGAGGCTGGTGTGGTGGCTCCCACCTAAATCCCAGCACTTTGGGAGGCTGAGGAGGGCGGATTGCTTGAGCTCAGGTGTTGGACACCAGCCTGGGCAACATGGCAAAACCCTGTCTCTACAAAAAAAGTACAAAAATTAGCCAGGTGTGGTTCCGTGTGCCTATAGTCCCAGCTACTTGGGAGGCTGAGGTGGGAGGATGGCTTCAGCCCAGGAGGCAAAGGTTGCAGGGAGCTGAGATGGTGCCACCACACTCCAGCCTGGGCAACAGAGCCAGACCGTGTCTCAAAAGAAAACAATATTAGGACAATATTGCAAATATTAAAACATCTTTTATTCAGCATGCAGTTTGATTCTTAGGAGATGAATGATGAAGATCCAAGTTCTGTTTTGGTCAGTGGCACAAAATTCTTGAAGAAACCTTCTTTTCTCTCAAACCTGTTTCATTTGTTGGGGACCTACTGTGTGCCAGGTGCTGCTGCCTACCTTGGGGAACCGTCTAGTTGGTAATCACAGTGGAATATGAAAAGACACTGATTGGGCTATTGGATTATAACATGAATTTTTAGTGAAGCCTCTGGACGGTTGAGACAAAGGAAATTATTAATGCATTTTGTTTTCTGCTTTTTCTTTTTTATTTTTTGCCTTGTTTTGCTAGTATGGATTTTGATTTAATTGCTACTTTAATTGCTTTCATTGGGTGATAGATTCCTCTGATTGAGTAGACCTTTTCCATCCCCAAATATCTAGGAGTTGAAACTTAAGGTCAGGAAGGACAAGTTCTTCAGTGGGAAATAAAAAAAAAAAAGGTGGTTGTCTTGGCAGCGGAAGCTTGCTAATTACACTGCCAGTTGTAGTATCTATTTATGATGGAGGCACTGGGGACCCAATTAGCAGGTCATTTTCATGTAAAAGTTTGGGATTGGACTCTCGTGTATGAAGATGATATGGCAACCAGTGAGCACCTTCCCAGTGCAGGGGAATTGAAGGTGGTTTTAGATCTCATTGCCTTGGATCTCCACAGGTCACTGATAGGAAACTAAAGCTTGACTGTTCCTTCTGTTCGTTTGCACCACCAGTTTCTAAAGTTATCTTGTCTGCAGGGCCAACATTACTGAAAAGTTGCTACTTTTGAGAGCCTGACTTCCTGGGAAGGAACTGGTCATAGTGATGAGACCAATAGGGTTGTGAGAATTTGCAAACTGGAAACATAGGGATGGGAAAGGCAGTGGGACCAGGAGGGCATTGACACATCCCTTCGGTCTGGATGTCCCATTTGTTTCGGGGCTGCCTCCCAGAAACAATCTACTTGGCTTCTTTGACTAACATTGATTTGGAAATGCTAGAGCATCATCAGACAGACTGGGCTACCGTGTTCTCTCCCTGTTTATTCCTTATCATTTGTAGACCTCGTGTTACCCAGGTATTTCTGTGCCCAGATATATGTGTCTGCTTCCAGCTCTCTGCCCACATGTAGGACACAGAGCAGGTGTGACTCACCTGGTGGATGCCAAGAACAGGGGAGTCTGTGATGGCCCATTGCAGGGGCCACTGTTACGGGGGATGGGGGTAGTGTTCTGACTCCTTTTTATGTTACTCACAGCAGAAATTAAGGGCCTATGGTGACAGTATACACAGTCTTGATGTTAGTTTATTTGTAGCACTGATGGCAAATATCTCCCTACATTATTGTGTAAAATAGAAATGTAGAAAGCAAACAGGCATGCTGTGTATAAAGGGCTTTTAACAGGGAACTTGTAGCTATCACTTATAATTTGTCCTTAAATTGTTAAATTTTGAAATAATTTCAGATTTCTAGAAAACTTACAAAATTGTACAAAGGATTTCTGTGTCCCCTTCTCAGGTTCTCCAAATGTTAAGTTGATCACATTTGTTTTTTCTCTCTATGCACATACACTCTTTCTGTCAGACTCATTTTCTCTCAAACACACACTTTTTTTTTTCTGAGCAGTTTAAGTTGCAGCCGTGATGTTTCTTTACCTTTAAAGACTTGAAGATGTGTTTCCTCAAAACAGGGACTTTCTCTTGCTTAAGTATAATACAGTCATCAACATCAGAAAACCAACTCAGATACATTCTGTTATGTAATTACAGACCTTATTCAAATTTAGTTAATTATCCCACTAATGTCTTTTATTTAATAGGAAACAATAAAGTTTTTCATTTTATCTTATTTTATTTTATTATTTTTTTTAAGACAGGGTCTTACTTTGTCATCCAGGCTGGAGTCCAGTGGCACAATCATAGCTCACTGCAGCCTCAACCACCTGGGCTCAAGCAATCCTCCCACCTCAGCCTCTTGAGTAGCCAGGACTACAGGTGCACACCACCATGTCCAGCTAGTTTTTAAAATTTATATTTGTAGAGGTGGCCTTACTGTGTTGCCCAGGCTGGTCTCAGACTCCTGGGCTTAAGTGATCCTTCCATCTTGGCCTCACAAAGTGTTGGAATTCCAGGCATGAGCCACTGCAGCTGTCCCATTTTTTTTTTTTAAACTTTTTTTCTGGTCCAGGATCCAAATCCATGATCACCGTGTTACATTGGGTTGTCTTGTCGCTTTAAAAAGTCTTCTTAAATTAGGAACTTTCTCTTTCATGACCCTGCCCCTTCAAGAGTACAGACCACTTAATTTTGTAGACTCTCCCTCACTTTGGATTTGTGTGATGCTTCCTGTGGTTAGATTCAGGTTATTATTTGCTTTTTATTACAGTTATGCGTCCTGTTTCTGAAAGGAGGCATGGAGAGCTCGTTTCAACTCTTTTTGATCTGGTACTCTTACTGCAGGGAGAAAGTTTTGAACATATACCCCTATTATACATACTTTCCTAAATTACAGTTGTACTCTTATACTGATGTTATATCTATCATAAAACATTCCAGAAATACAAAATTTAAGGATAATTTTTTTTTTTTTATCTTGAGACAGAGTCTTGCCCTGTTGCCCAGGCCGGAGTGATGTTGGCTCACTGCAACCTCCACCTCTTGAGTTCAGGCAATTCTCATGCCTCAGCCTCTGGAGCAGTGATGTGATGTTGGCTCACTGCAACCTCCACCTCCTGAGTTCAGGCAATTCTCATGCCTCAGCCTCTGGAGCAGCTGGGACTACAGGCCTGCACCACCACTCCCTGCTAATTTTTTGTATTGTAGTAGAGACAAGGTTTCACCATGTTGTCCAGGCTGGTCTCAGACTCCTGAGCGCAGATAGTCCGCCTGCCTTGACCTCCCAAAGTGCTGGGATTACAGGAATGAGCCGCCGCGCCCGGCCCTAGGAGGGATAAATATTCATTAACATTCATATATATGAAAAAAATATATACACACACATACTCATATATGCATCCGTGTATATGTATGCATAGATGCTCTGTTGTTTTCTTCAAGTAGCACAGTGCTGGAGACTTCTGCAACAAACAGCAGTTGTAGTCACCTCTCTACAGGGAGGAAGAATTCATAGCATGCTAAGTTGGGATTTATTGATCTCTCCATAGCTTATAGGATTTCCTGTAAAACAGGGGTCAGCAAATCATAGCCTGGGACCACCCAGTCTGGCCCACTGCCTATTCTGTACAGCTAGCAAGCTAAGAATATTTTGCTACATTTTTAATTGTTGAAAATAATTAAAAATAATATTATTTTGAGACGGACATAATTATATGACTTTCAAATTTCAGGTCCATAAGTAAAGTTTTCTTGAAATACCCATGCCCATATTTTATTGAAATAGCCGTATCTGTTTTTTTATGAACAGCACCACAATGGAAGAATGCTGTGTAGCCTGCATGCCTAAAATATTTATTATATGGCCTGTTACAGAAAAAGGCTGCCAACTCTTACTCTAATACCATCTCATTAAGGAAACTATCACTTGTTGAATGATATGTTCCAGGTCCTGAACTTAGCACTTTGCATATATTAATTTAATCTTTGCCCCAAACCCATGAGATACAAGGGTCTTCTCAGATATCTGCTTCTAAGATACTGTCTCTGCCATAGAAGTGAGAAAACTTTGAGGCTCACAGAAAAATTTCCCCCAGTTACACAACTGGCCAGTGGCAGGGCTAGGATTTGAAAGCAGTTCTTTTCCATTTTGGTTGTTGGTGACTCAAAGTCATTCTGAACTTTCAGAATTCAGGTGGTTGATGGGGTGGGGTGGGGGTGTCAGTATGCGTAGCTCAGGCCACTAGACTGGTCTGCGTGTCAGGATGGCCTTGTCCGTTGCTGTATGCTTAGCACATGGGGACACGTGGCAGCTGCTTAGTGAAGAGTTGTCGGGTGGATGGATGAGTGGATGGGTAGATGGGTGGATGGATAGGTGGATAGTGGACAGCTGGATGGATGGATAGATGATGCCTAAACTCAGCATGGAAAATGAAAGTCGAATATGGATGTGTAGTCAGGGTCAGTTACTAGACTAGATTTATAGAAAACAGCCACTCACATTTGGCTAGAGCAAGAGACCCACAGTTTAGGGAATCTGTGGTGAGAAGTTGAGGAGTTAGGCCAGAGATGATGCTAGGAGCCAGAGGGTTTCAGACTGATGCTTTCCGAGACACGTGGTAAGTGGTGACTCAGGATGACACAGCTCTTTGGAAATGCCTAGAGCTTGTGTCCGTGTACCATTGGGCACAATCCTTCTCAGGATGGCATCATCTTCTATTTCAGAATGAGATGGATGGGCCAGGAGCATGGCAGCATCTACTCCTGGAGTAGGCATTGTTGGCATTTATTTTTTTCTTTAATCAAAAAAAAAAAAAAAATAGGCTGGGTGCGGTGGCTCACGCCTGTAATCCCAGCACTTTGGGAGGCTGAGGTGGGCGGATCACTTGAGGTCAGGAGTTCAAGACGACCCTGGCCAACATGGCCAAACCCCGTCTCTATTAAAAAATATATAAAAATTAGCTGGCGTAGTGGCACGCACCTGTAACCACAGCTACTTGGGAGGCTGAGGCAGGAGAATCGCTTGAACCTGGGAGGTGGAGATTGTGGTGAGCCAAGATCGTGCCACTGCACTCCAGCCTGGGCAACAGAGCAAGACTCCATCTCAAAAAAAAAAAGTATAATACATAAATACGTTTTTTTCTTAGAACATTTCAACTAAGGCTTACATCTGTTGACTACTTCCCTCTTGTCCTGCTGCCCTAGAGTATGAAGAGATTTGAATAGGTTTACAAAAGTATATTTATAGAAATACATAGATTATTTTTACATGAATAATATGCTGTATTTATCATTGTATTGCTTGTTTTTTTCATTTGGTAATAGTTTAAAAAATACTTGATTGTTGACCCCTAATACATTTAGCATAGTCTTTTTAGTTACAGTATAGTATTCTATTGTTGAAAATATGTTGCAGAGGTGCCATATGCAGTGGCTCATGCCTGTAATCCCAGCACTTTGGGATGCCAGATCACTCGAGGTCAGGAGTTCAAGACCAGCCTGGCCAACATGATGAAATACCATGTCTATTAAAAATACAAAAATTAGCCAGGTATGATGGTGCATGCCTGTAATCCCAGCTATTTGAGAGGCTGAGGTGAGAGAATTGCTTGAGCCTGTGGGAAGTGGAGTGAAACCTCCACTGGGCAACAGAGCAAGACCCTGTCCCAAAAAAAGAAATGCTGCAAATGTAATTAGGCATTCTCCTGCTGATGGCCATTAAGGCCACTTCACAGAAAACAGTCTTTATATGTACCTCCTTGTGCACATTTGCCAGTATTTGTTTAGGGTCAATACAGAGATTTGGAACTGTTGGATCATAGGATAATAGAAACGAGGGTCTTGGCTAGCCCTCCCCTTCTTATGGTACTGGATACCCGAGGGCAAGATTCAGTCTCCATTAGCTGGTCCTCTTAGCTTTTCTTCTTGTGGATGCTATTTGTTTTTCTTTCTTTTTTTGGAGATTGAGAGGGCACAGGGATGAGCTTGCTGTGATAATTGCAGGCCAAGTTTGTATGAATCCAGGACCTCCTATCTGCTGTGTCACTGGGCCTGCAATGGGTTTTCTTCCCTCTGTTGTTAAGGGACAGATAAGATGTAATTGCCTTAATGCTGAATTGCCTTTCAGCAGGAGGGAAAAGGGACCAGTGGCTTCTCCTTCTCTAGGCCAGTGGCATGGAAAGGAGATGAAGAAGGAGTAGGAAGAGGAGAGGGCAGTGAGGTGTGTAGAGGAACTAGAGAGAATCCTGTAGACCTCAGGTTTTGAACTTGGTGGTGGAAGCATGATATGCTCTGGCTTAAAAATATTCACTGAAGCACTATGTATAGTGGTTGGGGTTGGGGACATGGGCTTTGGAACTGGGTAGATGGTGACAAGGGCTTTGGAACTGGTAGATAGATACGGTGCGATTCCTGTTTCTAGGCATAACTAGCTAAGTTACTCAACCTATTCTGAACTTGATTTCCCCAAGGATCCTTAAGAATTGTTCCTCAAAGGGGTAGAAGGGGATGTTCCAGAAGAAAACAGATGTGAAGTGCTCCTCCACACAGTGGAGTGCTAATTTTTTTTTTTTTTGGATGGAGTTTCACTCTTGTTGCCCAGGCTGGAGTCAACGGCATGATCTCCGTATCACCGCAGCCTCCGCCTCCTGGGTTCGAGCAATTCTCCTGCCTCAGCCTCCCGAGCAGCTGGGATTACAGGCCACCATACCCAGCTAATTTTGTATTTTTAGTAGAAACAGGGTTTCTCCATGTTGGTCAGGGTGGTCTCGAACTCCCAACCTCAGGTGATCCGCCTGCCTCAGCCTCCCAAAGTGCTGGGATTACAGGTGTGAGCCACCGCGTCCAGCAGTGGAGTGCTAATTGTTAATTCTCTGCTGTATGTCAGTTCCTAGTTTTGTGCGGAGACTGTAAAGGATAAGACGTGTTCCCGCCTTCAGAGCAAGTATGGCCTAGAAACTGCTGTGTAAGTCAATCAGCATGAATACAATGTTGGATGAGCCCAAACTGCTTGGAGTTTCTCTCAGTAAGAGGCACTGGGGGAAAAAAGGACTGAATTTTCCCTTTCTCTGAAGCTTAAACTGTGCCAGGGTGAATGGATGTTGCAGCATGCAATTTTTGTTTTTATATAAAGTTTAGCCTAATCAAAATAGTTGCATATTATTTTCTTAGTAGTCATTGTAGGAAACACCAATTTTTTCTTTTCTCTCTCTTTTTCTTTCTTTCTTTCTTTCTTTTTTTTTTTTTTTAAGAAAGGGGGTGATCTGTCTAGCTTGTGGACTCTCTCAATATTCACCCTGTCTCTGAAAATCACCCTCCCACCTCCTTGAATTCTGGTGAAGGCAGTCCCACAAGTTTGTGTTCCACCGGTTGAATAGCCCTGTTAGGAAGACATCCATTTTCCCCCACAAGTTCCCATAAAAGCCGTGGGGCTGACCCTTACTGGACTCAACTTGGGGCATGGCCCCATCCTTGACCTAAGTATGGCCCGTGGGGCTGTGCTGAAGGTGGTTCCTTAGAATAAATACTGGGCAGGCAAAAACAATATAGGTGCTGACTGGGCCTAGGGTATTCTAGGATATTCTATGTCTTACTACTCAGGGTATCATGCTCTGGTCAGCAGCATCACCATTACCTGGAAGCTTGTTGGAAATGCAGACTCATAGACTCTTAGGCCCCACTGTGGGATCTCATGGATCAGAATCTGTTCTTAACATATTCCTATGCACATTGGAATTTGAGATGTGTGCAGTGCTGGAGCAAGTCAGGGAACTCTGGCCCATATCCATCTCTTCTTCATGGCATATCCCTGTATACACACTGGGCACCTCCATCTCCCACCAGGGCTCACACCTTTGAAACCCTAAAGCAGTGTGTGTCAAGAGAGGCCCCACCATGATGAATTGCTTTTAGATGTTCCTATAGTTTCCTTTAAGACCAGGAATCAGCATTTCCTTTGTTAGCTAGGTAAAAATAATGAATTGGAAAAAAAAAAAAAAAACCAACCACAAAAGATGGTCCAGGTTTTCCTCACAGTTAAAATAACTGGTTACATGGGTGGGAATTGCTGCATAAAGGCTTAAATCTATTCCTTAAAAACAAGCTGTGTATACAGTTCTCCTTTTCTTAGCTAAACAAAATGAACTGGGTTTCAAAAATTGGAGATGAATGAGGTTCTTATAATAATCAGTTGCATTTACTTATCAGCTCTTGTTCCTGTTCTCTTCATTTCCTTTCAGATTGAGGCATTTTTAATGAGGAGAGAAGTTAGAAAAGGGGGTCAGGAAAACTGGAAAAAAAAAAAAAAAGAAGAAAAAGCCAGAAAAACTCTTCTGCTGAGCTCTGTAGCTGTTCTCAGTTCTTTAAAGTGCTTGAAAAGTAATATTTTGTTGCTACTAAATCTAATTAATAGCTAGCTGGTACTCATCAAGACCTCATTTCTTTCAACCTTGAAGGCAATTGGAAAGATACACAGATCTGTGTATTATCACAGCAAACGAATTCTCTTTTTTCCTTAATCACTTAGAGCTTGGTAAAGCAATGTAGGCAGCAGACGGACAGCTGTGTTTTAAAAAATAAAACGCATCTCAGGATGTTCACTGTGGCTCGTAATGAATGTGTATTGATTTTTAGAATTACTTTTTGAAAAAAATAGAATTTTGAAAGCAGAATCTAAACTGTATACTAGGCATGGTTCTTAACAGAATAGCCTACCTGTTCCTGAATGTTTGGATTGAGTGAATAAGTATTTGGAAGCCTGTCCTCTGCCCAGCACGGACTAATCAGAATGCTGTGGGCCAAAATGGGTTTAAACACAAAGAGAGGATGAAAATACTCCTCCGGGAGGAGGGCGCCGGGTGGATTACAATGCAGAGCCCTGCATCTCTGCCTGTGTAGGGTGCAGCTGTGGGCTGTTAGTTACATGGGCATTTCTTCCATTCTGAGTGGACCAAGTGTGAATTGACTTGGTGCCTGAGGTGCAGATAGGCTCAAGGAAAGTAGGTCAGGCCTGAATTGTGGCTGTTAGACGTTGGGAGTGCAAGCAGAAGAGAAGACAGTGATTACAAATACTGCCTATTTAGAGGACAAGAGCAACTTCGGAGAGTTGGAGGAGCACCCCCCATCTGCATACCACCTCCTCCATCCAATCAGTTATTTCTGCGGAAGCACACCCAGGACTGATGATGTTTTGTGTGTTGTTAGGTAGACTGTTACTCATTTGGCAGATATTTATTAGGTGTGTACTTTGTGCCAGGTCCTTTGTTTGAACCTCAAACCTGCCTTGGGTTGGTTGTGCCAGTGGCGCCGACATCCATCACTACTTTGCATGTTGGTAATTTATATACTACACTAATAATCTGGCAGTCCTGCTTTCAAGCCTGACTCTTATCAATAAAGCGTAACTGAGAAATGCGCACAGTGTGTTTGGGGAAATAGTTTACAGGAAGAAACACGATGTTACAATAAAATTGGCCTGATCTAAGCATAGCTAAAGTCTGAAATTGACAGGGAATTGTTACAATTAGTGCACTGATTTTTTTTTTCTTTTAACCATTCCTTGTCTGTTGCGGGAAAATGAAAGTTTTTCCTCTCCGGATGAAAAGCGAGAAAACTGATCTGTTTATTTACAGATGTTTGTCATTTTGTCAAAACACACAGATGACGGTCTACGTTCTTTGGTTTCTGTCTGGACATGCTGCATGTGTCTGTATAATGAGAGCAGCAATAATCTCCCACTTCCCCTGGACGAAACCGAACAAGATGTGTTTGTTTTTTTTTTTTTCCTTTGTACTCTGAATGTGGGAACTTAATTGTCTGTGTTCGCTGGTGAACTATTTGTTTCTATGCTAGGTGCTAGTACATATTAACGTTGTACTTCCTTTGCAGAAGGGGAAAAAATCTGATTATATAGTGTTACGTAGCTGCTCAAAGTTAATTGAAATTGACTGAAGTAAGACTCTGGGGACTCTAAGATGTCTCTTCTTACAGCTGGGAATGTGTCCTCAAAGTTTGTATATTCTCCAAGATGGGTCAGCAGTGTTGCAATTCCAAGAAAGGGACTAGATGTCAGAACTTGGGCAAAGGAGGCATTTCCTGTGACTGCTTGAGAGAAGGTGGTAGAGAATTTCATTTTGGTAACTTTAGTAGTTTGGCCCTAGGCCTTGACCCTTCCTTCTCCTAATTGAAAAGACATTATATTCATAGGCTAGTAGGCTGGAATACCATTTATATACTTGACACAGCATCTGTCAAGCTCAGTGGGACTGTCTAATATTCACATGTAAAACTGGGTTGGGGTCTTGGAGTCTTTATTGGTTTTATAGGTTTAGGTAACTGATTCATATAGTAGCTAAGAAATCTATCTAGTGTTCACTCCAAGGGAAAAGATTAGATAATTTATATGTTGTATTTCTTTTTATACTTCTGTTTCTCTCAGTAAACAAAGTGTTTAAAGAATAAGCAGCTATAGCCTGAAGTGTTAGTACCATTGTGTTTTTTTAGCAAGTCTTGGAAAAACTGAAGGTATTCTTGAAAAGAAAGCTCCACCACCCCATGTAATTTATACATAGCCTACGTTCAAGGCAAAAATCCATTTAGGCAGAAGGACAATTCATTTTGAAAACAAATTGCACAATCTCCATTTGTATTTGGTTTTAGAAATGGAAAATGTACTCTTCTTAAGTCAGTTTTCAGTAACTTTTGGCCAAAGGATATTTTGGGACAAAGAGTATTCTTGAAAAGTTGCTTATCTTTGAAATGCTTAGGTTAACGTAGAAATTTTATCGTTGTCACCCCCTCATTCCTGAACCCCACAGTCTCAACTTGTTTTCCATTGTAAGAAGACAGTGGATATGTACATTTAGCTTAAATTAAGTGGAATTGTACCATAGTTTCACATTACTTTTACTGTGTGAGTATGAGACAACATACATATTCATTTATAAAAACAACAGGAATTTTTGCAAGAGAAAAACAGATTTCACTAGTGGTTTTCAAAACACAGAATCTGTTTCAATTCGGATGGATTTGTTGTTGTTGTTGAAGCACAGTATATGAAACACGTAGCATGACCTCTTTATTTGACAAATAACTGGGGCAGTGTAGGGCAAGACACTTGCTATCTGAGGCTTTAAAGCAAGCTATTTGTTTTTTATCTAGTGTAACACTTCTCTCATTCCTGATGAGGAAACTGAGATTCAGAAAGTCCGAGACCCATTCAGAGTCACTGTGAGTTGGTGGGAGAAGTGAGTTTGAACCCAGGTCTCCTCTTTGCTAGTTTGTAATTGTTTCCTTTTTCACAAGTAGAAAAGACAATGAACAAAAATGAGAATTGCATGAATATGAGTTTAGAGTCTCAATTAGTTTATTATTATTATTATTATTATGTTTACTCTTATTCCCTAGTGAGACAGAATTACTTTTTAGAAGTGAATAATTGTCTCAAGGTTTTTATGCAGCTTAACCTATATTTTAGTAACATATGTCTTAGTCCATTTTGTGCTGTTATAACAGAATACCTAAGACTAGGTAATTTATAGTGAAGAGAAATTTATTAGTGCAGGCTTTTGGAGGCTGGGAAGTCCAAGATTAAGGGGCCAGCGTGTGGTGAGGGTCTTCTCGCTGTGTCATCCCTTTGTGGAAAGGCAAAGAGAAGGCGAGGTAGGGAAGGGGCAAACTAGTCCTTTTATAAGGAACTTACTCTCCCAGTAACAAACCCACTCCCTCCTTAATGACATTAATCCATTCATGAGGGCAGTGCTCCCATGACCCAAACACTTCCCATTATGCTCCACCCAACACTGCTGAATTGGGGAGCAGGTTTCCAGCACATGACCTTTGGGCGACAGATTCAGACCATACTGTATTATCCGCCCTCCATATCTGCTGAGTATTGATTCTAGGACTCCCTGTGGATACCAAAATTTGCAGATGCTCAAGTCCCTTATCGTCGGCCCTCTAGATCCTTGGATTTTGATCTGCTGTTGACTGAATTCAAGGATGTGGAACCTGCTGCTGTTAGGGAGGCCTGACTGCATATTTGATGGAAATAAATGGTATAGAACATTTAATGTTGAATTTTACTTTCCCTGGTCTATTAGTTTAGAATACCACCAGCTGCCCACATTATCTAGGGCATGTAAGTCCATTTGTTAAAGGGTCTGATTTAATCTTTTTACCATGTAGGATTTGGTTTTAGGTCATTGTCCTGAACTTAATAAATTGGTTTGGATTTCCTGTGTGTTGTGGGCTTATGTCATCTTTAATTTAATCTATTAAAATGGATAAATCTGCAAGGATGTTGAAGACCCTGTATTTCTTTGACAGATTTCTGTGAGCCACTGAATCACTTTATTTTTGCTAAATATTGATATTTATGTGAAAATGGATAGAGTGATTTGTGTTAGTTGTCATTAGGGACATTTTACTAATAAGAAATTTATCCTCTTAAAGCATTTTGGAGCCATTGTCATGGAGTATAAAACAAAGCTAAACATTATTCTAGCATGAAAAATCCACTTAAAGGGTACAGTAGTTGCCACAGTTTGTTTTTCTTTACCAACCAAGATACGGCTTTGAAACTGAGGGGCACTGGCTATGGGAAGGAACCGCTGGCACTGAATGAATAGAAATTTTGAACATGCTTGTTTTGAAACTCGGCTACCTCTGTTCAGGGTTGACCGGTCTCAGTGGTAACAAGCTAAAAGTGAAATAATGCCTTTTTGCCAACACCATCTTGATTCTTCTTGTATGGACTGCTTGAGCCAATGTAACACATAATGTAGAGCAAAACAAGGAATCGATAAAGCCATTAAGCAGCTCACTGTCTGGCTAGGAATGTTGATGAATGGGTCCGCATTTCCCCTTGGGTGTTTTTATTCACCACGGGAAGAAAAGGAGTGGGCCAAGAAAGTAGAAAAATTGAGAAGAACGGCTTTTCTTGCTTCAGTGAGGCAGCGCAGCTAGTGTCTGTCCTTTTACCCTGGAGATTCCTTTTCTTATCTCTGAACTAGGATGTGAGGTTGAGCGTCCTGTGCTGTCCCCGTCCTGTCTCTTATTTTGGGGCTTTATTACTTGATGATAGAGTGAAGAGCTATAAGACACGCTCATTAAACTCGGCCATCAGTTAAGGTGTGACTCCGCTTAGAGTCGGGGACCAGTGCCCAAGAGATGTGATGCCATTGAGTGGGGCCACAAGAGAAGATGTGAGCTTGGATGGTATATTCGTTTGCTAGGGCCCCTGTAACAAAGTACAACAGCATTACAACAGTCTGGGTGGCTTTAACAATGGCAATGTATTGTTTCATAGTTTTGGAGGGCAGAAATCTGAGAGTGTAGGCAGAGTTGGTTCCTTCTCAGGGTCGTGAGGGAGAATCTGTTCCGTGCCCTCCCCTAGCTTCTGGTGGTCTTTTGACATTCTTTGGCCCGCGGAAGCACCATACCGACGTAATTCCTTCATGTTCACCTGGTGTTCTCCCTGGCTGTGTGTGTCTGTGTCCAAGTTTCTCCTTGCTGTAAGGATACCAGTTGTACTGGAATAAGGCCCACCCTAATGACTTCATCTTAATTAATGATATCTGCAGTGACCCAATTTCAATTCAACACATACAGATGGATAGGAAGATAGCTAGTTTTGTGTCTCTAAAATCTTAGTTAAGAGTGGCTGCAGTCAAGCAACCTCAGTCAAGCAACCTACAGATTTGGAATTAGCACCTACTGTGCATTAAACCATTAATTAATTAATTAACTAATGATAGTCTTGCCCTGTCGCCCAGGCTGGAGTGCAGTGCAATGACTCGATTTCAGCTCACTGCAACCTCCGCCTCCCAGGTTCAAGCGATTCTCCTGCCTCAGTTTCCCAAGTAGCTGGCATTATAGGCACACCACCACGCCTGGCTAATTTTTGTATGTTTAGTAGAGACAGGATTTCACAATGTTGGCCAGACTGGTCTCGAACTCCTGACATCAAGTGATGTACCTGCCTTGGCTTCCCAAAGTGTTGAGATTACAGGCATGACCCATTGTGCTTGGCCATTGAAACTTTTTTCTAGGTGCTTTCACATATCCTGCATTCTTTTTTCTTTGTTTGTTAGTTTGAGACAGGGTCTAGCTCTGTCGTCCAGGCTGAAGTGCAGAGGTATGATCTCGGTTCACTGCAATCTCCATTTCCTGGGCTCAAGTGGTCCTCCCAACTTAGGTTCCCAAGTAGCGGGGACTACAGGTGCACACCACCATGCCTCCCTAATTTTTTTTTTTTGTAGTAGAGACGGGGTTTTGCTATGTCACCCAGGCTGGTCTTGAACTCCTGGACTGAAGTGATCTGCACGCCTTGGCCTCCCAAAGTGCTAGGATAATCGGCATGAACCACCGCACCTGGCTGATCCTGCATTCTTCACCACAGCAAACAAATGCATTCATGTTTCTGAAAGTTGTAAAGGCTTTATAATAGAATAGAATAGAATGGCTGGGCAGGGTGGCCCACGCCTGTAATCTCAGCACTTTGGGAAGCTGAGGCAGGCTGATCACTTGAGGCCAGGAGTTTGAGACCAGCCTGGCCAACTTGGCAAAACCCCATCTCTACCAAAAAATACAAAAATTAGCCAGGTGTGGTGGTGTACACCTGTAGTCCCAGCTAATCAAGAGGCTGAGACAGGAGAATCACTTGAGCCCAGGAGGCAGAGGTTGCAGTGAGCCAAGAGCAAGCCACTATACTCCAGCCTGGGCGACAGAGTGAGACATTGTCTCAAAAAAAAAAAAAAATATATATATATATATATATGTGTGTGTGTGTGTGTGTGTGTGTAAAATAGAATGAACTTTATAGACAAGCAGGCACACTTTAGAATCTTCTACTCATCTTTTATTCCTTTCTGGGTACTGAAAAGCATAGTAATTCTAATTCCCAGTCACCTGCATGAAGACTTTGATTTCAGTCAAGCTCAGTGGGCAGCCAATGTTGACATTACACAAAACATGTACTGTATCATTACGTAAGACATGAACTGTACTTTTTGAGTGATTCACGGGATTTGTCAGGGGTAATTTTGACTCTGGATGAAACCTTTTACTTTGTCTTTTGAACTTCTTACTAAAGTTTGATGATGATGTGGTTTTGGTTCTTTTGTTTTTTGTTTTTGTTTTTTGAGACAAGGTCTTGTTCTGTCACCCAGGCTGGAGTGCAGCGGCACAATGACAGCCCACTGCAGCCTTAATCTCTCAGGCTCAAGCGATCCTCCCACTTCAGCCTCCTAAGTAGCTGGGACCATAGGTGTGCACTACCATGCCTGGCTCATTTTTAATTTTTTTGTGGAGATAGAGTTTTCCCAGTGTTGCCGAGGCTGGTCTCAAACTCCTAAGCTCAAGCAGTCCTGCTACCTCGGTGTCCCAAAGTGCTGGGATTACAGGCTTGAGCCACTGCACCAGGCCTGTTTTTGTTTTTTAAAATGTCTTAAAGTTGGGTATTTTCAAGCCTGCCTTTAGAAGTGGAACCTGTTTTGCAAATAAAATCTTACTTCAAATCTCAATGTATAAAACAGATTTTTAAAAAGAGCTTTTTTGGGCCAGATGTGGTGGCTCACGCCTGTGACCCCAGCACTCTGGGAGGTCGAGGCGGGCAGATCACTTGAGGTCGGGAGTTCGAGACCAGCCTGGCTTACATGACATAACCCTGTCTCTACCAAAAAATAGAAAAATTAGCCAGACGTGATGGCACACGCCTGTAGTCCCACCTCCTTGGGAGGCTGAGGTGGGAGAATCACTTGAACCCTGAAGGCGGAGGTTGCAGTGAGCTGAGATTGCACCACGGCACTCCAGCCTGGGTGACAGACGGGGACTCTGTCTCAAAAAGCAAAACAGAGCAAAACAAAACAAAAGGAGCTTTTCTGAATCAGGGTATCGGCTTCTGTTCGATGCCTGCCTCCCACCTTTCTGAGTTGAGTTAACTCATCCAGAACACACTTTGGGAAGACACTGAAACACTGTAGAATGTGGGCATGTTGGCCTCTGCTATTTGATGTGAGTTTTATTATCTAGAGGAAAATTGCAACATTATATCCTTTGGGTAATCTCCAGTATTTATGGGCTCAAATCAGTGTTGATGGTGTATTCTTTTGTTCACTTATTCAACAAAAACAAAAACGATGTTGGAGGTCAAAGGATCAGTGAGTCTCTTCCATAAGAGTTCTTGGTTTCTCTTTATCCATCCATCTCATATTTATTGAGTACCTCCTATGTGCCATACCTTATTTTAGGTATTTGGAAAAGTGACAAAACCAACAAATAATATCAGCCTTTATGGAGCTTGTATTTTAGTGGGGGGAAACAGACTAACATGATAGAAGGTGACATGTGTCAGTAAAAAGGAAAGAAGAATCATGGAAATCAGGAATTGGGTGGGAGTTGGGTGGATTGCCACCTATCTTAAATAGACCTCATTGGAAGAAGTTAATATTTGAGCAGAAATGTGAAGGAGGTAAAGTTAAAAGTTAGGAGCAGAGGGAACATACTACTCACTCTCATGCGTGGTTTCATTTGAACCTTACAACAACGCTGTTAGAGCGTTGCTGTCAACCTTCAGCCAACACTGACGTTGTCCAGGATGAAGTGATTAGGAAACAGTGGTGGAATTCCCAGCCTGTGGGTGGCTTTATGCAAGATGCAGCTGGCTAATTGGACAAATGTATCTATGTGACTGTGTTAATGGAAGCCTTCTTGGGCTTCTGTTCAGGCCTTCCTAGCTTTTTTTTTTTAAATTTTTAATTTCTGTGGGTACTTCTAGCCTTTTGGCTGGCTGTCTTAGTCAATAGGGTTGAGACTGTACCTGTCTTGCTCACTTGGGTTTCCACAGTGTCTCGTTCATAGCTTACATGTGTTGATTAAACAAGAAGGAAAAAATATGCCACCTGCCCCCTTGTAATTAAAAGAGAAGTTCAAACATCCAACCCAGTGTACACAATCCAGAGGGAAATGAAATCAGCATCCTCACGGTGGGACCAGTCAAGTGTCCAGCTACCTCACACACGTGGGCTTCTAATTTTCTCTGTGGGTCACACTAAATAGTCCATTGTTCATCAAGGAGAGAGGAAATTGATTTCAAATTACGCCTGTATTGGTTAAAAACTGAACTGCCATGAATGCTTTATGGGATCAGGGAGAAGATAGGCCCAGGGTTTTAGCTGCAGTAAAACCTGCTTAATTAACCAGACACTGTCTATTACTATCTTGACAGTCAGCAGGACCCCCTCTTCGGCACAGGGGCTTAGTTTTGCAGCCCATGCTTGCAGGGCCAGGCTTGGTTTAGACCTATAAGGGTGGAGGGTTTGGGCTTCTCATCTGTTGTCTACTTCCTTCCCTGGGTCACTGCTTGTGCCGGCTGGTGAGAACTGATTGTTACATTTTCAGGAATTTTGAGAGCCAATTATTAAACACAGTCTTTTAAAACATAGACTTATGTAAACTTACAATTAAATTACATTTAAGAAGTGACAAATATCTCAAGCTCAACACTTCCTAATGATTTTCCTGCATTTTACTCTGATCTGTGCTCCGGAGGTTGTATCTGTGGTGTGTGTGGTAGTATTACTGTATAATGGTTTGCTACTGCACATCTTTCCTCCTTCACATTTAGTGATGTTACTTCATTTTGGTGCTTTGAAATGGGTCATCATGGGAATATTTATACCATGGAAATCAGCAAACACTATAAATCAGCCACCCTGCTGGAACTGGATGGTAAGTGTTTACCAAACCACCACTGACTTGGGGCATCCTCTGAGTTCCTTAGGGCTACTGATAAAGTTTGGATGTTTGTCCCTACCCAACACTCATGTTGAATTGTAATTCAGCATGCTGGAGGTGGGGCCTGGTGGGAGGAGTTTGGATAATAGGGGCGGAGCCTTTGTGGTTTGGTGCTGTCTATGCCATAGTGAGTTCCTATGAGATCTGGTCATTTAAAATTGTGTGGCATCCCTCACCTACCCCCACTTGCTTCTGCTTTGCCTTCTGCCATGATTGAAAGCTCCTTGAGGCTTCACCGGAAGCCAAGTAGATGCCAGCACTGTGCTTCCAGTATAGCCTGAAAAACTGTGAGCTCTTTTCTTTATAAATTACCCAGTCTCAGGTATTTCTTTATAGCAATGCAATCATGGCCTAATATAGCTACCATTACAAAATGCTACAAACTGGTGAGTTAAAAAAGAAGGAAATTTATTGCCTCACAGTTGTGGAGTTCAGATGGTCCAAAATCAAGGTGTTGGCAAGGTTGCTTTCATTTTGGAGGCTCTGAGGGAGAATCTGTCCCTTGCCACTTTGTAGCTTCTGGTCCTTGCTGGCAATCCTTGGCATTCCTTGCCTTGCAGATGTGGCTCCAATCTCTGCCTCCATCTTCACATGGCACTCTACCTGTGTCTGTGTTTTCACATGCTCATCCTACCATCAGTGTCTCTCTCCCCTTACTATAAGGACACCAGTCATATTGGATTAAGGGCTCATTCTACTCCAATATGACTTCACCTTAACCAGTTATATCCACAGTGACCCTATTTCCAAATCATGTCACATTCTGAGGTACTGGGCATTAGAACTTTAGCATGGCTGGGCACGGTTTTATTGACATATATTTGTCAACATATGCCTGTAAACCCAGCTCATGCCTGTAATCCCAGCACTTTGGGAGGCCGAGGTGGCAGATCGCTTGAGGCTAGGAGTACAAGACCTGTCTGGCCAACATGGCAAAACCTTGTCTCTACTAAAAATACAAAAATTAGCTGGGCATAGTGGTGGGCACCTGTATTCCCAGGTACTCGGGAGGCTGAGGCAGGAGAATCACTTGGACCTGGGAGGCGGAGGTTGCAGTGAGCAGAGATTGCACCACTGCACTCCAACCTAGGTGACAGGGTGAGACTCCGTCTCAAAAAAATAAAATAAAAAATAGAACTTTAACATATCTTGTTCTTTGATGGTGACGGGAGGTTGTAATAATTCAACTTTTAACTTCTGCCAGTGGTTTTAAGTTGCCTATTGTGACATCTGGCCTGTAGGAGCCCAGCTCAGATCATACAAATAAACATTAAAGGCCCATATGTCTAAGAACTTTAGTGGCTTACTATGCATCAGGTATTATTCTTTGTCACATCAGTTCTCCTTTAACCCTCTCAACCAGCCTGTAATGTAAGTACCATTTTTTCCATTTACCAAATAAGGAATTTGGTAAACTGAGTAAGCTGGAATAATTGTCCTGGCTAACAAGTAGCATACTTGGTAGTTGAACGCAGGTCTGTGACCTTTTGTATTGTAACACTGCCATTCATCAGCTTGCTTGCCATGAGTTTTTTTTTCCCCCTAGAACCCTATTAGCTGTGCCACGGCCACATGGAGGGTTCATTGTGGCAAAGTAGGAGAGAAGGAGTATCTGTTTTTCAATAAAACTCCTTGTAGATTCAGGGTCCAGGCAGGGTGCCCTGATATATATTACCTGATTTGATCTTCATGACAACTTTACAAGTCACTCGGTCTGCTAGATGAGAAAATGGAACTGGAGGGGAATAAAATGAACTTTGTACACAGAGCTGGTAAAGGGGACAACTGACGAGGTAGCCCAGGTCTCTTCGGACCTAAAGGCCTTTCTTGTTGGATCATGCCACACTCTGTCCTTCAGCACATCCAACATCTGATAAACTGGCATCTCCCATTCGCTATCCTTCTCTTTGCTGGAGGATTTAGTCACGCGTCTGTTTATTTTCTCATTCAGTTAGTTAAGTACTGAGAGAACCCTAACGATGTGCTGAGGACTGTGTTAGGGGTGGGTTGTGACTTGTAAATAAACATTTATTTTAATTAATTTTTTTCTTTTTTATTCTTTTGATACAGAGTCTTGCTCTGTCACCCAGGCTGGAGTGCACTGGCATGATCTCGACTCACTGCAACCTCTGCCTCCCAGGTTCAAGTGATTCTCCTGCCTCAGCCTCCTGAGTAGCTGGGATTACAGGTGCACACCACCACACCCAGCTAATTTTTGTGTTTTTAATAGAGACGGGGTTTTGCCATGTTGACTGGGCTGGTCTCAAACTCTGGACCTCAGGGGATCTGTCCACTTTGGCCTCCCAAAGTGCTAGGATTACAGGTGTGAGCCACCACACCAAGCCAATTTTTTTATTTTTTTGTTTTTTTTATTTTTAGAAAGAGTCTTGCTCCGTCACCTAGACTGAAGTGCAGTGCTGTGATCATAGCTTACTGCTGCCTTGAACTCCTGGCCTCAAGTGATTCTTTCACCTCTGCCTCCCAAGTAGCTGGGACTACGGGCACACACCACCATGCTTGGCTAAGTTTTCTAGTTTTATGTTTGTAGAGATGGTGTCTTGCTACGTTGCCCAGGCTGGTCTTGAACTCCTGGCCTTAAGCAATCCTCCTGCCTCACTTCTCAAAGCAGTGGGACTACAGATGTGAGTCACCACACCCAGCCTGACTTGTGAATAAATATGAACAGCTTGGCTGCCAGAACTAGAAGGCTTTGGCATCTCCCACTGCCATGCTGCCTTAAAAGGGCATGAGGTCCCACCTCTGTCTTTTCCATTTTCCTGGTTGGTGGCACCCCTCACCCCATGTGGTGTATCCATTTTCTATTGCTGTATAACAAATTACCATAAACTCAGCAATCTAAAACAACACACATTTATTATCTTGCGGTTTCCATGGGTCATGAGTCTGGGCATTAGCTGGGTCCTCTGCTCAGGCTGAAATTAGGGTGCCAGCCAGGGCTGTGATCTCATCGGAGGCTCATTCTCTCCCAGGCTTGCTGGTTGTTAGCAGAACGTAGCGCTTCATGTTTGTAGGACTGAGGCCTCAGCTCCTGAAGGATGCCTGCCTTTGCCTGCGACGTGGCTGTCTCCACAATGTGGATGTTTGCTTCTCCAAGGCCAACAAGGTGGTGGGGGTGCGGGGTGTCAGGGTGTCTCTGCTATTTGTAGTCTCTTTTAAAAGACTCACCTGATTAGGTCAGGCCCACTTAGAATAAATTCTCTTCATTAAATTAAAGTCAGCTGATCAGGGCCATTGATATACATCTGCAATATCCCTAACTCCTGCGGAGCTATATACAGAGCTTATTTCTAAGGAGAGAAGTTCTTCTGGTGTCCCAATGTCAGTCCATGTATGTTGTTATAACAAAATATCTGCAACCAGGTAACTTATAAAGAAGAGAAATTAATTTTCTTACACTTCTGGAGGCTGGGAAGCCCAGGATCAAGGCACTGGAGGCATTCCTTGTCTGGCAAGGGCTACATCCTCCAGAGGGGAGGAACACTGCCCTCAACATGGTGGAAGGAAGAAAGGCAGCTTTCCTGGAGGCGCTGTGGGTCCTCTTTTATAAGGGCCTTAATTTTATTCACCAGGGAGGAGCCCTCAGGGCCTCATCACCTCTTAAGGGCCCTAACTATTATTACTATCACATTGGCAACACCTGGATTTTGGAGGGCAGGCACTCTAACCATAGCACCAGATATCATGCCTTACTCTTAATGATCAAGATTTGGGTCACGTTCAGCTGGACCAATAACTGAACAGGCTCAGATGACGTCCCCACCTACGTGATAGAAGTGAGGATGAAAGCCCCCACTTCAGCCTCAGGGAATAGCATTGTCTTAGGAAAGAGGACTCTCTGCCAAGAGGTGAGAGAAGGAGCTTTGGGCAGGTAAGGATAACACATGCCCACTTTGGAACTTAGAGTGACCAGCACATCCTACACGGATCAACTTGGTTATCATTCTAGGGGTCTAGAATTGGTATTCTGTGTACCTCCTTCCTTGACACTGTAGTGGTATGGACAGCCACCTGTGAAATAAAGCTGTGGGTACAGAGCAGTCCCTGTTAGGTTTTCATTTTGGTGTGAATCCTCTGTCTCCTTGACATGAGTATCCTTTAAATACTTAGAATATTGTCCCGAGAAAATGCCATATGAATTCAGAAATCGGATCAAACTGTGTTCTTTGGGATCCATTAAAACTGAAATGCCTGGGGCCAAAACACTTACCAGATGCATCAAACACTACTGTCAGTCTGAGACTGCTCAGCCACATCGCTACCGCTCTCATTTCATAGGAGTTTTCTTTCCCACAGAAAGGCAGCTCGACAAACTCTTTTAAACCTTACTTTTTTTTGGTTTTGGTAGTGGTAGAGGGAAGGTCTGAGCAAAGATAACAGAGTGGCTACAAACTTAATTATTAATCTGACTCTTCTCTCCTGCTTCTCTTTAGAAGTGACATTCTCTGTGGAGAGGCCAGGAGGGGGAAGTTGTAGCATTCAGGTTTTATCAGTTTGAGGGCCCACTTTCTTCAGTGGGTCTCTGTGATGGCTGAAACGGGTTGCAAATAAATAAATGCCATGTGGGCTCAGGAAGCTAAAGTGAAAGAGTGAGGTGCAGAGCCACAGCGAGGGGCTGGACTGTGGAGAACTGGACGCGACTTGCCTCTTCTCCAGGCCTGGCGGGGTTGGGCTTGGGGTGAGGATTACCCTGTTGGAATTTGAGCCAGCATTGTTAGATCATTCTAATATTTCCAGAGAAACTAGACATCTTAAACTTTACCTAATTACTTCCAATTTTTATTTTTTTTTAATGAATTCAGCTTTTATTACTGCATGAGGGCTGAAATAATTGTCTTTTGGCTAGACTTGTCCTGTGGGTGGCCAGTTTTGATCTCTGGTCCGCAACTTGCCAGGGCAGAAGGCTTATCGGGGATGCTGTTTGATGCCTTGTCAGCATCCATTTCTATCTTCCTTCTTCGTACAGAGCCTCGGTTTTGTACAGATATCTGTCCTCCTCCATAAAGCTGAGCAGCTAGGGAGAAGCTGAGCAGCAAGGGAGAAGCTGAGCCACTAGGGAGAAGCCCAGCAGTTGGGTAGAAGCCAGACCCTAGCTCCAGGTTGGCTATATTTGGTTCACAGCCATCATTAAGGATTGGTTCAGGAGCAACTATGTGATCTCACCACGTGTGTAATGGAATTGGGAGGATGTGTGTGCTGGGCCCTTCCGTGGAGAGCTGCATCTTTCCTTGAAGCCTGGGAATCTGTATTCTGTTTGCTGTGGGTGCTGCCAGGATGTGCCACCCACAACTGCATGTGGCAGCCATCCTGCTGCCAGCCTGAGGGTACAAGGTTGAGGAGAGCTGACCTGGAAGGGAAGGGAAGCACCTGGATTCTTGTTCGACTTCTTTGAGCTGCTCAATCAGCTGGCTCTGGAAGCCTGCCTTTCCTTTGGACTCCCATTTGTGTGAAACAATAAATGTTTTATTGTTTAAGGCAGCATGAGTCGGCCTGGGAAGCAGACTAGGAGAGGGACCTCAGTCCATTTCTAGACTTCATGAACTATTGGTGATAAAGGATGCTTTCCCTGATGCCAGGCTAAGCTGCCACTAATTCAGGGCTAGATGATGGAAGGATTTCATCGTCTTTACGCTGAGCCCTTGCTATTGTCCCTTTAGGGGATTATCCAAGATAATACTCCATCTGAGGTCTGGGCTCAGTGGGGAAGAGCATAATCACTTACATCTGCCATGGGGGCTCAGCATGAGGAGTGGCAGGAGTACCAGTGTTTGCCCTCGATGTGTGAGGTTGGGTCAGCCTGAACATGATACGGAAGCCTTTGGTCTCTAGAGAGGGTTAGATATAGATTGATACTAAACTATGACCTTTTCCATTTATGAAAATTACTCTTCAGGACGATATACCTTCATCAAGGTATAGGAAGTTATTGGACTTCCCTTAGGCCGTGTCCCCTTATCTGTAAAATTGGGCTAACCATCCCTCTATACCTTGCTGTGTGGGTCGAATGAAGTTATGTATGTAAAGTGATGAGCACAGTGCCTTTCTCATTTTAATTTTCATGTTTTCCTGTTCCATTTCTACGTATCATCTTGGCTACCAAGTCAGAAACCTAGAAAGCCTTTTGGGGAACTTTATATATGTTGTGCTGTTTGCTGATTTTTCTGGTGGAGTTTTCTGAGAAGGGAGCTTCGCCTTTCAAGGAAGAGCTGAGTTGTATGTGGTATCATCCACAGTTTCAGGTTCTTAAGAGTAGTACAAACAGAAAAGGTGGTTCACCAACAACTACAAGCACTCTACATCTCTTATCATTCCAGATGTTTCTTTCTTTTTTTAAAATAAGAAATAAGACTGGGTGTGGTGGCTCATGCCTGTAATCCTTGCACTTCGTGAGGCCGAGTTGGGTGGATTGCTTGAGCCCAAGAGTTTGAGACTAGCCTGGGCAATACGGCAAAACCGCCCTCTACACAAAATACCAAAAAAATTAGCTGGGTGTGGTGGCGTGCACCTGTAGTCCTAGCTACTTGGGAGGCCAAGGTGGGAGGATCACTTGAGTCTAGGAAGCCCAGGTTGCGGTGACTGCACTCTAGCCTGGGCAACAGAGTGAGATCCTATCTCAAAATAAATAAATAAAATAGCATTGCATTTTGTTTTCTTATTTCTATCAATTTACACAGATTATTCTTTCCAACTTTTTTCCAACAAGTTAACAATTAAAGACAGCCCTTCTATTAATAATGCAGATAACTTTTGATTATATACAAATTATTTTCACACTTTAAAATGTTTTTATTTGTATCTAGTATGGAGAGGCAGTGAGGCATGTGATGTAAGGAGTATGAACTCCGATACCACACTGCCTGGGTTTGAATCCCAGCATGGCTACCTAGTGGTAAATCACTTAATCTTGTTGTGCCTCAGTTTCCTAATCTGTAAAATGAGAGCAATTATAGTACAACTTTGTAGGGATGTGAGGATTAACAGTTTAATGCATTTAATACATTTAATGTGCTTGGAATAGTGCCTGGCGCAGTCTAAGTGCTGTGTGTTCACTTCTATGCATAGTCAAAAATAACAGTAATAAAATCTGCAGTACTACTACTGGCTCTATCATCAGTCTTTGCTAAGAGATTTTGCAAGACCCAAATCATTTGGTAGATGTATTGTCATTGTCTCTTAGATTACAAGTGATTTACTGCTGAATATAAAAAAATTGCCCAGGCAGGTAAGCTTAGGAAAAGGAGCCTCCATGGGGCAAAGATGCTGGGCTATAGCCAGCAGTCTTCGTAGCAGATGGATAAAGAGATTATATCGTATGTTTGCCTACATAGATTTGGCTGTACTTAGGGTGATAGTAAGAACAGGAACTGAATGTTACTTAAGAGCTCAACACTAATGCATATGCAGCATTTAATAAGACAAATATTCCTCTGTTAAGTGACCATTCCTTTCACAGGTAGGTAGTTATTTTCGTTTCACTCACTTGAGTATTACTTATTCTCTCATTGCCTTCCTGCCTCCCTGCCTCCCTCCCTCCCTCCCTCCCTACCTCCCTCCCTCTCTCTCTCCATCTCTCTTTCTCTATCTCTCTCTTTGTTTTTCTTTCTTTCTTCTCCTGTTGCCCAGGCTGGAGTGCAATTGCACTATCTTGGCTCACTGCACTGTCTACCTTCTGGGTTCAAGTGATTCTCCTGCCTCAGCCTCCCAAGTAGCTGTCACTACATGTGTGTGCCACCATACCCAGCTCATTTTAAAACTATTTTTAGTAGAGATGGAGCTTTGCCATGTTGGCCAGGCTGGTCCTGAACGCAAGTGATCCTCCTGTCTTGGCCTCCCAAAGTGCTGGGATTACAGGCATGAGCCACCGAGTCCGGTGTATTCTTTCTTTTTCTAAACGGCAAAAGCAAGTTTTTGAACAGAGATCCTAATCATCCTGTAATAGTTTAAAAGTATGAGACTTAGAGCCAGTAAAACGTGGGCTTGAGCTCTGAAGGTATCATATACCGCTGTGACTTTATCAGAATGTTATTCAGCTTCTTGTGGGTTCAGTCTCCTTACCTGGAATAAGGTGAATAACCATCCCTCAGAACCTTGCTGTGTGGATCAAATGGAAAGATGTACACAAAGTGACAAGCACAGTGCCTTTCTCATCATTTTAATTTTCATTTTTTTCCCACTCAATGTTAACTACCATCTTGACTGGTAAGTAAAAAAAACTTGAATGCTTTTTTGGGGACTTTATGTATGTTGTGCCATTTACTGATTTTTCTAGTAGACTTTTTGGAGAAGGGAGCCTGTTTAGAAGGAAAAGAGCGATTTTTCTTGCATTAGTAAGTACATTTTTCTAGTGGGCCTTCAGTTTATTTGGAGCTGCTTTCCCCAAATTTGTGGGTCAATTAAGGCAGGGGTTGGCGAACATTTTCTGTAAAGAGCCCAATAGACATTTTCAACTTTGCAGGCCATATGCCTCAGTTGGACATACTCACTGCGTTGTAGTGCAGAAGTAGCCACAGACAGTACATCAATGAATGGGTATGGTAGTGTTCCAATAAAACTTTATTTATAGACTCTGAAGTTGAATTTCATATCCTTTTCATGTGTCAGGAAATATTCTTTTGACTTTTAAAAAACTATTTAAAAATATAAAAATCCTTCTTTACATGAGGACTATTCAAAAGGAAGCAGCAGGTCAGAGTTTGTTAACCCCTGCTGTAAGGGTTTTTTGTTTTATTTTTGAGATGGAGTCCTGCTCCATTGCCCAGGCTGGAGTGCAGTGGCACTATCTCGGCTCACTGCAACCTCCGCCTCCCGGGTTCAAGGAATTCTCCTGTCTCAGCCTCCCGAGTGGCTGGGACAACAGGCGCCTGCCACCATGACTGGGTAATTTTTGTATTTTTGGTAGAGACAGGGTTTCACCTTGTTGGTCAGGCTGGTCTTGAACTCCTGACCTCAGGTGATCCACCTGCCTTGGCCTAATCCCAAAGTGCTGGGATTACAGGTGTGAGCTACCACGCCTGGCCACTGTAAGGCTTTTGATAAGCCCTGTTGCAATCTGTGCAGTTGAGAAGGCTCTCATTTAAAGAGGTTCTCTGGTGAGCTTCTTGGAATGCGAAGCATCTTTCTGTAACCTTTGTCGTGACTCTACAATTCCATCCAGTTGAGCAACTGTTCTCTTGGATGACCTTTGCCTAAAGTGAGATGCACATGTGCCTCCAGTTCAGTTGTAGGTAGTTCTCGGCAGTACTGCATGTGGCCTGTTTCCAGTTAGAAATGTCAACACTGTGAGCCCAGGTAGGTGCTGGGCACGAATTGCCTGATGGACTCTCTGAGAAGCTGTTAACTTCTCCACTGCTTTTGAAAGGATCTTCACCTTTATGCATTCTCTAGCCTATTTTGTTCCTCTGTTTTTTTCCCCCGTCTTCTCTACATTAAAGGTGCATTAGTGTATTCTCAGTGCAACACTTTAGAGTTCTTGGAATGGGCAGAGAGCAGTTATGTCCCATAATGGCAGGATAATCAATGGAAAGAGATAGATTGCCAGGTTGTAAATCATGTGAGAGAATTTGATGATATCAGCTTCGGGGGAATGGGATCCTATTACTCGTTCTGAATTCTCTGGTTCCTGGAATTAATTTGTGTGTGTGTGTGTGTGTGTGTGTGTGTGCGCACTTGTAATCTTTTGGTAGAACAGCCTTTGTTGTGAACCAGAGGATGACAAAGGACAGGTCAGCTTGTCTCAATCTCTCCCTCCATTCCTTGCTGTCTGTGCTCACCTTCGACGAGAAATGCTTTCCATAAAGCCACCAATAGCGCAGCAGAGTGGCTTACGCTTAGACTGTCAGAGTCAAAAGAACATTTATTTCTCCATATTCAAGGGAAATCACACCCTTTAGACTAGGACACTCAAAAGCCTAGTAGAATCCTAGCAAATGCATTTGCTGGCAATAGAAAGCAAAGGGCTTTTTCTATTTTTAAGAGGAATAAACTGTGCCTTTTACTTTCTGACTTAATGCAGAGAGATGAAAATATGCTAAAATCATGTTTTTTTTAAAGGCATAGACCAGAGACATTTTGGAAGCTTTTCATCTAGCAAAGCCAGCGTTCCTTTAAGCAAAGCATCAGGATTGCTTCAATATTTAGGTATTAATATTCCCTTGTGGCTCAATCAGCTCTTTGAAGATGAATTTCTCAGCACTGCTGTCACAATTAAAGAAAGACATGCAGGGGTGAAAGGGAATTTGTGTGTTTCTTAGATTGGAAGGATGTGTTGAGTCAAATGAACATTCTCTCAAGGTTAAATTATCTATTTAAAACCCACCCAATTACAGTGCCAGGTACAATCTTTGATGAGATTCAGGGAAAACAAATTAATCTGTGTGGGAGAGATTCTCTTTGTATGAAGGCAAGCTATGAAATCAGAATGAACTGGGCATTGTTTGTTAAGGGGGAAATGGTTATATAAATTGAAGATGGTGTAGTCTCAAAAACCATGATCCATTATTAGGTTACTGAAGACCTCCTAATAGAAGAGGGTAGAGGTGGTTTATTACAGTTGTGCTTTTGTATTTTGTTGAAAGAATTGTGAGGTGACCACAACACAAAACCATGAGCAATATACTGTGACCTCTGTGTGCGGAGACTAATCCAAGGAATTTAGAGTAATCTCAGGGCATGGCTTTCTAGAATGATCCTCACATCCTGTTGGTTTCACCTCCCAAATAAATCTTGAATCTCCCTGAGCAGTGCTCTCTAAATTTACTGCTATTGACTTGGTGAGCTACCATCCTCCCTGGGTTAAAATATGGTGGTAGCCCTCTAAGTGATCTTCCTCCTTTTAGAAACATCTTCCTAGTACAGATGAAAAAATCCAAACTCTCACCCATGGGCCTGCCTCCGCCTCTCACCTCTTCGCCTGTTGTTCCTCACTCACTCACTCACTAGCTCCAGCCTTCATGGCTGGGATGGTTCAGCAGGCCTGGCTCCATTGTGCCTCCCCATCCTTCTGTTAGTTGCTTGGGGTTGCCACAATGGCAGAGTAATTAAGTATAGTCTCTGGAGTCAAACTGGTAGATTCCAATCCTGGCTGTGCTACTAACCAACCCTATGACCTTGAGTGAGTTACTAAAACCTTTCTGTGTCCCAGTTTCCTCATCTTTAAGTTGGGTATAATAATAATTTGACTTTAATAATACCTTTTTTTTTTTTTTTTTGAGACAGGATCTTTCCCAGGCTGGAGTGCAGTGGCGTGATCTCGGCTCACTGCAACCTCTGCTTCTGGGGCTCAAGTGATCCTGCCACCTCAGCTTCCCAAGTAGTTGGGACCACAGGTGTGCACCACCACGCCCAGCTAATTTTTTTGGTGTATTTTATGAGATGGGGTTTTAGCATGCTGCTCAGGCTGGTCTTGAACTCCTGGATTCAAGCAATCCACCCGCTTTGGCCTCCCAAAGTGCTGGGATTACAGGCGTGAGCCACTGTGCCCAGCCTACTTTAATAATACTTAATAATTCTAATTAGGTTTTTGTTGAGGAATGAATGAATTAAAATATAGAAGGAATTTTAGACCACTGCTTTGAGCTCAGTAGCACTGTATAGATTGTGGCACAGTTTTGTTATAAAATTAGCATCCTCATTATTATGTCTGCCCTTTGGATTTGTATGTGGCAGCTCCTTCTCTTGTACATCTCAGCTCTAGTGTCTTCTTTCAGAGTGACTTTCCCACCCAGCTTCTGAAAGAACCTACCGCTTCCAAACACACCATGCGCTCCACCCGTTATAGTTTTAAAAAGATGGAAAAAATTGTAACAACATAAAAGAACTTTTCCTCGCTGAACTACTTGGATTCATTGCCAGCCTGGCACCCTGTCCCCTCTGGACACTTGAATGTGTATTTCCTACAAACAAGAACAGTCGTGTATCACAATACATCCATCAGTATTGTGAAATTAACTTTATACCACACTACTGTCTAATCCTCAGAACTCATTCAAATATGCCCTAATTGTCCCAATGACAGAAGGAACCATTTAGAATCACGTGTCTGTTGTTAGTCTCTTTCAGGTCTGGAACAGTTTCTCGGAATTTCCTTGGCCTCTATGACCTCGATACTTTTGAAGGTAACACACCAGTTGTTTAGCTAGACTGTCACTCAGTTTTGGTTTGTCTGAGGTTTCCTCGTGATTACGTTCAGGTTATGCGTTGGGACAGAAACACCAGCGGAGTGGTGCTCTGGGCCTTTCAATCCTATCAGGTGATTTGATTTGTCCCATTGCTGGTGGTGTTAACTTTGATCACTTGATAAGGCAGCATCTGCCAGGCTTCCCCACTTAAACTTATTCTTCTTTTTCCCTTTGTAATAAGTGTGTTTTGAGCAGGTACTTTGAGACTGCTTTCCATAAACTTTCAACTTACTCTTTATTTGACTTAATCCATAAATCCTCATCAGTTTGGATGATGGATTTTTATTTTATTTGGGTTATAGTCTGTTACCATCATTATTTTGATGCTCAGATCTCTCCACATTTAGATAGTGGGAGTTCTTGCCAGCTGGTTCCTGTGTCCTTTTGACATGTCCCCATCATTATTTGAGTAATTCCTTACTGTCTAGAACAAGAAGTTCCAGGTTCATCTTGTACTCTGCCGGCCCTGGCTCTGGATTTGGCCAAGAAGCTGAGGAGCCAAAGAGCTCTGATTTCTTTTAGAGGAGACTAGTATTTATTTACTTATTTGTTTGTTTGTTTGTTTGAGATGGAGTCTCGCTCTGTTCCCAGGCTGGAGTGCAGTGGCACAATCTCGGCTCACTGCAACCTCCGCCTTCTGGGTTCAAGCAATTCTCCCGCCTCAGCCTCCCAAGTAGCTGGAATTATAGTCATGTGCCACCATGCCAGGCTAATTTTTGTATCTTTAGTAGAGATGGGGGTTTCACCATGTTGGCTACCTTGGTCTTGAACTCCTGCCCTCAGGTCATCTGCCCACCTTGGCCTCCCAAAGTGCTGGGATTACAGGCGCGAGCCACCATGCCCGGCTGAGAATGGTATTTAGAAACCAACATCTGAGCATATCTTGGGATATTGCAGCCCCCAGGCCCTTTTAGTGGACAAATCTATGGGTTAAGTATGTATGTCCATGTCCATATACACACATTAACATCTGTATGTCTGTTAACATTCACAAGTTCAACAACACATGCTTTATTTTAGTTTTCTCTTTCATGGATTTGTGGGACTCCTTCTGTGACAAGGTGAAACTGGGCTCCGACTGTTTTGAATATGTTTATTTACTCAGTCCATCCCACTGTGTGTTGGAATACTCTTCCGTGTAGACACTTCTCAACTCCCTCAAACACCAACCTCCACGCCAAGCCCTTCTCCCTGCCATATAGACACCCTCCTCGTCTCACTTGGTTACCCCTTCTGGACAGACGGTACTCTTCTGCAGAATAAGGCATGTCTTCCTCCTGGTGGAGGGCAGCCCCATGGCAAAGTACTTGGCTTGGCAAGCAGGGTGTGTTGGCTAGATTTCATTCTCTCAATTGACCGGACACCTTTGTGTTAATACGCAACTTTATGTGGCAACCCTGAGGACTCTGCCCCACCCCAGCTCTGCACCCATCTTGGGACTGAGGCACTGCTGCTGCAGGGGTGCTGCTCTGTTAAACCTAGGAACAGAAAGGGTGTTGTTGGTAGTTGACTTTCCACCATCGATGCCGGAAGATAACAGAAAACTCAGTAAGAGGGGCATAAAGTAGGTAGACAGAGAAGATAGCAAAAGAGGACTGCTGGAGTTTTGGTAAAAGGATTGTGTGCCTGATCCTGGTTTGTGTCCGAGGCTAGCTGCATCCCTGCCCTTGGTATTTGAGGGACAATGTTATAAAAGATTTCACTCTTGAAGTTAAGCTACCAACTGAAACAAGTCACATGGTCAAGCTCCAAGTCAAGGGACAGGAATTACACTGTGTGGGAGGAACTGCAAAGTTGCCTGTAGAAGGACCCGGATACAGACAGGGCCAATTACCCAGTCTACTATAGAGAGGTCAACTTGTTTGCCAAGGGCTAACTTGTTAATAAGTGGTAGAATCTAAATGAGGTCTGTCCAGCCAGGGTGTGTCGGTATTTAATGGCTCTTCTACTGCTTCTGGATAAAATAGTCAGGGACTTGTTCGGCATGTGGGTTGCTCAGGGTGTACAGGCCATTTATAAGGGTGTTCCTTTCCTTTTGCTTTCTCTTGCCTCCTTGTATGTAGGAAGTATACTTTCAAGAAGATAGTGTTAATCAGATACAGAACTTCCAAGAACCAGATGGCCTTCATTTCTTTCTTCCTGATTAGCTATATAAAACCAATTGTCCAACTGAGAAAGGCTTAATTTTACAGGCTTACCGGGGAGGCAAGCTTATTGTTTACAGCTTTCAACCTCCCTCTTGCCTTCCTTGCCAGAGGCTCGGCTCCAGCAAGGGAACCTGAATCTAACACTGAAGAATTTTGGAAGAAGTTGGATTTTTACAAGGAGTCCTCACACAGTGGATAGATACGAAAACGGTCTCTTTACTTCTGTGAGTTAAAGGTGTGCCTGTGTTGTTCTTAGGGCCTGCCTTCTATATCTTCTTTGTTGTGTCATATTTTAAATGGCAAATGACATTGACTGACAGTAAGAGCTTGTATCGTATTTTTCAGATAGTATCTGCATTAATGTCCTGTAGGAAAACGTCTGATAGTGCTGCAGACCATTTTAAGGAATTGAAATCTAAAAATTTCACTGAATTATAAATGTGCAGGTACACTATATAACTAATTATTAAGCTTACAAAGCGGCCAGGTGGTACTTGGAGAATCTTAGTATTTAGTGTGGTGGAAGAACTATTCTTGCATCAGTGGAAATATTACACTGAAGCCGTGTGCTTTTTTATGCAGAGTAAAGATAATAGTGGCTGGAATACAGGATCAGCCATGTGCTATGTGAAAGATGGCAGGCTTAAAAAAATCCATTTGTATTTCTGGCAAATTGTCTTAACATAATCCACATGCCTTTCTAATTTAAAATATAAAAAATTAAATAAAGTTTATACTGAAGTTATATCCATTAAGAAACTGGTAAATTAGTTAAGTCTCACAAGCTTAGACTCCAGCATGAGAGGGGGGTGTGTGTGCCTGTGTGTGTGTCCTGCTCACATTTGAATTGTGAATTCACATTGCATTCCCTTGCAAGGATGTGCCATTTTTAATTAAGACTAAAGCATGGTGGGGTATTCTAAATTGGGCCTGATTATAATTGCAGATGGCAATTGAGCTTTTGGAAGCTGGTTTCTTTAACTGTTAAATAAAAATTGTCTTTTTTAGTATTGGTTTGCAGAAGTTTAGCAGTGGATGTCGAGGGGAAAAAAACGGTAACCTCTTTCTTTCCTTGAAACTAAATGTCACAGCATATCCATCTTCTGTTAAAGGGGTTTAGCTCTGAAGAAATTTTTCTTAAGGCCTTTTTAAACAATTGATCAGATAAAAAATTTTGGCTCATAAAGCTGAACTTTCCAGAGACTTTCTGTTGATGAGAGTCAATACAGTAAAAAATGACAGTATTCATTGTTATTATAAAGAGTACTTTTGACCATCACACTTTTAGTGATCATAATTAGTACCTTAGGCTGGGCTTGGTGGCTCGCGCCTGTAATCCCAGCACTTTGGGAGCCCAAGGCAGGAGGACCATTTAAGCCCAGGAGTTCGAGACCAGCCTGGGCAGCATAGTGAGATCCTGTCTCAAAAAAAAAAAAAAAAAAAAAAAAGTTAAAAACTACCCTGGTGTGTTGGTGCGCATCTGTGGTCCCAGCTACTCGGGAGGCTGAGGTGGGAGGATTGCCTGAGCCTGGGAGATCAAGGCTACAGTGAACCGTGATCATGCCACTGCATTCCAGCCTGGGCAAAACAGTAAGACCCTGTCTCAAAAATTAAAAAAAGAAAAGGTACCTTAGCATACAGAGCCTTCTTCTGTTTGGTAGGCAAACATGGCTTTGTTCTGTGCTCCAAAAAGGATGGGCTTGACAGTCTGGGCTTTTAATGAATTTCTGTATGGAGTTCTATATACATACAATTTCTGCCTATTGATGAGTATGTACACCCACGAGACCAGTGGTTTGTAACTGAGGGAGGGTTAATAGTTTTGTTCTCTTCCAAGGGGACATTTGGCAATGTCTGGAAGCATTTTCGACTGTCAGGACTGGGAGGATGGTGCTACTGGCATTTGGTAGGTAGAGGCCAGGCATGCTGCTGGGCATCCAGTAGTGCACAGGACAGCCACCGCAGGAAAGAATTATCCAGTCCAAAATGTCAGCAATGCAGCCTTTGAGAAACCCAACACTGAACAATGAGCCTCTAGTGCCTCTTTTTGTCTCACTGCAAAAATGGGCTTGGGTTCAACATGGGCTTCCTATATTTTATCTTCCCATTATAGTACTGGTGGGTGTATGAAACATGAATTAATAGAAAATGGTGTTTTCTGGAAGAAGTCAACAAGGAAGGTGAGCTATGAATTAGTGGCATAGCAGGTAACTGGTATTGTGGACAGAGCCAGAAGTTTACAACAGACCTGGTAGTGGATTTGTTTATGGGCTTTGGGGAAATGGACTGTTTTGAACCCTAGGAAGTCTAGCTTTTTTTGGGTAAACATCACCTCTTAAATGTTAACTCTTCTAAGTGATGGATTATTAAACAGGTGCTGATGAAAGCATCTTAATAAAACACATCACACAGTTGTGTTACTCCTTCACGCTGAGCTCTGCCTAATGAAGATTGGCTGTGTAGAGCCACTACTGCTTCATTTTGTTGCATTTTGTATACACAGTTCAGAAAATTAAGAGACAAGGGAACTAGTATTGAGTAGAATAATAAAAGGACTTTCTTGAATGATGGCACTTCTGATTTTTTTTTTCCCTGCCCTACGTGACTGGACGAATAAGGGAGGAAGATGTCATGGGGCCTCTAAACAGCTGATAACAACAGGGTTCATTTACATTTTGTAGCTTGTGTGTCCCCCCTACTTCAAGCACATGCGTAGGGAATTGAAATTGCAGTTTGCCTATTACGTGTTGGCAGTAATCTTTCAAAAAAAATTTTATGTTTCAAAATCAGGCAGCCAACAGCAGTAGCCAGTGATATATGGGGCTATTGATGCGGATTGAATTTGCAGAGGGAAAATGGGATTTGGTTGCCATATGAACTCATAATGAGGTGGCCTCACAGATTTGTAATGGTCAACCATTATTTGCACCTGGAATCCGCCAGGAATCAAATACCTTTCAAGGAGAGACTGAAATGAAACTTGAGGGTTTTTTTTGTTCCTCGTCCGGTGAATGGAGCAGTTCCAAAGTAATGTCATTTGGTTTGTCAGTTGAAGATGCTTAAAGTTAACAGTTACTTTTTTTTTTCTTTTTTGAAATGGAGTTAACGCTCTTGTCACCCAGGCTGGAGTGCAATAGTGCGATTTTGGCTCACTGCAACCTCCGCCTCCCAGGTTCAAGCAGTTCTCCTGCCTCAGCCTCCCGAGTAGCTAGGATTACAAGTGTGTGCCACCATGCCCAGCTAGTTTTTGTGTTTTTACTAGAGACAGGGTTTCACTATGTTGGCCAGGCAGGTCTGGAACTCCTGACCTCTGGTGATCCTCCCACCTCAGCCTCCCAACATGCTGGGATTACAGGCGTGAGCCACCGCGCCCGGCCTTACAGTTACTCTTTTAATAAGCGTAGTGTGGATCAGTGGTCTTCACTGATCCCATTGCCTTATCAGCAAAAAAAAATTTGGACCCATGCCCCAGTGTGTGTGTGTATATATATATATATATATGTGTGTGTGTGTGTGTGTGTGTGTGTATATTTATTTATCTGTTATGTTCTTATACTAAAATCCTATGAAAATTATAAAACCTTAAAAATGTAAAGCATGAGGTCAAAACTATTCTGGATATAGAAGGCTAAATATTGTTTCCCACATCCCCTTTGAATTGTCTTATGCACCCCTGGATACTCAGTGCTGGAAATGACCAGCAGGAATCCTGCCTTAGGTGACGAGGCTGGCACTGGAGAATGTTGGGCCGTCCTTCCTTCCATCCTGCAGGGATCTTGCTAAAATAAATGACTTAACCTTGAAACTTTACTGATTACGTGGTATGTGCTATAGATGGGATTGGATTAATACTAAACATTTCAGCAGCAGTTCTTCTCCCCAGGTGTGGGGTGTAGGCATGAAATAGCTTAAGTCAACTAAAGCTCACCTCTTATGTTTTACCTGGATACTGTGCTTTAGAAGTTTACTTTCTGATTCATCTCAGCAATTTTGTTTTTTTCGCTTCCTCCCTCTTTCTCTCTCTGTCTTCCTTAACTCCTTCACTCTTTCTGTTCTTCCTTTATTCGTGCCAGGGGAGATTGGGACACAGTATTTTCCAAATATATTTATCCTCTCAGGTCAGTTGGAGTTTGTGGGCTAAGAGTATGAGATTTGAAGTTAGGATAATTATAGTATTTGGATGAGTGAATGAATGAATCAATAGATATGTCCCTTCATCCAAACTATGCTGGTTAGGTGATTGGTGGGCAAGCTGGTAAGTTCCTCTGATTCTCTGTTTTCTTATTTGTGAAGTGGAGATCGTTGCTAATGTATGTGGTTCTCTGTAGAATTAAGTAGAGAACACGGGAAATAGCCAGCACATGGTCTGGCATTGTGTACATGCCCATTTAATTTTGGGGTAATTATTATCTCCACAGTCCCTGTCCTTCTTGGAAGTCCTGAAAGTATTTCTTGAAAGTCATCACTCAACTTCAGAGCATCTTAGATACCAAAATAACAGATGGTACAGTATTTGCGGGGCATACATCTTTCACTTAGGTGTTCTTTTACTTTCCTTTTCCCGCCTAAGTTAACTTTCTAGAGGGAGGAAACCAAGTCTTCACTTTATTTTGTGGTTGACTTTTCTTGCCTCCCTCTCCAACACCTCGCTCAACAGGTAATCAAATAACTAATTTTTAGTTGTCAGGTAAAAAGACATTTTTGTGTTTAAGTTCTTCAAACCTTAGCTTTTGGTTGCATCAGAAGACTTGCTTTGAAATTGCACAAGGTAAAGAAGGGGGAGCTGGAAGGATTTCAGGAAGGAGAGTTTGCTATTTGTAATTAGTGCCTAACAGAAGTTGGTACATTTCTGTAGTTTTCCGTTGTCAGTCACTTTGGATGATAATTTTTTTTTTTGCTATTATTTTTAAGTGACAGATTGCAGTACGTATTTTAGGACCTGCCACCCATTTTGATTTGAAAGATTATGTTGTCGGAATTTCAGACACTGCAGGTAAAGATCTAATTTTACTAATTAACAAGGATTTACAAATCTTGTAAATTACTTTCCTCTTGCAATGGAAAGTGCTTTTCTCTGATTTATTATACAAATAATTGCAAATCCTTATAACTGAACAAGGTAAAACTTTTCGTGTCTTTTGGAATCTGTTTTCTGGTTTTGTGCCTTCAGTAATAGTCTTACCTTAGTAGACAAGATGTATAAATTGTGTAAATTACTAAGCAAAGGTGAAGGGAAATATATTTTGGTTATTTCCAGTTAGTAACTGCCTCTTAATGAATCACATTAAGTGCCATAGTCACTTCTTTTTTTCCCAAATTGTCTTTAAGAAGGTACATTTGCACCCTAAGTACAAAAAAGGGACAGTATTATTTTTCTGCTTTTAATAAAAGTAATAATGTCATATTTTTCCTGTTCTAGAATTTCAGGCATCACCCCCTGGAGCTGATGGAGAGACTGGTATTCCACTGTGTATCTTAATATCAGGGAAATATCTCACAGGCACATCAAGCTGATATCACAGGGTTTCCTTGATTGTAAACAATAGAATGGATTATGACTGACATGAGCCAACACTTGGATTTGGAAGGGTATGATAGATTTTTTTGCTCAGGGTCTAAGAATCGTAAGATACCAAACCTTGGAAGGGGCAGGAATCAGGACAGTGGGAGCTAATGGCAAGTTGGTGGTGGAATACATTGGCCCTACCATGTTTTGTTTTTAGACATGGCATTCCCAAGACTCAGATCCCTCCTTGGGCGAGGTTCTGATCTGCATGACTAGGGAGGACAGAACAACTGCATGGTTAAGGCAGAGGAAAGTTGGGGGACTAGAACACAGAGAAATCGGGGGGAAGGACCTTGAGGTTAATTACAACTAGGCCTTGCTTTCTTTAAGGTTATCCAGTGCAGGGCTTTGATCATAGAGTGGATTTTCAAACATTGGAGCAGGAAGAGGCTCCCGACTCTCACCAAAGCCCTGGGGAATGAATGACTTGTTCAGGAGGTAGGTATAGCTTGGGGTTACACCTGGTTTTCTTTAGCTTTGCAACAGACTAGAGAATTTGGTTCTTAAGTGATATTATCTAAAATTGGGAAAGAAAATCTCTTTCAGTTAGCAGAGATAAAATATTGACAATGCTGTGGAGGGGATGTCTATAAATAGGCCTTCTATAATTGAAAAGGAGCAATTAAAGAAGACACAAAACCTTCAGTTGCTGTTTGTAGAAGTCACATACAGGGCTACCTGTGAAAGGCTTCACCTGTTTGAGGATTATAACTATCACTTGAAGAAACAAAACATCTGAGGAGACAGGAGCAGGCAGCATGAGTCTATTTCTAAATTTTACTGCCAAGCACCAAATACAGCCGCTGGTGTTTATTCGGAAATGCTGTTGTTTGAAGGCATATCCAAAGTTCTGTTAGCCTCACTGCCTCCTTGCATTCAGGTGCTCAGTTTACCTGAAACCCCTAAAGAGCAGCCACTGAACTCAGGAGCAGATCAAAACCCTCTCTAATTCCTTTACACTTGGGACCCACCCCTTGATAAAGGTTTTGGGTTTGCTGAGAGTGCAGTATGTCATGGTGGTCCCCTGTCCCAGTATGGGTTGGGGATTAAGATAATCCTGTGAATTTAAATCCCGACTCTACCACTTAATAGCTGCGAACCGGAGCAAGCTTTTAACTTCCCTGGGCCTCTCTAGATATGCTGAATGAAAATCTACCCCCTCCTCCTTCCTTCTGAGTCCTTGTATTATTAGGCATGGCAATGAACCCAACTAAAAAACTACATTTCCCAACTTCCCATGCCAGTAGGGATGGTCAGTGAGTTCCAACTAGAAGTTGTTTTGGGCTTCCAGGAACACTGGAAGGTGAGAAGAAGTATGCTCTTTTTGATTTTTCACATTTTGCATTTTAGATACGAAATGTAGATGTGGTGGTTTGAGCCACAGCATCCATTTTGGGACCATGAGGGAAAGCCCAAGGGCATCGCAAAGACATGGCTATCTTTGGGGTGCTGAGTTCTATTAATACCTGCAGACTTCTTGTTATATGAAAGAAAATTAACCCTTATATGTTTAAGCCTCTGATAGCAGCAGCAGAATGCAGTTCCTGATACTTAACCTCAGGTTCTGCATCTGCAAAATGAGCATAATAGTACTCACCTTCTAGGGTCATTCTAAGGATTCAGTGATAGTGCATACACAGTACTTACCACTGTGACTGGCAGCTACTACTTTTCTTTTTAAATGACTGTTACCATTATCAAATATAGGGATGTGTATTTATTTGCTAGGGTTGTCATAACAAAGGACCACAAACTGGGAGGCTCAGATAACGGACATTTACTGTCTCACAGTTCTGGAGGCTGGAAGTCTGAGGTCAAGGTGTCAGCAGGGTTAATTCCTTCTGAAGCTGGAAGGGATGGATCTGTCCAACTTTCTTTTCTTTGGCTCGTGGATGGCTGTCTTCTGCCTGTGTCACTTTGTGTCATCTTCCCTTTACGCATATCTCTGTGTTCATATTTTCTCTCTTTTCAAGGACATCAGCCATATTCGATTAGGGTCCAACCTAATACCTCATTTTAACTTGATTACCTCTGTAAGGACCCTATCTCTAAGTAAGGTCACATTCGGAGATACTAGATGGGGTTTAGGACTTCAACATACCTTTTTTAAGGGGGGATATGATTCGACCCATCACAGTACATACGTAACATTATCAGTCAAACTTTAGTCTCTCACCCTTTTTCTGATTACAGAAACTCTTTATAAAAAAAATCAAATACTTCTTCATGAAAAATTGCTTCCCTTCCCACCAAAATTGTCCTGTTGTATAAATGACTTTTAACTTTCATCTCTTACATTTTAAACCCATCAACTAAACCCAGCTTCTGGAATCTAAGGGCTTGTAATGGGGCCATTTACATTTCCAGTTAGTTTTAGGGTGGTAATGATCGGCTCTTAGGACGCTCTTCGATTTGAGTATTCACTTGGGTGTGTTTCAAGCCCGTGACTTGGAAATACAAGGGTTTTCTGTTTATTATTCCATACTCTTTAGAGTAGTGTTGATGTGGTCATAGTCATACACGTCATGGGATGTTTGCTGCTCTCGATGAATTTACTGGCCATTGGTGCCCTGGAGTATCTACTACAGAGTGCCCAAGACAGGCTGCCTGGGGATATTTAATGTGTCTAAGAACACTCTTAAGCATTTCAGCCTCCAACATAAGCTCAGTAAGGTGGGACTTGCTTAAATCATATTCCGTGTATAAAAATTTAAAAATGTTGAAGATTTTACTGTTGCAGAACTTACTCCATTTAAACTTGAAACCCAGTGTTCCTACAGCTGCTTTCCTTTTCTATGCAAATATTTCAAGCATTGAGACCATTACCTCCTGAGCAAAGCAGAGTCATTTATGCATTAAATAAATAACTTTCCTGTCCCAACAGGGTTTGTTTGTTTTTTTTTTTTGGGGGGGCGGGAGAGATCACTTTTAGGCGACATTATGTGTTTGTAGGGGCTTGTCTTCAAATAAAAGGCATAATTGAAATACAGCTGAATAGGAATCAAGAGTGTGATTCAAGTGTAAGGTAAAATTGATGGCATCTCTTATTGCTTCGTAGATGAATTACTTTATGGCAGCTTTTTCCTGATAAAGCTTTTTTAAAAACTAAAAATGCATTATTCTAGTCTCTAATTGTCCATCCTGACAGCAGCAAAAAAGAAAGGCTGTGTTTTGCTTTTTGTTTCTTTTCCCTCCCTTAGCAGTGATAGTAGAAATTGCTTATTGCTGGAAAATCTGTATTTGCCTGCTGGTATGCCATTAAAAAAGGGATTTGGTAGCCTGAATTCCATTTTTTCTTTAACGCAAAACATAAGGGGTTGCATTTTCCATACTGGCAGAATGTGGAATGGGTAGGTGACTTGAATGTTGTCTTTTCCACTTAGTATTACCGTTCAAAACCCACGTACACCAAGGAATTGGAATATTCGAATGTGAGACAGAAAGATGACATTGCGGTTAGCACTGTCTGTATCCACCAAATCGTGAACCTTCTCAGAGTCATAGTCCCAGCCAGGGAAGTAAGAGTGTCGCTCTTCACTATTGCTGCACACATCCTGCTGCTGGGTGCCAAAGTGGGGCAGGTGCTCAACTTCCCAGCAGTGTTAGGAGTAAAGGCTGGTGGGGGAGAAGGCTGGTTGGCAGATTATTAAATGTATTTTACATTTGCCATCCAGTTTCATTTTCATGGCCCACATGGCCACCTAGGATATATTCTTAGAAAAAGGAATAGTAACTCAAATCAAGATCAAGCTTCTGATCAAATGCTGGGGATACAGCCTGATGTAAAATGGGACACCTGGATGCAATCAGCAAAACCCACAATGAGGGGAATTCTACACTACAAATGATCCTGTTATATCCAATTTATGTATGGAATGGCTTAAAGAGGCAGAGAAAAGCCTTTGGATTAAAAGAGACTTGAGAGACCTGTCACCCAAATGCAGTGTGTGGACTTTGAATTTGAACAAATCAATGTTAAAAGCAAATTTTTTTTTTTGAAGTAGGGAAATTTGAGTACTGGATGTTACCTGATTTATGGAATTATTGTCACTTTTAAGTACAGGCAAAATAGTAGTGTTGGAATTATACTTTTTAAAAGAGTCCGTATCTTTTAGTGACAGATGCTGCATTAGTTATAGGGAAATTATGATGTCTGGAACTTGCTTTAGGATAATTCGGTTGGAGTAAGGTGTGATTTGGGGTAAAAAAACATAAAATTTGCCTGATACGATAATTGTTGAGGGTAAGGGAATGGTTATGTGGGGACTCTTCTATCTCTGAATGTTGGAAATACAATAGAAAGTTAAAACATAATGACTTACCTGTGTTCTATTCTTTATGATGGCTGCTGGCTTTATCAGGCCTACTTCTTTTTTAAGTATTTGTGGGGTAATGAATATTTAAATATGTAACCTTTTTACCTCAAAGTAATCTAAGTATAAATATGGTCACTAACTGCACAACCAGGTCTCACAGAACTGACAGGTTTTATTTAATGACCCATTTTCCTTTATTTGAACTCAGCCCCATGGAATAAAGGGAATGTTTTATTCATCAGACTGTTCACTTTTTTAAATTTTAGAATGCTTTTGTAGGAATTAGCAGGTGTTTAATTATCAATGGGAGGATTCTTTATTTGCTGAATGCAGTAGAAGGTCATTAAAATAAGTTTAAAATATGAAAGAATCAAGTAGTGAGAGAACTTGGGGGGAAATGAATAAATCTATTCTCTTGTGTCCTAGGTTTGTTAAGGTCAAATGAGGTGTGGTTTAATGTTTTGCAGCTTCATTGTAAACCAAGCCAAAGGAAAATCTTTCTGCCCTTTGGTCAAACATTCCTGAGTGAAGAGAGCACTGGCTGACATGGAGGAGTGCCAACATTTTTGGGTCATACTTTAGAACTTAAGTTTAGATAACTGAGATAAGCCAGGATTTATGGACAGACAGATATATCCCTAGTCTCAACATTAAGCCATTATTTCCATATTGCATCGTCTTTCATGCTCTAAGTATATGTTGGAGTGCCGACTGTGGATTTAGCTGTGTGCTAGGCACTGGGGAATAAGACAAATAAGAATTAGATATATGTGGCTCTTTTGTTTAACTTGAACATAAATGTTTTCCCTCTTTCCCTTTGCTTGTAATTTTTCTCTTTTCTAGCAACATTGCCCTGTCAACTTCTTATCTATTTTTTCATTTTTATATATTTATTTTTTTTGAGATGGAGTCTCACTCTGTTGCCCAGGCTGGAGTGCAGTGGCATGGTCTTGGCTCACTGCAGCCTCTGCCTCCTGGTTCAAGTGATTCTCCTGCCTCAGCCTCCCGAGTAGCTGGGACTACAGGTGTGCACCACCACACCCAGCTAATTTTTGTTGTTGTTGTTATTGTTGTATTTTTTGTAGAGACAGGGTTTTACCATGTTGGCCAGGCTGGTCTTGAACTTCTGACCTCAGGTGATCCGTCTGCCTTGGCCTCCCAAAGTGCTGGGATTACAGGCAAGAGCCACTGCACCCAGCCCTGTCAACTTCTAATGATATAATGTTGGTGGTGATGGTAAATTATTTGGATTTGGGGAAAAGGTGTGGTTAAGGTGAAGCAGTTTGGAGGTGGGGTAAGGTAGGGGGAGGTGAACAGCTACCACTCATCCATCTCTGACCCTGTGCCATACTGCTTATTTATTCATCCACAAATCCTGCAAGATAAGAATCACCCCTATTTTGCAAGGAAGGAAAGGAAACTGAGCTTGAGTAACTTGATCACAGTCTCTCGACTCATAAGCATCTTTGTTGGTAAACACCCAGGTCTGTTTAAAGCTGTGCTTGTAACAAACATACCACATATGTTCTCCAAGACGGTAGGTAATGTGGGCTGTTTTTCAGTGAAACGTCTGCCATGCATTTTCACCATGATGTTGCTTTTTATTGATTTCATTTGGGAAGTTTAGGGAGAAGTAGGAGGGACACTTGGGAAATAGAGGCATTTGTGCCTTCAAGCAGTTCACTCGGGGCACCTGCATGAACTTCCAGGTGTCCTAAGTTAGATTTATTTTTTATTTTGAGATGGAGTCTTGCTCTGTCATCCAGGCTGGAGTGCAATGGCGCAATTTCAGCTCACTGCAGCCTCTGCCTCCTGGGTTCAAGTGATTCTCCTGCCTCAGCCTCCTGAGTAGCTGGGATTACAGGCACCCACCACCATGACCGGCTAATTTTTGGGTTTTTAGTAGAGATGAGGTTTCACCATGTTGGCCAGGCTGGTCTTGAAACTCCTGACCTTGTGATCCGCCTGCCTTGGTCTCCTAAAGTGCCGAGATTACAGGTGTAAGCCACTGTACCCGGCCCCTGAGTTAGATTTATACCTCAAATGTTTTCTGGGTAAAAGAGGGTCCTAGGAAGGACAGACACTATTAGGTTTAATTGCTGTGAAATTAATTGCTAGCTGTTCATCTGCGCTGCTGCTTTGTTTTAACATCAAAGTTGACAAAGTCTCCACGGTGTAGTAGAGAGAGGTCTTTGTGAAGAAAGCTCCTTGCCAGCTGTGGGCATTGACAGGAAGGCACTCTCTTCCTAAACCTTGTAACTGATATTGCTTTTGCGGTCTCAGGTAAGAAGGAGAAAAAGGGTAAAAGTTTACTGTAGATTCTTTAGAAAGCCTATGGCATTTTTGAAGTCATAATAAAAGATAGATTCCAGTGGATCTCCTAGAGGCTCTCTGTGTTAACTGGCATTGTTTAAGTGTAACATGTCTTCAGCTTTAGGCTCCTTAGCCTTTCAAGGGCCCTTCTGTCAAGCTGATGGGCTACCATGCCAGAAATGAAGTCCGATATTAAAATGTTTGTTCAACAGAAGGTGGATGGAGAGCAGCATTTTCAAGTAATGGGCAATAAATCATGGAATTGGAGAAGTTACTCAAATTTTGGTAATGTGCCCAAAGACCCTGGCCATGGCCTTATGACTGAGACATGCATATAAGTGGTGGTTCTTGGCCTTAGGGTGCTAGGAATTGGTTGATTGGATGTGTGCTTTAAATAGATGATATTATTGGTTCAAAATAAAATGATGGGGTGAGAACTGTAAATGCCTCCTAGACCATATTCTGGGTCTTTTTTATGGAGTTGTAGATAGAGCAGATTTTGAGATAAGTATTCATTTAGTTAAAGGTGTTGTCATGAAATTCCTTCTCAAGGAGTTGACTTGAGCTAACTTGCATGTTAACAAATACCACTGTTCTGGCTTTCCACCATCCTGTATGAATATGGAAGTTACATAGAAATAAAACATTTAAGTTTTCTTAGCGTTTAAAGCACTAAACTGTAACATATCTGGTTAATACTTTAGTATTGTGTGCTTTCCTATTAATATGACTTTTTTCCCAAGTAAAAGATGTTTTCTCCTGTCTTCCTCTCTGATCAGGGAAAAGAAAACAGTTTCTGTTTTTCTTTGGAGAGCTCTTCAGGGGATCTTTTTAAGGATTGACTCAACTTTAGGAATTTTTCAGTTGAGCTGACATTCATTGCAATGTGTTTGTGGTTTAGCATGGTTCAAAGTATTTATCATCTCAAGTCTCTTTGACCACAAGGGTAGAAAGAAATATTCGCACACTTGCCCCAAAGTGCAAGTGTGCACTTAAGTAGATTGTCAACTACTTAAAAAATGTATTTTTAGCGGGGCGCGGTGGCTCATGCCTGTAATCCCAGCACTTTGGGAGGCAGAGGCGGGCAGATCATGAGGTCAGGAGTTCGAGACCAGCCTGGCCAATATGGTAAAATCGTGTCTCTACTAAAAATACAAAAATTAGCCAGGCGTTGTGGCACGCGCCTGTAGTCCCAGCTACTCGGGAGGGTGAGGAAGAAAAATCGCTTGAACCCGGGAGGTGGAGGTTACAGTGAGCCAAGATTGTGCGACTGCACTCCAGCCTGGGTGACAGAGCGAGACGCTGTCTCAAAAAAAAGAAAAAAGAAAAAAAAAGTTTTTTTTTTTAAAGACAAATGAAAATTCAAATCTTCAGACTATTGGAAGCAGGGAATTGTTATCAGAAGTGAGGAAGCAGAGCTGACCATTAAAGTTTTTTACTACTATCTTGAAATTGTATGGTAAGAAAAAAAAAATGGGTAGCAACCTTTTGCCAGGTGTGACAATTTCTACCTGATCTGTTAAATTTAGTACAGTAGTCCACCCTTATCTGCGGTTTTGCTTTCTGTGGTTTCAGTTATCTGCAGTTGCCTGCATTCTGAAAATAGGTGAATATAGTATGATAGTATATTTTGAGAGAGAGAGACCAAAACTATATTCACATAACTTTTATTACTGTTTGCTGCTATACCTGTTCTATCTTAGTGGTTATTGTTAGTCTCTTACTGTGCCTAATTTATAAATTAAACTTTATCATGGATATAGTTGTATAGAAAAACCACAGTGTATATAGAGCTCAGCTCCATCCATGGTTTCAGGCATCCACTAGGGGTCTCAGAATGTATCCCCCTCAGATAAGGAGTGGGTCTGCTTTATATTATTTTCCAAAAATTGCGTTTGTTATATAAAAATCCATGTTGCCAAAGTTTTTAAGCTCTGTGTTTTCAAAAGTAGTTTAAATACTATAAAAGTGCTTATTCTACTCAGTCATTGGGGAGAGTATTTCTGGATCAGTAGAGAAAAGGGAAATTGCAAGTACATGAAAAGCTTCCCCTTATTTTTTTTGTGATGTAGGCACTGGAGGTACAGATATAAACAAGATGTGGAACCTCCCTTCAAGGAATTCATAATCCAGTGACAAAGAGGGAAATGTAAATAATCAATTGCTGTAAAATGATATAGATGCTCTGATTGTAGCCTGGATTGGAGGCAGTGGGAGCCACATATAGGGAGTGATCAATTCTGCAAAGGTAAGATTTCGGTCAAAAATCTATAGTCAGCTGGGTGCCGTGGCTCACACCTATAATCCTAACACTTTGGGAGGCTGAGGTGGGCAGATTGCTTGAACCCAGGAGTTCAAGACCAGCCTTGGCAACATGGCTAAACCTCATCTGTACAAAAAATACCAAAAAAATTAGCTGGGTATGGTGGCGTGTGTCTGTAGTCCTAGCTACTTTGCAGGCTGAGGCAGGAGGATCACCTGAGCCTGGGGAGGTCAAGGCTGCAGTGAGCCGTGATTGTGCCATTGCACTCCAGTCTGGGTGACAGAGTGAGACCCTGTTACACACGCACATACACACACACACACACACAAATCTATAGTCTAGAGGAAGTTATAAGGCACATAGGTGTAATGCTTATAATTGATAGGAAGTGATGAGTATGAAAGCAGGTTGACAGATAAAGTGCTCTTTGTTTCTAGAGAAAGAAATCACTTCTGTTCTAGGATATTAGGGAAGGCCTCAGTGAGGAGGATGATAATTTTGCTATATGTTCAGCAGCCATTTTCAGATGAGATCAGGCACGTTCAGGGTGGCATGGCCATAGACACAGCAGCCATTGTCAGTTTGCAAAGAGCTTTCAAGTACATCATCTGCTAGTTATTTGGAAACCCTGGGAGGAAGTTGTGATAATTTAGATAATGACCCAGAGAGGTAGGGCAACATACCAAGGGCCACCCAGCAAGTGATGATGTAAGCATGTGTTTAAGTTGAGCATTTCTGACCAATTATTTCACAAAGAACTAGAGTCATTACATCACTTTCCTTCATCCCCTTCATCCCCCTCCCCTCCCTGCCCATGGCATCACATTACATGTAGGATAAAGCTTTCACTCTGGACCATGTTCTGCAAGATTCCACATGATCCAGCTTCTGTCTTTCTTCCAGGACTAGCCTTCTTGCTTACCTTGCATGCCGGCTGTTTCCAGAATTTATGAAACTTTTTTCCACCCCAGGGTTCTTACACATGCTGTTCAGTTACACAGAAAGAGTCATCCCCACCATCCTTCTTCTTGATTTGGCGCATTGTTAGAATGTCACCTCCTTAGGGAGACTTCCCTGATCTTTGTATCTAAAGCACATCCCATCCTCCCATGAGCCTGCATCTCTCTTCTCTGTTTTATGTTTGTTATGGCACTTAGCACTATCAGAAGTTGTCCTTATTGTTCATTTGTATGTTGTCTTGTATTCCCAACTGGAGTGTGAGTTTCATGATGGGAGTGGCAGGGATTCTTTGTTCACTACTGTTTCCCCCAGCACTTGAGATATAGGAAGCACTTGGTAAGCATTTGTTAATCAAATAAAGGAACCTGTAGTAGCTTAGGGTACAATTACAAGTGGTTTTCCAAGAGCCAGAAATGAAAGTCATTGGGATGAGTTATAGATGCAGCTTATGGATTGGAAATTTGGAATGTATTTGGGACAAAATGATGTGAAACATTTTAATTTAATTTTTGGATTGTTCATTGCTAATGTATAAAAATACGATTGATTTTTTGTATATTTATCTTGTATCCTTCAACCTTGATGAACTCGTTTATGATCTCTGATAGTATTTTTTGTGGATTCCTTAAGATTTTCTGTATACAAGATTATGTCATTTGCAAATAGAAATAGTTTTACTTATTCTTTTCCAATCTGGATGCCTTTTATTTCTTTTTCTTGCCTAATTGCTCTGGCTAGAACCTCAGTGTAGAAGTGAGGTGGCCTCCAAAATAGAAGTGGTGAGATCAGACATCTTTATCTTGTACCTTATCTTAGGAGGAAAAATATATAGTCTTTTACTATTGAGTATGATGTTAGCTGTGAGTTTCTAATAGATACCCTTTTTCAGGTTGAGGAAGTTCTCTGTTATTCCTAGTTTGTCGAGTGGTTTTTTTTTTTTGGTGTTGCTGTTTTGTTCTTTTTATGAAAGGGTCTCAGTCTGTCACCCAGGCTGGAGTGCAGTGGTGTGATCTCAGCTCACTGCAACCTCCACCTCCTGGGTTGAAGCGATTCTCATGCCTCAGTCTCCCAAGTAGCTGGGATTACAGCAGTGTGCCACCATGTCTGGCTAATTTTTTTTATTTTTAGTAGAGATGGGGTTTCGCCATATTGGCCAGGCTGTTCTTGAACGCCTGGCCTCAAGAGATCTGTGTGCCATATGATCTATATACATTAATTTCTTACTGAAGCAAAAATACCCAAAGTGCCAGGATTACAGGTGTGAGCCACCAAACTGCCTGTTTTTTGAGACAGAGTCTCCTACTGTCATCTGGGCTGGAGTGCAGTGGTGCGATCTCGGCTCACTGCAGCCTCCGCCTCCCAGGTTCAAGCGATTCTTCTTGCCTCAGCCTCCCAAGTAGCTGGGATACAGGTGCCTACCACCACGCCCGGCTAATTTTTTTGTATTTTTAGTAGAGACGGGGTTTCAGTATGTTGGCCAGGCTGGTCTCGAACTCCTGACCTCACGATCTGCCACTTTGACCTCCGAAAGTGTTGGGATTACAGGCGCGTGAGCCACCGTGCCCGGCTGTGTGTGTGTGTTTTTTTTTTAAACCATGAAGTTGTGTTGGATTTTATCAAATGCTTTTTCTGTGGAAACCTAAACTTTTAGGCTACAGTTCTTTTTAAAGCAGGTAGCAGGACAGAACTTCTTGACCACCACTCAGCAGAGGTTTGAAAGTTTCCCCTCTTCTCCTGTGAGGTCACTAAGCATTTGTTACAGAGTTAACCGAGAAGAATGCCTGTGCTTATCCTCTGGGAACAACTGTAATGATGGGATGTTTCTCTATAAGTCTGAGAAATAAACTGCTGGAATGTGATGCCATATCTGATATGCTGTGTTTGTTTTGCCAGTGTAATACTGTCACAACACTGTTGAGTGAGCTGATTTCAAGCTGTTGATATAGTTCAGACCTTGGCAGTTCTCTAATCTCCTTGACACTTCAGTGTTTGATTGCATTCGTTTGCCCTGCAAATAGTCGACAGTGTAAGTGATCTCAAAGTGAGAATATATCTAAAGTCTGTATTTGTAATAGACAAGGTTTGAAGGAAAGCTGAGACCTTGTTAAATTCACATATGGACTTCCTGAGCATGCAATAAAGACTTAACTTCTACTTGATGGAGCCTGTCAAACAGCCATATTACAGGCATGATTTGGTTGCATGGGACTTCTATTCTTAATGTTAAAATAAAATCCAATAAAATGAGTTGGCGAAAATCAAGCTGTCATGGAGTTGCTAAAAATCTTGTTCCAATGAAATGCTATGAGAAAGGCCTTATCATTATGCTGTTTAGTTTTTACCAATTACCCTATAAAGTATTAATTTATATATATATTATATATATAAATAATAATTATTATTAGAGACAGAGTCTCACTCTTATCACCCAGGTTGGAGTGCAGCGGCATGATCTCAGCTCACTGCAACCTTGGCCTCCCAGGTTCAAGTGATCCTCCTATCTCAGCTTTCTGAGTAGCTGGGACTATAGGCATGCACCACCACGCCTGGCTAATTTTTGTATTTTTTTGTAGAGGTGGGGTTTCACCATGTTACCTAGGCTGGTTTCAAACTCTTGAGCTCAAGCTTTGGCCTCCCAAAGTGCTGGGATTACACATGTGAGCCACTGCACTTAGCCTATATTATTAATACTATTATTATTGTTGACTTCTTTTTACAAAACAGAAAGCTTGAGTCTTAGGCTGATTGCTTCCCTAAGGCTTAGATGGCCTATGGATTTGATTCCAGGTAGCCTATCTCCACATTTTGTACTCTTGAACATTTTCTAATTTATTTACTAATTCCTCAGTCACGTAAATGTCATCCATGAAAAATATTAGAGTTTTGGTATCTCAGAGATGGTTCCTTAGAGCTCTCAGCCCTAAATGGAAACACATCTTTTTGATAGTGTGTTTTATTTTCCAAATCCCAAGAATCTGTGAAATTAGTAGTGTTCTTGACCAACAGTTAGATAGCCTCTGCTTGAATGCTTCTAATAACTGGAGAGCTCACCACTTCATGGTGACAACATTTTTCATTCTTGCATAAATTCTTCCTAAATTTGAGCTATCCTGAAGGTCAGTTTAGCTTTCCTATCGTCTAAAGTACTGTATATTGCTGTCTGAAAACACACAGACAACTAAATGCTCCAGTTGCTTTTTTTCCCTTTTGGTGACAGCTTTATTGAGATAGAATTCATATAGTATACAGTTTACTCATTTAAAGTATTTTGCATATATTCAAAGAGTTGTATAATGATCTTATTTTAGAACATTTTTATTATACCCGAAAGAAACCTTATACCCATTAGCAGTTACCTATTTTCGTTAAACACCTCCAGCCCTAAGCATCTACTAATTACTATCTTATAAATTCGCCTATTCTGGACATTTCATTTAATAGGTGGCCTTTTGTGTCTGACTTCTTTCACTTAGCAAAATATTTTCAAGGTTCATCTATCTTGTTGTATCAGTACTTTTTTTGTTGTATTTTTAGTAGAGACTGGGTTTCACCATGTTGGTCAGGCTGGTCTCGAACTCCCGGCCTCAAGTGATCTGCCTGCCTTGGCTTCCCAAAGTGCTGGGATTACAGGCGTGAGCCACCACGCCCAGCCTTGTTGTATCAATACTTCATTTATTTTATGGACAAATAAAAGTCCACTCTATGGATATACCACATTTTGTTTATACTCTCATTTCTTTATGGGTATTTGGGTAGTTTCCACTTTTGACTATCATGAATAGTGCTGATCTAAACATTTGTTTCAAATGCTTTTTTTTTGTATGAAACACTGCTCTGTCTGCTCCTGCACTGTGATGATTTTTTGATTAATCTCATGTAGTATTTTACTTGGTAAAATCTCATACTGTTGGTATTAGTCTGGTTCCGCCTTGCTGGAAGTTTGAAATTTTGATTCTTTGATTGATCATATGATTTGTTCATTTCAACCTTGGGTACTATGCCAATTGGTTAAATCTCCATTCTCTGTCCTCATCCATGTCAGTGATCAGTATACTGATTGCTGAGTGGTGTGGCCTCTCTGCCACATAGCTTATTGCTGTGGAGGAAAGAGAGTCTTCTCTTAGCCATTGTTCTGTGTGGAGTTGGCGGACTAACACATTTTTATATTCATATGCAATATTTTCAATTCTAAAAATCCTTATGTTTGTACCAGAACTAAGATGTCCTGGCATTATGGAATTATTCATGTCAGTTGCCTATCTCTGGTCAGGTAGTTAGTTGTGACATCCAGCAGCTCAGACTACAATTTGAATTCTGGCTCTTGTCCCACTTATTATCAGAATGACCTTTGGCAAATGACTTGAAGGTTAACTTGGGTAATTTTCTCATCTGGATAATGCGGATAGTAGAAGGACTTAACCTCATAAGGTTTTTGAGAGGACTGAGTGAAGCAGTCCCCACAATACACCATCATGTGCTGGGCATGTTGGTAAGGGCTGGATTTCAAGGATGAAAACAGAGGCCAGAGAACTTTCTGTGGCTTTCTGAATGTCAAAACTGAGACTGTGCAGATCAAGCAGAACGCTTTCTGTTCCTTCCAAGGCTTGTTCCCTTCAGGTTTCAGTTTCAGACGGAAGCGAAGTTGTTTGTGATGCCGGAGCACACACCTGCGGGAACTGTAGACTTCTTAGGAGTCCACCGGGGTTGCGTCGCATTGCTTCCACGCCTCTGTCCTCACCAGTGTTGCCAACTGTGGATTTGTGTGTGTGTGTTTATCGTTGTTGGCCATGCACCAGAAACAGAGATATCAGTCACATTTAAACTCTGCTGCCCAGGAAACTCCTGCCTACAAACCCAGCCCAGCCCTTTGAGAACCTCACCGACCAAGTGAGTGATATGTTGAGAGATGAGCATAGCCATCTTACCATTCATGTCTGTGAATTATTATTTATTCAGACTGGATCTCGTTAAGAGAACTGTGTGTAATCTTAGCATGATAATCGGATTCCACTTATCACTTGGAACTGTGACTCACTTTTGGAATTTTAAGGACGTAATTACAAAAAAAATTCTTGGTTATCTTTTAAAAAGGAGTCTGTTGTCCTTAGACTTGTTAACTCTTCAACTGCTGTTTTCCAAATCGTGGTACAAAGTTATTATTTGCAGGTATTCCCAAGTGGCCTTATAAAAACCAAAAAGGCTTCTTGCTAATTCTCTTCAGATGCTGATATAGAAATGACACTGATTTTTTTCTTTTTAGTATTTAAGAGCACCCACTAGAAGGATATTTAATATTTGTATGTAGTTTTTTTTTTCCTGTTATGTTAAGCAGAATTTCAGGACCTTGCTGTAGAGCAGCATCTCTCCATTTAAGTAATGTGTAGACCCCTTTTCAAAGGGGAAAGCACCTTGCAAGAACCCTGTGAATTGTACCAAACCCAACAAACATAAGGTAAACCTAAGGTTTACATGCAAGTCTCTTTTGATTGCCAGTTATCAGGGTTCTTGCCTGGCTTGTTGTTCATAAATGGGAATATTTTATTTTTAGATTATCATAGAATTGAAAAAAAAAATCTTCCCAAGTAGCTGGGACTACAGGCACACACCACCATGCCTGGCTAGTTTTTTTTTTTTTTTTTTTTTTTTTTTGGGGTAGAGGGATTTCCCTATGTTGAACAGGCTAGTCTTGAACTCCTAGCCTCAAGTGATCTGCCTGCCTTGACCTCCCAAAGTGCTGGGATTACAGGCGTGAGCCACCGTGCCCAGCCTTGCCATGCCTACTTTTTAATAAGGTTGTTTTTTGCTTGTTCAGTTGTTTAAATTCCTTATAGATTCTGGATATTAGATATTGGTCAGATGCATATTTGCAAATATTGTCTCCCATTCTGAAGGTTGTCTGTTTACTCTGCTGATATTTTTCTTTTGCTGTGCAGAGCCCTTTAGTTTAATTAGGTCCAGTTGTCTGTATTTGTTTTTATTGCAATTGCTTTTGAGGACTTAGTCATAAATTCTTTTCCAAGGCTGATGTTTATAATGGTGTTTCCTAGGTTTTCTTCTAGGATTCTTATAGTTCCTGATCTTACATTTAAATCTTTAATCCATCTTAATTTTCATATGTGGTGAAAGGGAGGTGTTCACTTTCATTCCGCTGCATATGGCTAGCCAGTTATCCCAGTATCATTAATTGAATAGATAATCCTTTCCCTATTGTTTATTTTTGTGGACTTTGTTGAAGATCAGATGGCTATCAATGTATGGCTTTATTTCTGGGTTCTCCATTCTGTTCCATTGGTGTATGTGTTGGTTTTTGTAATAGTACCATGCTGTTTTCGTCACTGTAGCCTTATAGCATAGTTTAAAATTAAGTAATGTGATGCATCTAACTGTGTTCTTTTTGCTTAAGATTGCTTTGGCTATTCGGGATCTTTTTTGGTTCCATATGAATTTTAGAATAGTTTTTGTTTTAATTTTGTGAAAAATGATATTGGTAGTTTGATAGGAATAGTGTTAAATCTGTACATTGCTTTGGGCAATATGGTTGTTTTAACGATATTGATTCTTCCAATCCATGAGCATGGGAGGTTTTTCCATTTGTTTGTGTCATTTGTGATTTTTTTCAGCAGTATTTCGTACTTCTTGTAGCAATCTTTCACCTGCTTGATTAGATGTATTCCTAGGTATTTTATTCTTTTTTGTGGCTATTGTAAATGTGATTGCGTTCTTGATTTGGCTGTCAGCTTGAACATTATTGGTCTATAGAAATGCTACTGGTTTTTATACATTAATTTTGTATCTCGAAACTTCATACTGAAGTTGTTTATCAGTTCCAGGAGCGTTTGTCTTTAGGGTTTTCTAGTTATACAGTCATATCAGTGAAGAGAGATAGTTTGACTTCTTTTCCTATTTGGATGCCTTTTCTTTCTTTCTCTTACCTGATTGTTCTGGCTAGGACTTTCAGTACTATATTGAATAGGAGTGTTGAAAGTGGGTGTCCCTGTCTTTTTCCTATTCTGTTTTTCATTCAATAAAAACTCAACACATACTAAGTATGGAGTGGTATATACCTTTGAAAGCATTACAGACACTACGTTTCTCTTTAACTGGGTTTGCATTCCACTGGAGACTTTCACTGCTTTGCCTCTTGCTTTAAACTCTTACCAGCCAGATATTTTCCTTTCTTGATCTACCCTCTTAAGAGTCCTGCCCATTGTCCATGATTGACAGCTTGGTTTCCTGATTGAGTGCTTTATGTGAACATGAAAATTCATAGCATCCTTAAGGGAGAAATGTAGTTGATGGGCAAAGAACAGACAACAATCAGTCTTTTCCCAAAATGAAAGCCGCCCTCTGGAGAGATCAGAGTAGGTCCTGGGGTATACACCTGGGGCCATTTCCAACACTAAAATGGGCTTTCTCTCCAGTGTATATGTGTTGATCCTCCTCCTCCTCCTCCTCTTCTTTCTCCTGATGAACACAACTTGTAGAACATAAACCAAGGATCAGGCTCTATACCAGGTGCTTTTTGCACATTACCATATTTAATCCCCGTAAGACCCCAAAAGGGAGGTACTCTTATCCCATTTAACAGATGAAGCAAATGTCTTAAAGGAAAGATGTTAGCTGTTTTAAAAGCCTTGTGGCTAGCAAGGGTCTGAGCTGTCTGATCAGAGTCTAATGGTTGCCATTAAGCAGTCTTCACCCTTTTCATGATGCAAAATGGACTTTCAGGTTTAAAGAAACGAAGTCTAACACAAACTGCAGTTATTTAAAAGGCAATGTAGTAATTTAATCAAGATCCACTTGCTTTTGGATATTTCACGTTTCTACTTCTGGTTTCTTCTTGGATCACTTTCTGAATATAATGGATCTGGAGTACAGGGCCACAGCCTTTAGAGTTTCTTTTCTCTTCCCTCAGTGTTTTAAGTGGGAAGGTGTTTGCCCATCAGAAGAGAAACTGTTGGATTGCATGGTGCCCCTTGCTGTTTGAGGTGCCTCTGAGGAACTTGGTGTGGAGATAGGAGGAGATCAGGAGAAGATTCTTCGAGCTTCGGCTAGAAGATGTCCAGGCAGGTTATCTTCTAACTACATGCAACTAGAGGCATATTTACAGAGAATAATCTGAAGCTTGACTCTTTGATCATCAACTCCTTGGAGTAGCCTGTTAGCTCTTAAATACTCTCAGTTCTAGTGAAACAAATAAAATTCCTACCTCCCCCTCCACCGTTCCTTCCTCCTCCTCTCTCCAGATTTCCTCCCCCTCCCTCCCTGAAATATATATAGAATACCCACCATCAAGCATTGTTCTTGGCTCTGGGGATGCAGCAGTGAATGGAAACAGATGAAGTCCCTGTCCTTATGGGATGTTTCTATTGGGGAACAAAGTGGAAATCTCGGGAGGGCAAGACGCCCAGCACATGGTTATCCTGTGGACTGCAGGAATAGTGAGTAGTTTGTTAAGCAATAATTATTTTTATTAACTTGGGGGAGAGAAAGTTTTCACATGTGTATTTCTCCTTGCCTTCTCTCCATGCCACCCATTTTACTGATATGTTTTTAAGGAAGAATCACCGAGTTAGTTCTGACTCTCATTTAGGTAAATGTTTCCAATTCATTTAAGGTTATCGGCTTTTGTGTTTTGTCCCACTACAGATGGGCTTGCGGTTCTGTTTAAAAGATGGGTCATCATTACATATATAGAAACCTAATCCAGGTTTAGTAGTGTCAACAGATGTCTTCATGAAATCTGATTTTAAAAAATCAATTTCTGTGGTTGATTTGGAAGGAGTGGGCCCAAATCTAGAAGCACGGACATGGGCTATCATTTCAGTGCCTTTTAGAAAAATTGCAAAGCAGGAAGTAAACCTTGCTTGCTGAGGTTTAAGGATGGATGGGTCTAATTTTGTTTTGCATTTATATTTAATGGCCTGGGTGCCTTTCCTGTGGGCTGGTGCACATTTAGCTAATGAATGCCTTCTGAGGAGACCTTGTTGGTTATATGGAGGGCACCCCCCAGCCTCCTCATCTGGAAGCCCAGAGAGAAACCTGGTGCCGTTGCCCGCAAGGCCGCTGCAGGGCTCACCTGCAGAGTTGTTTTTGTGTTGCCCACTCGCCTGGATTGTTAGTTTGTAAAAATCAAAGGACTAAGGCAGAAGCCCTGATGCTGACCCCGAGTTATTAAATTGGTTCCTCTGGCCATTTTTCTCAGCCACAGAGCTGCCCACTAGCCACGGGCCCTGACCCCGGGCTGTGGCGTATGCCTCTCTCTCCTTGGGGCCGTCAGCCTTGCAGTTTGTAAAGCCATCATTCAGTTGAGTTCAGGCTGTTGGTTCTATTTTTCTCAAGTACAGTTTGTTATTTTGCTCTGCTTTGCTGCTCATATGCGAGGACCTTTCTTGGCCAGCCTCTTGAGATCTTCTGTTCTGGTGATAGATGCTTGATTCAGGTTTGGAGAGCAGCTTAGTGTCCTCAGATAATTCTGGGAAAGCAACTGAAGAGTGATCTGGTTCTACAAGCTGGTGACTGGACCCACAATACCCAGAAGAGGTCTGCATTTTGCCCCTGGCACCGCAGAGTGAAAGGGAGGCCAGAGTTCTCTGCAGACTCCACCTGTTCTCCTTACTGCCCTTTGTAGTGAATGGACATTGACTCAAGTTTGTCTATCTACACTCTTTGGGGAGCCCCTTAAAACCCGGATTTGACTTGGAAATGAAGCTTTTGGTTATGGCTTCTGATCATGCTATATGTGGTAGAAGCTTAGTGTCTGTATTTTTAAAATTCAGACTGGCTTTTAATACTGGGTAACTAAGTCATAGATGAGGGGAAGTTGATGGAGTGATGGAAATAGACAATTGCCATTTTGCAGCCCATCAATGAATTGATGGATCTGGGCATGAGACATCGACACTTGGTAATATCCTCCAGAGACAATAAGCTGTTGTTTGCCCCTGACAGTAGAATACTTTACCTCCAAGGAAGTAGTCTTATAAAAACAAATACAGCTGATCTGTTCAAGTAACAATTTACAGTAACTACAGAGGACACGAAAACATGGTAAAACAATGTTGTTAGGGATACCATTGGCCTATTCCAGACTGACCAAAGGTCTGCTTTCTTTAACAAATAAATTACAAGAAAGGAAAAAATGATGGAATGGAAAACCTACAGATTAAAGAATTTGAGACATATCCATGAAAGTCTGTAGTCTCAGCTACCTGGGCGGCTGAAAAGGGAAGATTGCTTGACCCCACAAGTTCATTTCTAGCCTGGGAAACATAGCAAGACCCCATCTGGGGAGAGAGAGAGAGAGAAAGAGAGAGAGAGAGAGACAGAGACAGACAGACAGAGACAGACATACCAACTGATCTCCATATGTACCTTATTTAGATCCCAATTCAAATGAATTAACTAGTAAAATCTGGGCATTTGGAGATTTGAACCCTGATTGGAAATGGGGCAAAATTAGGGGAGAGTTGTTAAATTTTTCTAGGTCCAATAATAACTTTGTGTTTTTATTTTAAAAGCACCTATTGGCTGGGCGCGGTGGCTCATGCCTGTAATGCCAGCACTTTGGGAGGCCGAGGCGGTGAATCACTTGAGGTCAGGAGTTCGAGACCAGCCTGGCCAACATGATGAAACCCCCATCTCTACTAAAAATACAAAAATTAGCTGGGAATGGTGGCGCACGCCTGTAATCCCAGACAGGAGAATTGCTCTAACCAGGGAGGTAGAGGTTGCAGGTGAGCTGAAATTGCACCAGTGCACTCCAGCCTGGGTAACAGAATGAGACTCTGTCTCAAAAAAAAAAACAAAAAAGCACCCACTGTAACACAGTGAATGTATATAGAGGACAGTCAGCAAATGCTTATTGAATGGTCAGTTTGATGATATAATATTTAAGTTTAATTGGATTCTTATAGATGAACTAGGATACCCTTTTCATTCTGAGTTGACCATTTGCACCTTGTAGGAAGGAACAGGTGAGGCTTCCAAGTTTGTCCTCCTTCCTGCTCTGTGGAACCAAATCCATTATGTACACAGCCCCTACCCTAACAGAGACGATCACAATCACATTTAAATTATACAGTGCACCTACAGAGTTTCAGCAGATGTGTGAATATTAAGTTATTAATAACTAATTGGGTGCTAATTATGTGCCCTGGAGTTCTTGGAGTGATAAAGAAGTGTCACCTACTGTGTCAGGCCTCTGTCTTTTCAGCTTTGGAAAATCATTTTTGGCAGATGTGCCAAAGTTAACTTTGGAGCTTTAGGTTTTGAATATCATTTCTCACAAGTCTTATTTTATTTTTTTATGCCTTGTGAAAACTTACTGTGAAACTGATGTGACTTCCCATAAGTAAAAATTGCATGTACCGTTTTCCAAAGAGGGGGTGGCCTGTGTGTGATGATAGTGTTTCATCTCTCGGGAGATGGAAGAACTAACATTAATCCCAGGGGAGAATTTAAAGCTGCTCAAGGGAATTCAGAAGTGATTCTGAAGCCCAGTGGGTTTTTGGTATATTTTGGGAGATAACTGGTTTGGAAGGGCTTTGAACTTGGATCTTGCAAGTCTTAGCTCCATCACTAAGGATACGCATCTCGTATTTGTGCACACACGCCCCCACTGCCCCCTTTTTGTTCCATCTCTATCCGAAATAGGACTAGTTTGGCTTTTGTTAACTGGAAGAAATCATTGAGTTAGAAAGCCTGGATACCAGGTTAGGATACTAGGAATGTGATCCATGGTTTCTAAGATTTATAGAATCCTGTTAAATTTAGAAGAAGGGTTTTAATGAGATAATCATTGAAAGGCTACACTCTCCCCTTTCTGTCTCTAGTTGCTTGTAAGCTTTAGATTGCTGGAACTTTGTGCCTCCTATTTGGAACAGGCAATACACTCATTTGTCTTAAAGTCAAATCCAACAAGAAAAGAAGGTGTTGCTTTATGGTCGACATAACCCATTTGCTGCTGGAAAGTTGTTAGGACATTAGAGCTGCTTGGTTTGCTTTGTCTTTTAAAATTAGCTTCATAAATGCACACAATTGAAGAGGCTCCTGATCTTGGATATTGCTTTTCCTTCTCCCACTAAGAACATTAAAAAAATCTCAGTATTTCCAACCCAGGGTTAAAAATATAATATAAAAGGTAGAAGGGAAAACTGAAGATGAAAGTAAACAAATAGAAGGCCAGAGTTACCAAATATTGACAATGATTAACACCTGTTTGTTACTGGTCAAGCTGGCCAAAAACCCAGTGTTTGCATTTAGCCACAGAAAATAAAAGCTCTCCCAGTTGGGTTGTGATTAATAGCTTTGTCCACACCCCGCATTCCTTTTCTATGCTGTGTGTTTGCCCACCTGTTGTTTGGAACTCCTTTCTAGGTTTTGGCCTTAACTGATAGATGATTCCTGGTGGGATCCAGAGACTGTCTGAGGTTCAGGTTTCCAGCCTCCCTTGCAGCTAGTGTGTGGGCATGTGACCCGGGCTCCACCAATCACATGCATCTGTCCCAGACTTTGGATTTACTGCTAGTTTTGCCAACACAGACAGAAGAAAAGACATTTTGCCAGTTGCTACAACATCCTGTTGACAAGAATAGCAGTGGTGGTAGAGAAGCCTCGTTGCCTTAACGGGGCTAGTTCCTGAGCTCCATTATCTAGCCCACGGGTTGGCAAATTTTTTCTCTAAAGGGCCTGATAGTAGATGCTTTAGATCCTATGGACCATACAATCTTTGTTGGAATTATTGATCTTTGTTGTGGTGTTGTGAAAGCAGCCATAGACAATATGTGAGCAAATGAGCATGGATGTGTTCCAGCAAAACTTTATGTACAATAACAGGCAGTTGCCTGATTTGACTGTAGTTTGCCAATACCAGATCTAGCCTAACCAGTGATCCTGGGAGCTGAGCTACCCAAAACTTTCAGTAAATTCTGTTTCTTAGATCAGGTAGACTTGGTTTATTTTCCTTGCCACTAGGGTATTCATTCCTATTTCCAGACTTCATAATCTAACTTACTATGTGCAGAGGCCATAAAATCTTACCTGCTTTATACAGACACAAATAAGGACTCCTCCATTCAGAGAGAGTAACTCTTTTGGATAAAATATGGTTTGTTTTTGATTCTCTGCAGTAGATCATCTTTTTTTATTTTTTTGAGATGGGGTCTCACTCTGTCACCCAGGCTGGAGTGCAGTGGCGCAGTCTTGGCTCACTGCCACCTCCACCTCCTGAACTGAAGCAATCCTCCCACCTCAGCCTCCAGAGTAGCTGGGACCATGGGTCCCACCACGCCACCACGCTTGGCTAATTTTGTGTATTTTTGGTAGAGAAGAGGTTTTGCCATGTTGTCCAGGCTGGTCTCGAACTTCTGAGCTCAAGTGATAACGCCTGCCTTGGCCTCCCAAAGTCCTGGGATCAAAGGCATGAGCCACCGCTCCTGGCCAGATCATCTAATTCTTAATTGAACTGCCTTCTTTGTCCAAAACTCTTCTGGAATTACACATCTAGAAATGCTCCCATTCAAAACATTATTCCCCTAGAGGAGTTCTTTGTACCCTTTCCCCAGCCTCCCCCAATGATGCATTCTATATACTTATAGTGTAATATCAAAACCAAGAAACTGACATTATCAATTCACAGACTTTATTCAGATTTCACCAGTTTAACATGCACTTATTTGTATTTACTCAGTGGTGTTTGTGGTGTGTATGTGTATGTATAGTTTTATGCATTTTTTTCATATGTGTAGATTTGTGTGACCAGCATCACAATCTAGATACAGGACAGTTCCATCACTGCAAAGATCTCATATGCTACCCCTTGATAGCCACCCCCACATCCCTAACCTCTAGCAATTACTAACCCATTGTTATTTCGAGAATGTCATTATATAAAGGAAATCATACGGTACATAACCTTTTGGTGCTGGCTTGCTTTACTCAGTGTAGCTCCCCAGACCCATCCAAGTTGTTTGTTCCTTTTTATTCCTGAGCAGTATTCCATGGTAGGGATGTGGCAGTTTGTTTATCCGTTCATCTGTTGAAGAACATCTGGGCTTTTCCTAGTTTGGGGCTATTACAAATAAAGCTGCTTATGAACATTTGTGTACATAGTTTTTGAGTGAACCTAAGTTTTTATTTCTCTGAGATAAATGCTCAAGGGTGCCATTGCTGGGTCGTATAGTAAGTACATATTTAGTTTTATGGGAAACTGCCAGACTATTCTCCTTTACTAAGCACGTGATAACTGGAATTGGCAGTGTTTGAACAGCTCTTCCTGTCTTTCATTTTACCGTCTTTCACACCATTATCTGGATTAATTTTTAAACAAAAGAGGAATTGCAGTTTTCTTACATGCCAGATATTATACTAAGCACCATACACATACTATCTAATTTAAGCCTCATAACAACTCCCCAAAGGAGGGTCAATACCATTGTTTCTCTAAAGAAGGAAACTGAGCCACATGGTATGTGCGATTAATGAGCTAGATGATCCTGTAATTGTTCAGGTTCATCCAGCTCATTAAAAGTTATCAATTGGCCGGGCACAGTGGCTCACGCCTGTAATCCCAGCACTTTGGGAGGCCGAGGCGGGCGGATCACGAAGTCAGGAGATCGAGACCATCCTGGCTAACACAGTGAAACCCCGTCTCCACTAAAAAATACAAAAAAATTAGCCGGGCGTGGTGGCAGGCACCTGTAGTCCCAGCTACTTGGGAGGCTGAGGCAGAAGAATGGTGTGAACCTGGGAGGCGGAGCTTGCAGTGAGCTGAGATCACACCACTGCACTCCAGCCTGGGTGACAGAGTGAGACTCCGTCTCAAAAAAAAAAAAAAAAAAAAGAGTTAGCAATTCAAACTCTGACCTTGGAGCTGGTGCTGCTTTTCTGAAACCACTGAATGTTTGGTGCCCTTGATGCCTTGAGATGTTCCCTTACGAAGTGTCCTGATTGTGATTGCGGCCTGTGAGGCCCGTTATGGCTTGTCTATCTACTGACACTCCCTTGTACCCATCCGTGAATCCTCTGTCCTCTTGGGTTTTATTTTTCTGTCTTGCTTTTGATATGCCTGAAGCCCAAGACAGGCTGCAACTTCATGATAAGTGGAGGCTTCATGTTTGATTAAACCAGTCCTATGCATTGTCACCTGAGAATATCCTGACAGTGGAATTAGTAAAGGAGACTACTGCAGGGTGTTGTGGACCCCCATGGTGATGAAGACACTCTGAGATTAAAATAACATATTAGGAGATTCGTTAACATAGTTGTCCATTCGTTACCCAGGCAATCCTTGTTTCATTCATAAGGTCTCATGACTGCATCTTAGTTGGACTTAGCAGCACCTAACTTCTGCGGATTCCCTGGCATCCCTCCAGGACCCCATTCTTTCCTGCCTTGAATGCCTTCCTGTGTTTCACACATAGGCACCAAGGATCCAGGTGGAAGACACCTAGCTTGCTCCTACCAGGCTACACATTTTCACCCGAGGGGAAATGAAAACTGGGCAGCAAAAGAGAGGTTTTCTTTTGGAATTACACATCTTGAAATACCTCAGTTCCTCTGTCCTGAGACAAAGGCATTTCATTTTTTGTTGGCAGCTAAATGCAGGGTGTTTGAGTGGGGTGACCCCAGGCTGATGCACCAAGGGAACGTCTAATGCCTGCACTTCCCAGGCTTTCTGCTGCAGAACACACACTCATTTGGCTGCCATCTGTAATACAGTCAGAGAGAGAGGGCAGACATTTTTCTATTAGGTTCTATTACCTTGTATTGGAAGAATAATGGCATGTTGCTTGAATGTTTCCCAAGAGAATGTTTTCTGTGCTCCGTGTATATTTCAAACTCCAAATAAGAAAAGTAATGAGGGTTGGGGGCTGCTGGTGAGGCAATCTCCACTTTAAAGATTCTGATCTTTGTTGAAGCAATTATTTATTTACATGAAAAAATAATGCCTTTTCCTTGAGCTGTCTCAGGAAATCCAAAAGTGAAGAAGCAAATAGACGTTTCATATAGTATAGCAGTGTCAAAGAACAGTCATATGTGAGTTTATTACCAAGGTTAAAAAACCTAGTGTTAACTTTGGGTTTGTCTAAGTTTGTTTTTCATTGTTACACGAGTATGCCGGAGACTGGTTAATTTATTTTACTTCCTCCCTCCCTCCCTCCCTTTTCCCTTTTCACTTCCCTCCCTCCCTTCTTTCCCTCCCTCCTTCCTTCCTTTTTCTATTTTCTTTTAAGAGATGAGGTCTTACAGTATTGCCTAGGCTGGTCCTGAACTCCTGGGCTCAAGTGATCCTCCCACCTCAGCCTGCTAAAGTACTAGGATTACAGGCATGAGCCCCTGTGCCTGGCTTTGGTAATTTATAAACAATATAAATTTATTTCTCACAGTTCTGGAGGCTGGGAAGTCCAAGATTTAGGTGCCAGCAGGTTCAGCTGTCTGGTGAGGGTTTTTCTCTGCTTCCAAGGTGGCACCTTATTGATGCATCCTCTAAGGAAGATATGCTGTGACCTCTCATGCAGAAGTGGAAAAACAAGTGAACCAAACACTATCTGAAGACTCTTTTATATGGTTCTTAATCTCATTAACAAGGGAGGAGCCATCATGGCCTAATTGCCTCGTAAAGATCCCGATTCTTAATACCATCACATTGACAACACCTACGTTTTGGAGGAGACATGCAGGCTTCAAATCACAGCAGGGCTAAATCAGCATAATATGACAACTTGGATTTATTGTGTTGAGTATAATGCAAGGCACTTTGCTTATATTACATTGGCTCCTCTTAGAAATAGGTTGTCGTATAGATGCACAGACTGACACTTAAAGTTTTAGTTACTTGCTCAAGATCATGTGGCTGATGACAGGGCTTGAAATTGGTAAAGCCTTGGTTTGGGGTTTGAATCCTGCCTTATGTCCCTGAGCTCATTATTTCAACAGACTTGCTATAATCTGCTGGTGGAAAGCAGACCATCAAGAACATCTTTTACAAATGGTAGCCTGAAGGTCCTAATAAACAGGGCACTGAGTTTTACTGCTAAACCTAATAAGGGGAGTCTCTGGTTTCTCTCGATTTCTCCTTGTCCTTAATTCTTCCACCTTTTCTTCCCAGAAGGAAAAATAAAACCCATAAGCACCAGGGATTAAAAAGCCTGGTACTTTTTTTCCCCTGTACAAATGCAGTGATACATATTGAATGTGTGAAAACCAGAGCTGTACACGGCTGCTGAGAAATTATCTTTTAATACATAAGGGTTACAAAACCAAATCAAGGAAGCCAAGGGTGGGGGCACCATGTACCTTGATCCTAAAAATGTTGAATGCCAGCGAGGTATTACAGAATCTACCATTGCCACTCACCTAGGAACACCAGTGGGAATGTGTAGTACAAGATTTTTGTGGAATGAGACTCATGTTCGAAGAACACAGTGACGAGTTCCGCACAAAACTGTTGAGAAGCAGCCAAAAAAGAGCTCATAAGAGATTGAGTCCCGGCCAGGAGAAGGGAAACTTGGCACCTGATTTTATTAGGATGCAATAGTTATCCAACCATTGGATGTGCCTGCGGTTTTCACAGGGAAGACCGTAGACCTCAGGATGATAACTGAGTAAGAAAGAAGTTTTGTGTTTGAGCCCATGTGTTTCTAACCAGAGTGCTCTTTTCCATGGAATAAATGTTTCCTAACACTAGTGTGAAGATTTAATCAAATACACACTTCCTCATCAAACGCACAGTCAACTTTTATCTTAAAATTTATTAATGTGATGGTTTTCATTTTCAAATGTAAGCATTTTCAAACACTTAATTGTTTAACTCTCGATTTGCAAAATGAGTTTTTTGGTGAAATGTGTCATTTGAGGGTCTTTTACCACTGTTTGGTTTTATAGCTTGCTTTTCTTGTTTACTTTATGATGTAAACTAATTTTTACTACCAATAAAAGTTTTAGGAATCCTATTTACATGTGAACAATGATTCAGCAATTTGAACCTATATTTTTTGCTGTGGAGTTGTCTAGTAAAAGTTTATATGACTCTGCTGACTCTAATGGCTCCGATAAATTACACATTTATCTGTGTGTATGTTTATATTTTTTTCCTCATTGCCTACACTTCTAGAACCCTGTTCATCAACCTCAATTACACGATGTATTTGGACACTCTTTCTCTTTTTTTTTTTTTTAAAGGAAAAACATAATTTCTATATACTACCAGATGGGTGTGTTGGCTGTAAGATAAAAATCCCAAAATACTTAAGAGACCATCTGGTATCTTGGTAGGGTTTAGTTGATTAAGTTCTTGTGTATTGATTTCAGTCTGAGCAGAGGTAATCTTATCCCTTTGGATCTCTACTTAAAGAAAAAAGTTGTCGTTGACATTTTGTCCCATTGTTAATAATCTTTTTTTTTTTTAAGTTTCACAAGAAAATACTAGTGATAGATGATAGCAGCCATTGATTTATATGCTCACACAGTTGCTCATGACTAGTGGTTGTTTATCCTGAACGGGCCTGATGAAGCCTTAGGGCTAGACTTAGTTCATGAGACACAGATTTCTTTAGAAGATGATAATGGGTCCATGTGGGAATTGACCTGGATTCATTGGTGTTGAGCTTGAAGCTAAGCAATTTCCGTGCACCATGTTGGAAGTTTTCTGGGTGTTACTTTGTAGGCCACCAGTGAATACTGCACCTCTGGTGTACCTTGGAGAGTGTCAGAAGCTTTATATATATTGATCCATGTAAGTCATGTAAGAATCAAATAGCCAGGTGTGGTGGCTCACGCCTGGAATCCCAGCACTTTGGGAGGCCGAGGTAGGTGGATCACTTGAGGTCAGGAATTTAAGACCAGCCTGGCCAACCTGGCGAAACCCCGTCTCTACTAAAAATACAAAACTTAGCCGGGCATGGTGACACACACCTGTAGTCCCAGTTATTCGGGAGGCTGAGGCAGGAGAATCACTTGAACCTGGGAGGCTGAGGTTGTAGTGAGTAGAGATCACACCACTGCACTCCAGCCTGGGCTACACAGCGAGACTTCATCTCAATATATATATAAAAGTAGGCCAGGCGCAGTAGCTTATGCCTGTAATCCCAGCATTTTGGGAGGCTGAGGCAGGTGGGTCACGAGATCAGGAGTTCAAGACCAGCCTGGCCAAGATGGTAAAACCCCATCTCTACTAAAAATACAGAAATTAGCAGGGTATGGTGGTGGATGCCTGTAATCCCAGCTACTTGAGAGGCTGAGGCAGAGAATTGCTTGAACCTGGGAGGCGGAGGTTGCACCGAGCCCAGATCGCCACTGCACTCCAACCTGGGAGACAGAGCGAGACTCCGTCTCAAAGTAAGTAAATAAAAAATAAAATGAAGAATCAAATAAATAGTGCTCTATTCCTCATTCTGCAGATGCGGAGTGTGTTAGCCATTGACAGGGCTGATCTTCAAGTTTACCTCTGCCTGACTCTGAAATTAGAATTTCCTCTACGGTGCAATCTATTTTCCCTGATGGCCAGGACACTTGTTGAGCTCTTTCTTTGGGTCATGGACTGGGCTAGGGTTAAGGGATATTCAGTGGAGCAAATGTTCCCCTTCTCTGCCCTTCTAGAACCTTGTTCCTCTAGTTACAATATTTTAATATTGTTGTTAATGTTTCTTTTCTTATTTATATTTAAGATACATCCTCAGGCTCTTCATTTTAAACAGGGATTCTCAACCTTAGCACTAGTGGTATTTTTGGGCCCCGATAGTTCTGTGTTGCTGGAGCTCTTCTGTGCATTGTAGGATGTGTAGTAGTATTCCTGGCCTCCACTCACTGGATGCCACTAGCATCCTCCTAAGTTGGAACATCCAGGGGTAGTCAAATGCCTTCTGGCAAGTGGGGGATTCTCCCCTAATAGAGAACCATTCTTCTAATGTAACTGCCAGCTATTTGTCACTGGGTGAAGGGTCAGAAGCCTGTTTGGCAGCTGCAGAATCTTTGTATCAAAATGCTATGGAGTGGAGATTTACACTACAACCACCAGATATCATGGGGGTAGAAATTATGCCAAACAACAGATTTGTATTCATTGCAGAACATTTTATAAGTACATATAAGATAAGGGAAAAGTAATTTTTTTTAAAAGTACTTATAAGCCAAAAGAAGAGACAATTTAAAAAATCATCTCACAATGTAGAGATGAATGTGACTTAATGTCACTACATCCTGATAGTTTTTTTTTTCTATACATATTACACATAGGAAAGACGTATTGTACATATAGGGTTAGTCAAGACATCCTGTCTGTGACTGATGTTATGCAATCTACTTTTTCATTTTATATTGTGAACATTTCCCCATTTCTTTAAATTATCCCCCTTTTTTTTTCCAGCATGGTTCATAATGGGTGGCATATTTGTCTCCTGTTCCTTGTCATTTTTAGCAGCTGCAATAGTGATCCTCCATAAATGGGCCAGTGTCTACTTTTCTGTCATTTTAATGTTGGACATTTTATTTGTTTTCATTTTTTTTTTTGTTCTAAATAATGCTTTTAGTCCTCACGTATTTATGTACATGAGACTGTATGCCAGGCACCCCTGCTTCAGGTACCTTGGATAGAACAGTGAACAAGGCTGATCCCTGTCCTCATGGATCTTACAGTCCAGCTGCGTATGTGTAGCTAAATCATTGCATATGTCTTTGTTTTGTTAGGATTCGTCGTGCCCTGCCATTTTCTCAGATGTGTTGTCCCCTGCCCTTTCAACTTTCTTTGCTCATCAGGGTAACCTCTTCCTGTATAAGGGCCCAGCCTCTATGAAAGGGAGGCTCTAGAATCTGCTCGCCTGTGAGATTAGAATTCACCTTGGCCCACACTGTTCCCAGTTATCTAGTGAAATCAGCATGAATCAGAATCTACTAGAAGCAGCATGTGTGCAGGTTGTTAAGCGGGGAGCGGTGGGGGGCGCGGGGAACTGTAAGGGAACATGTAAGGCTAATTAAGGTACATCATCTGTTAGGTGTCTTTTTTGTCCTGTTTTTCATGGATGGCTCCAGGGGAAGCCCAGTGCCACATCTGAGAGGCATAGAGGGAACATGAGATACATGCCCTTCCAGGGCACTTTGACTTTGACAAATTACCTAATCTCTTCGGACCTCAGTTTACTCTTGTGCCTTATAGTGTTGTGGTGAGAAATGAATCGTGTGTGAATAGCATTTACCGTGGAGTCTGGGATGTGGGAGTCATTCAAGAGAATGGGGCTGCTCTTGTGCTTTAACCAACACCTGCCCGCCACCCCCTGCACCCATATGCTAGATAATTGATGTGCGTTCTCAAGTCTTCATAGCACATTTAGGAGATATAGGTGGAATTTTGTTAGTTTTTGCTTCATATGCTTTGAGGCTCTGTTGTTAGGTGAATATATATTTATGATATCATTCTTTTTTCTTTCTTTCTTTTTTTGAGACAGGGTCTCACTCTGTCCCCCAGGCCAGAGTGCAGTGGTGCAGTCTCAGCTGACTGCAGCCTCCGCCTCCCAGGCTCAAGCAATTCTCATACCTCAGCCTCCTGAGTAGATGTGACTAGAGGCATGTGCCACCATGCTCAGCTAGTTTTTTGTATTTTTAGTAGAGATGAGGTTTCGTCATGTTGTCCAGGCTGGTCTTGAACTCCTGAGCTCAGGCAGTCCGCCCGCCTCAGCCTCCCAAAGTGCTGGGATTACAGGCGTGAGCCACCATGCCTGGCCTATAATATAATTCTATCCTGCTTTCTTGTATGCAGCCCAGGGCTTAATGGGTTGACCTTCTATGCTGCTGACAAAGGAAGGCTACCTGTGCTTTTTCTTTTTTTTTTTTTTTTTGAGACAAAGTCTCACTCTGTCGCCCAGGCTGGAGTGCAGTGGTGCAATCTCGGCTCACTGCAACCTCTGCCTCCCGGGTTCAAGAGATTCTTGTGCCTCAGCCTCCTGAGTAGCTAGGATTTTAGGTGCCCACCACCATGCCCAGCTACTTTTTGTATTTTTTTTTTAGTAGAGACGGGGTTTCACCATGTTGGCCAGGCTGGTCTCAAACTCCTGACCTCAGGTGATCCACCCACCTCGGCTTCCCAAAGTGCTGGGATTACAGGCGTGAGCCACCGCACCCGGCCACCTGCGCTTTATCAGCTTATTGAGGTGTGCGGCAGGAGTCCTGGTTGCCTGGTGAGTCATCCTGCAGGTGGAATGGTTGAGTCGCCGAGTCCCCTGCCAGATTGTCCAGAGTTGTACAAGGGCACAGTGCTGCCTCTCAATGACAGGAAATAGGTATGATTTCCTCTCTCTTCTTTGTCCTTATTTCATCTCTGATTATTGTCTTCCCAGCATTTAACCACATTTGCAAGTTACGTTTTTCACTTATTTGTTGACCTGTTCATGATATTCATTAATCCTGTAGATTAAGATCTTCAGGGATTGTTATCAGTTTCACTTATTCTTTTATCATATGGTCCCAGGATACTGCCTGGCACATAGTAGATGTTCAGAAATATGGACTAAATGAGTATTATAATTGACACATCTCAGTCAAGAAGGAGTGGCAGTTATACTCAGTTGTAACTTTTTCTTGAAGATATGTATCTTCAAGTTACTTGTACTAATGGGTGGTTGCATATTTTGGCTCTTTTACTTTGTATTTTTTTAGAAACAGGGTCTTACTTTGTCACCCAGCTTGGAGTGTGGTGGCAGGATCACGGCTCACCACAGCTCACTCCTGGCTCACTCCTGGGCTCAAGTGATCCTCCTGCCTCAGCCTTCCCTGTAGCCAGGACAACAGGCATATGCCATCATGCCTGGCTAATTTTTAAATTTTTTTTGTAGATATAGGATCTCCCAATGTTGCCTAGACTGGTCTTGAACTCCTGGTCTCAAGCCATTCTCCTGTCTTGGCCAACCAATTGTGAAACTGTGTCTGGCCTGTTTAACTCTTAAGTGTAGATGTAATTTACTTCATGAAAGAGTCAGACTCAGTGGCTTATACCTGTAATCCTAGCCCTTTGTGGGAAGCTGAGGTGGGAGGATTGCTTCAGGCCCTGAGTTTGATACCAACGTGGGCAACATAGCAAGACCCCCCCCCCCCCGACCATCTCTAAAGAAAATAAAATGAAAAAATAAGCTGGGCATAGTGGTGAGCTCCTGTAGTCCCACTTCTCAGGAGGCTGAGGAGGGAGGATCAGTTGAACCCAGGAGTTTGAAGCTGCAGTTAGCTATGATTGTACCACTGTATTCCAGACTGGGCAACAGAGCCTGACCCTGTCTCTTAAAAAAATAAATAAATAAGAAAAACAAGAAAGGGCTTCTTTCCTTCTGAGTGTGTGAGCATCCCTCATTTGATGCAGAAGGTGAGGTGACACAGAAGTGGTCTCTGTCTCAGGGATTAGCAAATTTAGTAGGGAAATGCCTCCATAGCCCCCAATTTACATATGAATAGTTAAAAACTGACCGTTTCATAAAATAAGCCCTAACCAGGAATGCATTTTAAGGGAATACTCTTGTGATGAGTGGATTTCCAGAGCAAAGAAGAGACACAGTCTGAGTTACCAGTGCCAATTACTTGGTACCACTGCAAATCATTCCCCTTTGGCAACATTATTTTTAAAATTAACTTTTAGGAATTTCTTCTCCAAGCGTATTCTTGGTTCGGCATTCTAACAGTTCATTTACCTGATTGCATTTGATGGGTCTGTTGGGATTCTGGAATGTCAATTTTACTTTTTAGGAGATAGGTTGCCTGGGTCATGTCCAACATTCTTGTAGATTGAAGATATTTTCCTTAGCTTCTTGTTCTTTGCTTTCTGGACTCACATCCTTTAGTTGTTTTCGATTTGGGGCTACTATAAAAAATGTTTTTACTTATTCTCCAGATATTTTCTTCCAGCCATATGCCGGGCCCCTTTGTTTCAGGCACCCAGGATAGAGTGGTGAACAAATCCCTGCCTGCACAGAGCTGACATTCTAGAACCTGTGTAGGGGAGAGAAGATTCCTTTCCCTTACACATCAAAAAGTTCATGGCTGAGGCCCCCATAACAGATTAACAAGAGAAAAGCAAGCATATTTATTGAATATCAGTTTTACGTGTCACAGGAGTTTTCAGAAATGAAGACCCAAAGCAACGGGGAAAACTGTATTTTTATGGACAGTGGTGCCAAAGTATGATTGGAGGACAAAGGGGTATTATTGTCTACCGGTAATAAACTGTGGGGGTGGAGGGGAGCCAGCAAGGCTTGTTTTGTTCAATTTCTTCTTGGTGTCTCACAGAAATAAGGACGTTCCTTTCCTCTGGGCATGTGGAGGACCTCTCTAGAATGAGGGTGAGACTATGACCTACTTTCAGGGGAAGGTCAGTTAAGTTTTATAACCAGTTTCAGGGGGAGAAGGGATGAGAGAGGACCAGAGAGACCATCCTGCTTTTGATGTTCTCCCAAAGGCAAGGTGCTCCATTTTGAGGCCAGGAGTTTGGTACTAGCTTGGGCAACATAGCAAGAGCCCCCGTCTCTACACAAAATAAAATAAAAAAATAAGCTGGGCATGATGGTGAGCTCCTGTAGTCCCACTACTCAGGAGGCTGAGGAGGGAGGATCAGTTGAACCCAGGAGGTGTTCTCAACTCTGGCACATGCTTGTAGCTGAATTATTGATGATGCCTTTGATTTGTTTTCTTGGGATTCATTGTGCCCTAGTGTCTCCTGTATGTGCCGTCCCTCATGCCTTCAACTTTCTTTGCTCAAAATGAAACCAATTGATGATAAATGAAAGGATCAGTAGGCTTTAAAGCAGTTATTTACAACTGAGCATTTAGAGTTCCCACGCTTAAAAAGTGGGAGCTGTTCCCATGGCTGCTGAGAGTGCTGCGGAAGCTGGTTCTCTTTGTCCTTAAGTTGATCGATAGCAGGCATCAGCGGGGAAGATGCTTTGTACTTTGCTTGTTAAACAGAGGGCTGCTAAGCAGCTGTGGCAGTGTGACCCTGGTTGTGCTGCTGTGGGTGACATGAGTGTGCATGTGGACAGTGGTTATGGTGCTTCCCTACACACTGGGCACCCACCCTATGGACAGACACACTCCATGAAAATGTTTGGGAAGTATAAGAGCTCCAGGCCATGGGATGAAATGGGAAGGACCTAACTCTGATTTCTAGATTTGGAATTGAATCTGCATGTACTGTTCAGGTCATTGTTCTGGCACATATTTGACGGTTTGGTTGTCTTCAAGCTCAGGGGCTGCGAAAGTTGCCAGAATAGGAATGTTCTGGCCTGATGCAAGCAGGCACCCGGTGCCTGTGGATTCAGGACTGGTCACACTGCAGCTGGACATTATGAATTCAGATGTCCCTGATGAGACGGTGTCCTAGGACAGTGGCTAGGTGAGGTCTCAGGATCTCAGGTACAAGGTTAGAGGAGGCAACGTGGAGTCACAGTGGAGAGCCTGGTTGGTCCCATAGCCAGATAGCTACAGGTTCAGGTACCAGCTCTGCCCTCATCTATTTTTTGTGACCTTGGGAAAGTTAGATAACAATTTGAGCTCCTTTTTCTATCTTGAAAATAGGGATCTAATGTCTAACTTAGCTCCCTGGTGTTTTATTCTCCCCATCTCATCCACATCACACTTTTATTTTCAAGTCTTGTTTTCTTTCTGTCATTTATTCCCGAGATAAGTGTATGCTTGTTTTGTTGTTTATTTTCCCAGCTAGGATACAAGTTCTTTGCGAGTTAAGGATTTGATTGGTCTTGTTCACTGCTCTGTCTCAGCACCCAGCACCTACTAGGTGAAGTATTTATAGAATGAAAGGATGAGTTTGCTAGACACTCATGGCCATGATCTAGTGCTCCCAGGTCCGTATTTTTTGGCCAAAGCCAGAAAAAGACCATCTTCAAGTAGAAACATAGTTATACGCCTGTAAAAATTTGACACATTATAGATTCTGGCCACCATGCCCTTGGAACTTCACTTCTGAATCTGTGTTCAGACCAGGAATGTAGCACTGGTTCTCATGGCTTGCTTTGGAGGAAGTCTTTGGAAATTTTTGCTGATAGCCTTCTACCTAGGAGCATGAGTTCGGCTGTTTTCTCCTGCCCCTGCCCCTGCCCCTGCCCCTGTTCCCCTTTTTGGACAGTGCCCAAGACCTAGCAGACACACCTTGGGGCCCCTCTAGCCTGAAAGCCTTTGGTAATCCCTGCTTTTAAGGGCCTTTTGCCATGGCCTGATGAACATCAGACAGGATGCTGATGGTTTTATTCTTGTAGCTCCATAGCCGTCAGCCTGAATAGATGTTCTCAGGGCTTCATATAGGCATATACAATGTATGTTTTCTTTCATCGACAAAGGCACTGATGGTGCAAGTCCAAACAGTGCTGCTCAGTTGAGGATTTTCTTGTTCAATTTTCGGGAGCTCTTGACTGACTGCATTCTGCTTCACTGGAGAAGAAGATAGTTTGATGAGGCTGTGTACACTTCTTAAAAGTGAAAAAGCCTTTGCAGGTTTGTCCAGACAGTGGGGTGACCAGGAAGGAGAGTCAGAAGAGAAGGTAGGGGTCTGGATCCTGATTTTGAGTGTTCATTTCCCAAAAAATCTTAGGAAGATAAACACTTTCTTGGTAACCTTTGAGTGTCATGTTCCTTCTCTGAAGAGTGTATTAGATTCCATGTGGTATACCCAGTAGATTGCATTTTGAGTGTCATTGATGATTAATGGATAGAGACTGCTTAGACCACTGTATGGAGAAGGATTCTGAAGTCATGTCTGGGTGCAGTGGGAGAGTGTCATGATACATTGATTATTACTTTTCATAACCGATTTACCTAAACCAAATAATACTAGTTTTTAAATTCCTGGATGTGATACACAATTTCCTTTAAAAATAAATTTAATTAGAAGAAATGAATGGTTTTTTTTAAATAAGGAAAACTAGAGTTTTTCAGGGGGAATGTGGCTATGGTGGAAACTTTGAACATAGTATGAGAAAGAATGAAATTCTGGCCGGGCGCGGTGGCTCACACCTGTAATCTCAGCACTTTGGGAGGCCAGGGCAGGCGGATCACGAGGTCAGGAGATAGAGACCATCCTGGCCAACATGGTGAAACCCTGTCTCTACTAAAAATACAAAAATTAGCTGGGCCTGGTGGTTTGTGCCTGTAGTCCCAGCTACTCAGGAGGCTGAGGCAGGAGAATCGCTTGAACCTGGGAGGTAGAGGTTGTAGTGAGGTCAGATCATGCCACTGCACTCCAGCCTGGCGACACAGTGAGACTCCGTCTCAAAAAACAAACAAAAATGAAAAAAGCACAAAGAATGAAATTCTGGAAACACTAAGGAGATGAATGTTTACCTACCTGACAGAATTGTTTTGGGAGTTTTAATGCAGGTGGCAGCTTGCTGTGACTTCTAAAGGCAGTACAGAAGTATCACAGTGTGGTTAAACTTCTTTTTTTGACCAGGAGGTAAACCTGAACTCAAAGTCTCCCAAAGCCCTCTCTGAACAAGAAAATAGAATAGTGGTCCAGAGTTTGGATACTGAGGCTGGACTGTCTGGGTTTGAGCCCCCTCTCGCCTCTGTTCACATAGTTAGCGAGTGATATATGCATTTAACTTCCCTGAGCCTCAGTTTCTCATTTGTTAAAGGCAGTACCTCATGGTGTTGGTATCAGGATTAAAAGACCATTTCAGAGGAAGCTTCTAGAACAGCACGTGGTTCAGTATAACACGGCGTCTACGGGTTGACAATGATAATGATGATTGGATATTAAAAAAACCTGACTGGATGCGTTGGCTCACGCCTGTAATCCCAGCACTTTGGGAGACTAAGGTGGGCTGATACCTGAGGTCGGGAGTTCGAGACCAGCCTGGCCAACATGTTGAAACCCCATCTCTACTAAAAACAGAAAAATTAGCTGGGCGTGGTGGTGCACACCTTGTAATCCCAGCTACTCAGGAGGCTGAGGCATGAGAATCGCTTGAACCTGGGAGGCGGAGGTTGCAGTGAGCCCGGATTGTGCCACTTGCACTCCAGCCTGGGCCATAGAGTGAGACTCCATCTCAAAAAACAAAACCTTACACAATTTAATACATTAAACAGGTTTGGACACTTTTTCCCCCCCTAATTAAAAATTTTTTTTTTTTCTTTAAGAGACAAGAGTCTTGCTCAGTTGTCCAGGCTGAGTGCAGTGGCATGCTCCTAGCCTACTGCAGCCTCAAACTCCTGGGCTCAAGCAATCCTTTCGCCTCAGCCTCCCGAGTAGCTAGGACTACAAGTGCATGCCACTAGCCCAGGCTCCCCTCACTTAAAAAAAATGGGTGCTTGGCCTTACAAATTGCTGAGATTACTCTGTCATCTTACTATTTTTATAAAAGTTTCCTTTTTTTTTTTTAAATTTTTAAGAGAGAAGTGATTTCTGAGTGAAGGAATAGCAAACCTTGACTGTGGTGAATATCTTATTTCTCCTTTAGTGTCTATATGCCCGTTTTTATGCTGCGTATATCTTATTTATCTGGCTTCCTAGGCAGTTTAGAATATGTAAAGCATTTATGCCACTGAATGTTTTTTAGAATTATAGCATCTTTAGTGAATGACTGTACCTACGCTGAGCCATTTTATCATGCTATAAATACCAAAAAACACTAGAAATTAAAGAACAAGTTTATTTCATTTTTGTATATAAATTCTATTCCTTTTATTTTTAACTTGGATAAAGAGCTTTGTTTGTTTGTTTCTTAATCACTTCTCTTTTCTTTGTAGTGAGTAAAGAGGAGATATCAATTTGTGTGTAGATATTAGCATTCTTATATAACAGACTCAGCCCTAGACACATAAAACACCAGCACCTACTAGCTGGTGTTGAAATGTGTGGCAAAGAGAATAATGATTTTGATTTACAAATACTTACCTGTCAAGAAACACCACCACCACCCAATCCCTTACTGTTTCTTTTCAGAAATTAATAATTTAAATTTTAATAAGCACCAGGCTTAATGCCTCATCAAGTATTTTTTTTCTTTATTATTTATACATGTTGGTGTAGCTAGCGTGTTGACTAGCACTGGTTAGCACACTAACAAATAGAAACCAACACTATACTCACCTTCTAGGTTCTAGGTTTATAGTTAATTAACCCAAGTTCTCCTGAAGACCAGATTTCTTCTTGTCTTGGAAGGGGTTAGAAGGTAATAGTCATTTGAACATATGTCCACAAAATCTTTTTTCAGAAACTGAGGTTTAATTGTCCTCCTATTGACTATGAGCTAGACTTCATGTCTCCTGATGAACATAATAAGGTTGAAGTGATAGTGACTTTAGAGACAATATCTCTAAAGAGACTTTCTGTCTTGGATAACTTTGAGGAAAGCCACCTGCCATGTTGTGAGGACACTCAAGCAGCCCTGTGGAGGGGCCTGTGTTGTGAGGAATGGAGGCCTCCCACTGATAGCCATATAAGTAAGCCTGGAAGTGGATCCTCTATCCCAGATTAAATATTCAGCTGACTGCAGTGCAGCCAACACTTGACTGTAACCTCATGAGAGAACCTGAGCCAGAAGCAAGCCAACTAAACTGCTCTTACATCCATGCCCCACAGAGCCTATGAGATGATAAATGTTTGTTGTTAGAAGCCATTACGTTGTGGGATAATTTGTTACACAGTAATAGATCACTAATGCACAATAATGGTGGGGGTCAGATACACAGGAACAAACTGAATCCATAAGAAGATGATGGTCCTTGGCATGCCCTTGGAATGGGGTCCAATGATGTTGCAGAACTAGGTAAGGCCTTTCTAGGGGCAGAAAAGGGAATGTTTTGGGGTTAGATTTGGTACTTAGCATCAACAAGGAAGATCTGTTCCAGTAGCATTTTAAAAAGGCCTCTCAACTAAGACTTATTGATGGTGATGGTGCATATGTCTGTCGGTCTGCGGAAATGCAGGTGAGCAAGGGAATGCAGAACAGATGCAGAGTATACACATAGGCGTCTGATGCAGGTTCAAGTCGAGTAGCTTCCGATATGACTGTTTTCTTTAGTTTTCACAACCATTGAAAAGAGCAGGCCAGGTATGGTGGCTCACACCTGTAATCTCAGCACTTTGGAAGGCTGAAGTGGGTGGATCACTTGAGCACAGGAATTTGAGACAAGCCTGGGCAACATGGCGAAACTGTCTCTACCAAAAATACAAGAATCAGCTAGTCTCATAACCCGGTCTCAAAATAAATAAAAAATAAAATTAAAAATAAAAGAGCAATGTCGTTGGCATCCCATTCATGTTTGGGAATGGAATCTGACTTTGCCACTTGGAAGATTGTAATCTCCATGAAGGTAGGGACATGTCTGTATTATTTACTCCCAAATGCCTGGTGTCACAGAACGTGGAAGGTTCTCAGTAGGTATTTGTTGAAATAATAAATGAATATCATTGTATAATTTTGAGCAGATGATACAATCTTTTTAAGCCTCAATATCCTGCTCTGTACAGTGGGGATAAATAACCCCTAACTTGCAATGTTATTGTAAGGCTTGGAGATAGTGTATTCAAAGCAGTAGTCCCCAGCCTTTTTGGCATCAGGGACCAGTTTTGTGGAAGACAATTTTTCCATGGACCGGGGGTTGGGGGGATGGTTTTGGGATGAGTCAAGTGCATTACATTTATTATGCGCTATATTTCTATTATTACTATATTGCAATATATAATGAAATAATTATACAGTTCACCAAACTGTAGAATCAGTGGGAGCCCTGAGCTTGCTTTCCTGCAACTAAGCAGTCCCATCTGAGGGTAATGGGAGACAGTGACAGATCATCAGGCATTAGAGCCTCATAAGGAGCGGGCAACCTAGATCCCTCACGTGCACAGCCCATAATAGAATTTTTGCTCCTATGAGAATCTAATGCTACCACTGATCTGACAGGCGGCAGAGCTCAGGCAGTAATGCTCTCTTGCCCTCCACTCACCTCCTGTTGTGCAGCTCGGTTCCTGACAGGGCACGGACTGGCTGTGGTCTGTGTCCTGGGGGTTGGGGACCCCTGATTTAAAGCACTTACACAGTAGGCAGGCATGTATTTCTCAGAATCCTCAGAATCCATTCTTGTTATGATGGTCAGAGAACGAATGTGAAGTTTTGATCATGTACTTTCTGTTTTGGCAGAATTAGCCTTGGTAATTCAGTTCCTTAAGTTGTGAGTGATGAATTCAAGAAGTGAACTGTTGGATTTTGTTCCACATCTGGATTGTATTAAGTGGATTATTGCCAAGTTCCCACTCTACATGCTCCTTGTAGTCAAGCTAGTGTCACGCCCCTCGCATTTTTAAGAAGGTAACATTACAGTTGTGAGTCATAGTTACCCAGCAGGAAGCCACATTCCTGGGACTCAACTGATGGGGTGGCTGAGCCCAGAGCTCTTGGTCTGATGGGCCATCACTCCTTGTCTTATAATCCTCAGTCCAAGAGCATGACAGAATTATTTCTTTCTGTCACTAAGATTGTTGCAGTAAAGTAACCTAGTATAAATCTGGATATTCTGTAAAAACAATTCACTTCTACCTTTGTGCTGTAAATAATTATGAGCATTACTTTTGGCATTTAAAAATGCATTGTAAAGGCCTGGCGTGGTTCACACATGTAATCCCAGCACTTTGGGAAGCCAAGGCTGGTAGGTCACTTTGAGCCCAAGAGTTCCAGACCAGCCCAGGCAACATGGTGAAAACCCCACCTCTACAGAAGATACAAAAATTAGTCAGGTGTGGTTGTACACGCCTGTAATCCCAGCTACTAGGGAGGCTGGGGTGGGAGGCTCCCTTGAGCCTGGGAGGCGGAGGTTGCGGTGAGCCGAGATCGCGCCATTGCACTCCAGCCTGGGCGACAGAGCCAGATCCTGTTTCAAAATAAATAAATAAATAAAAATAAAAAAAATAAAAAAGCATTTAGGAAGATATTGAGTAGTAGGAAGTTTTTGTCTGAAGGGTTATGTGAAATTTAAGGAACTGGACATCCCCTGTTTTGGTTCAGAATTTTTCTTGGAACCACTAGCAGGTGGAGTTTTCTGATAAATCTTACTGTCTCTATCAGTGTCACCCCTGTTTGAATAGGAACCCTCACAAGAGGATCCATGTTTATGTCAGATTTTATTCTGTCCCATTTTGTGTAGCTGGGCTGTGATTCAAGGTGAAATTCTTAGGAAAGGAAATCTTGTGTAGTAGGTAGGGGCTAATCTTCACCACACAAGCTCCTGCCTTTCTGCCATTCAGAAGTAGAGACCTAGAAGAGATAAGAAATGGGGAGCTAAGAAATACATTGCTGGCCTTCTGCAGTACTCGCCTATCAGTATTTTCACTGTCTCTTCCTGGAAGTATCGTTTTAAATCTATTGCACAAAGTCAGACAAATAGGTTTATTTGAGTCAATGATTTTTTTATAGCGATATGGCAATGTTTTATGGAGGCTCAGAGTTATCTTGCAAGTCTGGGCCAAGTTGTAACTTGAAAGAAAACCCAAAGCTAAGATGGTGAATTGTAAATAAATACACACACACACACACACACACACACACACACACAGGCACAAATATATTGAAGACTTTGTTTTTCTAGGCTGGGTTCTGGTAAAAGGGTTCATGCTTGTAATTCCTGCACTTTGGGAGGCTGAGGCGGGAAGATCATTAGATTGCTGGAGTTTAGGCCAGGCTAGGCAACCTAGTGAGACCTTATCTGTATTAAAAAAAGAAAAGAAAATTAACTGGGTGTGGTGGCATGCACCTGTAGTCCCAACTACAGAGGATGCTGAGGTGGGAGGATCGCTTGAGCCCAGGAGTTTGAGGTTGCAGTGAACTATGGTCATGCTACTGTACTCCAGTCTGGGCAACAGAATGATACCCCATTTCTTAAAGGAAAAGATTTTGTTTTTCTAAAAATGAATTATGGATATGAAACTCTTTTAGTTGGAATTTTATGTATGAATTTGAGAGGTCCAGAAAATGAAATAAAATTAGACTTATATTGGAAAGGATTAGAATTCTAGCTCTTAACGCCTTTTTACTTTTTTTTTTTTTTTGGCCAAGTAAAATGGCTAATTATACTGGGAACTGGAAACAGGTGGCTGTGTATCTTAGTAAATAAAGAACGATGTTAACCTCTCCAGAATGCTGGTGACTATTGAGTTTGGCCAGAAAATCCTATAAAGGAGAAAGAGTTGCAGAGTGTAATAAACTCCCAGATGCTCGATAAAAACCTCTGTTCCTCTTATGCCGGCTGGTGAAGATCAAGGGCGCCGCAGCAGAGCTGCTGAAGGCTCCTTACTGGTGTGAAGGTGATGAGATTTCTCTTCTGTTATCTGTCTGAATTACTTCTGGGCTTGACAGAGATGGGAACTCTCATTTGATAGCAGTTCACAGACTTTGGATATCTTATTTCCCTTAAGTTAAACTTACCAGTCTTCATTTGCCAAATAATTTCCCCTTCTGGGAAGGGTGTGTGGCAAATCTGACAAGCTTGTGTTCAGTTCTCTGCTGTTACTATGAGGCTAGGGGACTTGGAGCAGGCAGCCTAGCCTCTCTGTGCCATCTTTTCTTGCATCTAGCAATGGAAGAAAGGAAAACCAGCCTTTGTAGGGTTGTGATGAAAGTGAAATGAGATGATAAACACCAGGTACCTGGCAGGTGGTTTTACTGTCGCTGGTTTTCTCAAAACCTAAGGCAGAGTTGCTGAAACTCAGCACTATTGACATTTTGGGCTGGATAATTATTTGTTATTATCCAAAGGTTATTACCCAGCATCTGGGAGGACCATCCTGTTCATCGTAGGGTGTTTAGTAACATCTATCCTAGATGCCAGTAGCACACTCATCCTCTTTGTAATACCAGAGATGTCTCAAGAGTAATTTGTTTCTGACCACTGACAGAAGCCTACTTAAGAAAAGCTGACAGCTGATGTCAGGTGTTTTCTTTGTTCAAAAATGGTGTAGAACAGTACTTGGAGTGAATGGGTGACTTCAATTTAGTAATTGTTTTTACATTTAGTAAAGAAATTATGTAATGGTAGTGTCTCCTCTCCCTTACCCCCCCAATTCATTTGAATTAATAATTTAAAAAGTACTTTTAAAACTTAGACCCAGCCATCTGTTCCTTCCTGTTGCCTTACAGCAGCAGTAATTGCTTTAGGATGGGCTTGGAAACAAGAGCGGAAATGGTCTCCAGTGACCCCAAATCATAACAGAACTCGAATCCTAAGAAAAACCACAAGTGGCTTATGAATAAGCTGAAAACTTAAATGCCTCCTCAACAATTTAAATTTGGATTGCATAGCTTATGGATTTGGTGGGACATTCTAACCTCGATGTATCTTTAACATTTTCTGCTTTTAAGATGCAAAGGCGTTAACATAGGGATGGAGAGAAAACTTCCTTCTAAGTTTTCCTAGAAAGTCTGGCACCTTTGACATAGCTATAACAGAAAGAAAAATATATATATGTATTTGATACTGGTTCTAGATAATGCCATTAATTAGATTTAAAATGATGCTTATAGCAAGCATATGTACAACGTAATATGTTCCAGCTACGACTCTAAGCACTTTTCCCATTTTAATTCACTTGCTTCTCAGAACAGTTCTATGAGGGAGGCTCTATTAGGCCTGACTCATGCTCGGCATTTTGTACACGAGGAAACTAAAGCAAGGCAAAGTCGACTGCCCAGAATTACCGGCTAATAAATGTCAGTCTTGCCTGGTGCTGCACACCTGCAGTCCCAGGTACTTAGGAGGCTGAGGTGGGAGGATCTCTTGAGCCCAGGAGTTTGAATCTAACTGGGAAACATAGTGAGACTTTGTCTCTTTAAACAAAATTTTTTTAATTAAAAAAAAAAAAAAAGTCAGTCTGGCTACTAGTCTTTTAAGTCCATTCTGCTGATTCTAAGACTTGATCCACAAGACCAGGGATTGGCAAACCATGGCCCATGGGCAAACATCTGGCCTACTGCCTATTTTTTTGTAAATAAAGTTTTATTGGTCAAGGTGTAGGGGTGGGAAAAAAGTTTTATTGGAATAGAGCCCCTGCTATTTGTTGACTTATTGTCTATGGCTGTTTTCTTGCTACAACAGTAGAAATGAGTGTTTGCAACAGAGACCATATGGCTTGCCAAGCCTAAAATATTTACTGTCTGGCTGTTAGCAGAGTGAGTCTGCCTACCCATACAGAAGACCATTCTCATCCATATGTATAGTCCAGAAAGGTAGGAACAAATTTTTAAAAATCTTAATTCCATATACTTTCAAATAAGATTGAGTTAAAACTCATACATTGAAGGTCCAAGTATTTGGTGCCATTCTCCAGTGTTATGATGAATGTGAAATCATTTACAGGACACCCCTCTATCAGGCATTTGGGGGAAGAGAAAGGAACAGATAAACATGTGAAAAATGGGAGAGTGTGTGAACTCTCTATAGTACTCTAGAAAGCCCGGCTTTAACTCTGCAAAATTTGAAAATAGCAATCTTAAACTTTCTGTTTTTCTCGCTGCTTTTCTGCAACAGCTTCAGAATAGAAACTGACAGGCCCATTTTAGTAGAAAGCAAACGGCAGTGTGTGGGTGGCGCCTTATAACACAGCAACTCAAGGTTAGGTGGGGGGAGACCAAGAATTGAGTTTCTTTTGTTAAATCAGAAATTATGCAAATTTTACAAAAAGTATTAGAGGAAATGTGTAAGGCTTTAATTGGTTTTATGGGTTTGTCGCTTTTTTTTAAAAAAGGTTACTTTGTGAACATTACCCTCTGCTGAACATGTAGACACTTCCTGAAGTTTAATGAGATCTCAGAGTAGAATCACAACAAATGTGACTCTCAGATATTTTCAAGAGATGGTATTATCTTGGGCTGAAAGTATGTTACACTAAGGCTGTCATTTCTTAGGAGGATTTACTCTACCACACAAGCTCCTCTATCTGAAATTATGATGAGCCCCAACATAGAGCTTTTTGCTTATACTAAATTCAGAGAATACTTAGTATTTGCTAAATCAGTGGTGGCCTACTTTTTAAAGCTCATTTATTACACTGAACTTTAGATAATATAGAAATGCTTTCTAATTACAGTTTTGTCCCCTGGTAAAACTAACACTGTGCATTGCGTTTGTATTATTGACATTACCTTCTAGGGCCTTGAGTGAAGGATGCTGAGCTGCGCTGCTCTCTAGGATTGGTTATTTTAAACTTTGATTTTTGCTTGAGAGTGGACTAAGGTAGTGTAGTTAAATAAAAAGTATGAGCAGAAGTGTTTGTTTCAGGCAAGATTTTTTCAGGGCCTCATTTCCAGTGGGGTTGATGGATGATTTTTGTGGCTTAGAGCTTGAGACATTATGAGTTGTTCACCGAGACCCAGAATCAGGTCAGAGGACTGACTCCAAATACTGTAATGTGCTTGGATGCTGGTACCGGTATCAAGAGGCTCAGAGGAACATTGGATGTGTCTGTCCCTAGTAATGACAGCACAGTCACAGCTGGTCTGTGGCTTAACAGTGTCTGCAGGGGCATCCATTCCCATCCCTCTTACTCCTTCTTACTTCTCTTCCTAGACTTTACTGTCTCTGTTAATTACAGTTCCATTTCAGATAGAGAGTTAATTGATTTAAGTTTATGACTGGACCCCCGTGCCTGCAGTGTATTGTTGAATGAATGGATGTTTTGATTTTTTCTTCTCCTTTGAAGCAAGGAATTTACTGCTTGGAACTATGCTGCACAGGTTTTTCTTAACGTTCTGTAGGATACACATTACTTTTTCTACTATGTGTCTTTTATTGCTGCAAAAGTCAGTTGTACTTGAGACAGTTTGGCACTGAGAGGGGAATGTGGCATATCTTGGCACTGTGGACAGCTGGTTGGGTGTTGATGTGGTGACAGGGAGGAGGGAAGGGCTCACAGACCAGACACGTGCTGCCTTTGAATGCAGGTGGTGATCAGTGTGCTTAGTCATGTAGGGCTGCTCTTCGTGGAAGAGGTAGCTTGGTAGGGTGGTTGAGTTTCAGTACTGGAGTCGGCAGAACTAGACTTCTGTCCCCACCCTGGCTCACTAGCTGTTTGACATTGGACACCTTGATTCAATCCCTTTGAACATTAGTCTCCTTGTCTCTTTGATGGGGATAAATATCTGCTTCACACATAGCCCTGTGGGAAGATGTGAAAAGCCCAACTCTGGGTGTGTTAGGGGCAGATAAATGCTGAGTGTTAGCTTTCCTTTAGCCGAATCTGAACTGATTGAATTGCATTGGGACTCAGTTTGTAGTCAGTGACTTATGTTCAAAAACTTGGGAAGACCCAGGAGGGGGTTGACTTATCCCGAAAAATCAGGTTCTTTTTGAAAATGTGTTAATTCTTTCAGGCCAGCAAGGTGTCATCTAAGAATGTCTGCCAGTAACTAGTTCCCAGGGAGTCTTAAAGATGTCACTGTAGCTTTCAGACATACCTGAGTTACTCTTAAGAGCACCTTGCCTTGTAGGAATCCATTTTGTGATATTTGTTTAAATTATGTCACAGCGCATTGCAGACTTGTAATCTGTTTTCAAAATGGTATTGTCTGCGCCCTTATTGATCAGCGCGACATCTTTTACTTGCTTATCTCTGCTTTCCATATGGTCATACTCCAAAGCTAGACCTAGAGCAGACCCACTAACTCATTAACCTCTCTGACACGAAATAGAAACCTTCTAGAAGGGGACCAGCTATGGGAGGCAGAGTTCTTAAAATCTCTCGCAGTCCCCCGGCATTTTCCTGAGCCTCCGGTTGTAGGTATTAGACTGGGCGCGAGTTTTCACAACACGGGGAATTTGTCATGGTTGAGTCTGCTGTCGTTTGAAATACTGCTTAGTTCTTTAAGATATAATTAAGTAGAATCGCAGAAAAGAGACCTTCGTTGGCATTTTTTGTTTGTGTTGTGACTATCGAAATCCCTGCTCTCCGGAGGCTTGCCCTGACTTGGGGTGGGGAGTGTGACGTAGAGACACTGCGAAGCCGGAGCGATCAGGTTAGGTGAGGCCATGCTTAAGTTGGATTCGTTGAAAATATGATTCAATTTGAGAACATGGTAGTGCCCATTTCCAAGCTGTCACAGAGTCCAGGAGATGGGGAATAAAAAATCTTCGGCATCTCTCGGGGAAGATTATTTTGTTTGAGGTCTTAGGACTTCTCCTGATACTGTATGAACTTTCTTTTTTTTTTTTTTTTTTTAATTGATCATTCTTGGGTGTTTCTCGCAGAGGGGGATTTGGCAGGGTCACAGGACAATAGTGGAGGGAAGGTCAGCAGATAAACAAGTGAACAAAGGTCTCTGGTTTTCCTAGGCAGAGGACCCTGCGGCCTTCTGCAGTGTTTGTGTCCCTGGGTACTTGAGACTAGGGAGTGGTGATGACTCGTAAGGAGCATGCTGCCTTCAAGCATCTGTTTAACAAAGCACATCTTGCACCGCCCTTAATCCATTCAACCCTGAGTGGATATAGCACATGTTTCAGAGAGCACAGGGTTGGGGGTAAGGTCACAGATCAACAGGATCCCAAGGCAGAAGAATTTTTCTTAGTACAGAACAAAATGAAAAGTCTCCCATGTCTACCTCTTTCTACACAGACACGGCAACCATCCGATTTCTCAATCTTTTCCCCACCTTTCCCCCCTTTCTATTCCACAAAACCGCCATTGTCATCATGGCCCGTTCTCAATGAGCTGTTGGGTACACCTCGCAGACGGGGTGGTGGCCGGGCAGAGGGGCTCCTCACTTCCCAGTAGGGGCGGCCGGGCAGAGGCGCCCCTCACCTCCTGGACGGGGCGGCTGGCCGGGCGGGGGGCTGACCCCCCCACCTCCCTCCCGGATGGGGCGGCTGGCCGGGCAGAGGGGCTCCTCACTTCCCAGTAGGGGCGGCCGGGCAGAGGCGCCCCTCACCTCCCGGACTGGGCGGCTGGATGGGCGGGGGGGGCTGATCCCCCCACCTCCCTCCCGGACGAGGTGGCTGCTGGGCGGAGATGCTCCTCACTTCCCAGACGGGGTGGCTGCTGGGCGGAGGGGCTCCTCACTTCTCAGACGGGGCGGTTGCCAGGCAGAGGGTCTCCTCACTTCTCAGACGGGGCGGCTGGGCAGAGACGCTCCTCACATCCCGGACGGGGCAGCAGGGCAGAGGTGCTCCCCACATCTCAGACGATGGGCGGCCGGGCAGAGATGCTCCTCACTTCCCAGATGTGATGGCGGCCGGGAAGAGGCGCTCCTCACTTCCTAGATGGGATGGCGGCCGGGCAGAGACGCTCCTCACTTTCCAGACTGGGCAGCCAGGCAGAGGGGCTCCTCACATCCCAGACGATGGGCGGCCAGGCGGAGACGCTCCTCACTTCCCAGACGGGGTGGCGGCCGGGCAGAGGCTGCAATCTCGGCACTTTGGGAGGCCAAGGCAGGCTGCTGGGAGGTGGAGGTTGTAGCGAGCCGAGATCACGCCACTGCACTCCAGCCTGGGCACCATTGAGCACTGAGTGAATGAGACTCCGTCTGCAATCCCGGCACCTCGGGAGGCCGAGGCTGGCGGATCACTCGCGGTTAGGAGCTGGAGACCAGCCCGGCCAACACAGCGAAACCCCGTCTCCACCAAAAAAATAAGAAAACCAGTCAGGCATGGCGGCGCCGCCTGCAATTGCAGGCACTCGGCAGGCTGAGGCAGGAGAATCAGGCAGGGAGGTTGCAGTGAGCCGAGATGGCAGCAGTACCGTCCAGCTTCGGCTCGGCATCAGAGGGAGACCGTGGAAAGAGAGGGAGAGGGAGACTGTGGGGAGAGGGAGAGGGAGAGGGAGAGGGAGAAGAGGGAGAGGGAGAGAGGGAGAGAGAGGGAGAGAGGGGGAGAGAGAGGGAGAGAGAGAGGGAGAGGGAGAGGGCTCTTAAGGGTCCATCATGTTTTGGAGTCTAAAAGTTGGGACCCGGTGTGGGGGCACAACACCTGCAATCCTAGCACCTTGGGAGGCCAAGGCAGGAGGATTCTTGATTGGCCCAGGAGTTTGAGACCAGCCTGTGTGACATGGTGAGACTGTCTCTGCAAAATATAAAAAATTAGCTGGGTGTGGTGGTGCGTGCCCGTAGTCCTAGCTACTCGGAGAGACTGAGGTGGAGTGTATCACTCGAGCCTGGGAAGTCGAGGCTGTAGTAAGTGGCGATCGTGGCACCTGCACTCCAGCCTAGGCAACAGAGCGATACTCTGTCTCAAAATAAAATGGAAGAAAAAAGATAAAACAAATAAATAACAAGCTATAAGTTGTCCCTGCATGTAAAACAAAAATTGTTCCTGCATGTGAATCACAGTCTTTGCGCTTTCTGGAAAGTAATAGAAATTTCTGTGGATGAGCCACTTGGCAAAGGTTATTTCTAAAACTCTGTGTTAGAGATTTTTGGTAAATAACAAAGAGCCTGAATGGTCCCATGGGATAAAACACCAGCTCAAGACTTTACAAAGTGGGGCTCTCATTGAGGTAGTTCTCAGTCTGCAAAATGAAGATGATACACCTTAGATGGTATATATTTCAATGCTATTATTATTGAGAGCCAGTTTGGCATTAGGCATCACACTGAGTACAAATTTATTTCTACATGTTCTTCTTTTAAAATATGGAATTCTTTTATTATTGTTTGTACTAGTTTATTATTACTGTTTGTATAAATCTATGCAAGTACAAGTGCAATTGTGTTACATGCATAGATTATGGAGTGATCAACTTGGGACTTTTAGGGTATCCACCACCCGAGTAATGTACCTTATACCCAGTAAGTAATTTCTTATCATCTAACCCCCTTTCTGACTATTGAACTCTGAGCAACACTTGACTGGATTGGGAGGATTGGAGTAAGAAGAATGTACATTCCTTATGTTAAGATGTGGTAGGAAATAGAAACTTGGCTTTGTCCATAAAAACGTGTGAGTTCATGTCCTTTTCAGGAACATGGATGAAGCTGGAAACCCTCATTCTCAGCAAACTCAGGAACAGAAAACCAAACACTGCTTGTTGTCATAAGTGGGAGTTGAACAAAGAGAAAACATGGACACATGGAGGGGAACATCACACACTGGCGTCTTTGTGGGGTGGGTGGGGTAGGGGAGGGATAGCATTAGGAGAAATACCTAACGTAGATGACGGGTTGATGGGTGCAGCAAACCACCATGGCACGTGTATACCTATGTAACAAACCTGCACGTTCTGCACATGTATCCCAGAACAAGTATAATAATAATAAAAAAAAAAAAGAAACATGGCTTTGCATGAGAAAAGCCTATTGAATGTCTCAGAGATGGACATGTTAATGTTGCCTTGAGTAGAAAGATCTGGATACTGATCTCCAGCTCCCCGCTCTTTCAGTTTTGGATTCTACTGTTACCTAATGTGTTTAAAGCCATATTGGTTAGCAGGGAGTAGTGATCCCAGCTACTCAGGAGGCTGAGGTGGGAGGATTGCTTGAACCCAGGAGGTGGAGGCTGCAGTCAGCTGAGATCGCCCCACTGCCCTCCAGCCTGGGCGATAGAGTGAGACTCCATCTCAAAAAAAAAAAAAAAAAAAAAAAAGCCATATTAGTACTCTATAAATACTCCATTAAAAAAAGGTGGGAGGTAGGAGACGATTCCCCAGTTGTCCAAAAAATTCGATTGATGTGCTGCTGACTTCTGTTTGGTTTAGCAGATGTTTGTTGAGCAGCTGTTTGTTGAATTGGTTGAAAATGAATTAAAAATAATTTTATCTTGACCTTTCTCTTTGTAACTTTAACATCACCTCATGAGGTAGCTGGAAAAGTCCTGGAATGTCTTTCAAACTCTGGGTGGGAATTACTGTTTACAAGTTGTCAGCCAGTGTCACTAGGTGATAATTCCCCTCTGTGTGAGTGTCATGGTTACAGTATGCTTTTTTGCCTCTAAAAGAACAATTATATTCAAGAAATTTCCTAGTGCATTTAAAAACAGCTGGGTGAAAGTCATTTTAAATCCCCAAATCCAACACATTCGTTCTTTTGTGCATTTAATTAAGCAGAAGTTAAAATAAATTAGAACAGGAGACATTCAGTGCTGATTGTTGAATCAACAAAGCAAGAAACAGCCTAGCATTACCCTACCACAGATGTCTGTCACTCAGTGCTGTTGCCCTATAAATTTCCATCAACTCTTACCATTTTTTGAATAACAATTTCTTTTCTAGTAAAAATTGGCATATGATGTATAGCAAGCAATATTCTTTATGCAAATGATATTTCCATATATCTCTAATTTTTTCCCCTTAATGATACATTTATGTTGGTGGCTTGGATAACTTTTCCGGAGGATGGAGGATGTGAGATGGGTTAGGCTAGAATGGTAAGGTTTAGGAAAATATAGAAAAATAAGATTTAGCAGTAAATTTGGGTATTATTAGTGGAAGTCATGGTTGAGGTTGTTTCATTTATGATACTAAATTATTTTAAGGACATGTTAAGTTTAATTTGTCTTTATAATGCAAGTAATATATGGTTCATGATAGAAAAAGTTGATTAAAACATATCAGCCAGAAACTGAGTCCCGTATTTTTCTCACCCACAGGTATCACTGTTAGCATTTCTAGGTAAACAGTCTTTTTTCCCCCTATTATGTATGTACTTTTGGCTATCTTTTAATAACAGGATTATGCTTCCTAGGCAGTTGTATGTCTTTTTTCTGCCATTTAGTAGAATATCATAATTGATATGGTATTTGATGTTGGCTTCTAAATAACCAAGGGGAGAGGTGAGGCCTATGGCTAATGTTTCAGCTGAAACAAGGTTAGCCCTAAGTTGAGGATAGTTTTTGCAGATGAGTAATGAGGGTTTATTATACTGTTGCTTTTGCATACATTTTGAATTATCTTTCCTAAATTTTTTTAAAGTGTTCAGTAAGCCATAAACATCTCCCCAGATCTACACATTCACACCAATGCCATTCTTAAGAGGCATGTGTCATTCCGTGGTAGCATGGATCATATTAATAATTGAACCAGTATCCTATTGTTAGATACGTCTGTTCTCAGTTTTTTCGACCATTCTTGGAAATAGAGGAAAATTTGTCCAGTCATTTATTTAAGAAGGCATTTGTAAGTTAAATTTTTATTTATTTTTCACTACCCAAGAAGGAATCTGGAGTTACAGTAACAGAAGATACTGGCTAGTATTTCGCCTTAGTTAACAAAACAATCATGAAAAATCTTTGTTTAGAAAGTTACTAAAGTCTAGGCGGGCACAGTGGCTCACGCCTGTAATCCCAGCACTTTGGGAGGCTGAGGTGGGCAGATCACGAGGTCAGGAGATCGAGACCATCCTGGCTAACACGGTGAAACCCCGTCTCTACTAAAAATACAAAATATTAGCTGGGTGTGGTGGCGGGCACGTGAAATCCCAGCTACTCGGGAGGCTGAGGCAGGAGAATGGCGTGAACCTGGGAGGCAGAGCTTGCAGTGAGCTGAGATTGCACCACTGCACTCCAGCCTGGGCGACAGAGCCAGACTCCATCTCAAAAAAAAAAAAAAAAAAGAAAATTACTAAAGTCTGTGAAATTAGTACATTTTCTGAATACTTCACTGTAATTCCAGTGAATATTTTACTTTCACACACACACAAACACACACACAATTTAGTGTATCAAGTAATTTTTATTGCCCGATGTCTTGGCGCCTTGATATATTTTAACGTGTTGCGGTTGCATGTGACTCTTCCAAAGACATCTATCGGGAAATGGATAGTTAATGCATGGTGTGTATCTCTCTGTTGTTTATTTACCATAAGTTACTAATTCCCATTTCTCAGCTGAGAGCTATTATAGGCCTTCCTCTCATCAGGGATAGTTGGAGCCAGATAGGATAGAGATTGGGTAACTGTTGGAATGTGGACCACCAATTTCTTTTATTGGCTTCCATAGCTAGTTAGATGGAGACTCCTGACCTGAGTGAGGAGTATTATCTGTCCTGTGAGCCTCCAGTTAGCCTGGGTAAAAACAATACATTAAGAATCACTACCTCTTCTTAGCCAAGCATGGTGGCTCAGGCCTGTAATCCCAGCACTTTGGGAGGCTGAGGCGGGTGGATCACAAGGTTAGGAGTTTGAGACCAACCTGGCCAATATGGTGAAACCCCATCTCTACTAAAAATATAAAAATTAGCTGGGCATGGTGGCGGGCGCCTGTAGTCCCAGCTACTCGAGAGGCTGAGGCAGGAGAATCGCTTGAACCCAGGAGGCAGAGGTTGCAGTGAGCCCAGATCGCACCACTGCACTCCAGCGTGGGTGACAGAGCGAGACTCCGTCTCAAAAAAAAAAAAAAAAAAAAGAATCACTACCTCTTCTTATGTATGTTTAGTGTGGGACAGGTGCTGTGTTATACCTGGCACCTACCTTAAACAACTGAATCTTTATGAAGGCCATCAGAGGCAGTCTCTCTTATTCTTCCCACTTTACATGTGAGGAAACGAGGCCTAGACAGTGAGAGAAACTAACTTGTTCAGTTAAAGTTGCACAGCTAGATATAGATTTTTTGGACATGTTAATTAACCCTTTCAGTGGCTTGGATCACGATCCCAATAAATCAGTGATGAATTTTTGGTAGATGTATATTTACTTATTAATTATAATGTGTGCATATAAAAGCCATAGATCTAGGCCTGTGATTAAAACCTGCCCATTGCTTATGTGTCTAAAAGTTCCTTTTCTCTCTGTGCTGCAATAGCTAAATTTTGCCGATTTTCTATTTTCTGTTCTTACTTTGATTTGGAACAAACCAAGCTTCAAATGCACAGGGTCCCAGAGTGGTAGAGTGGCTTGCTTATTTGATATATTTTTTAAGCTAGTGATTTCTGGAAATCGGCAGCCCCTCTTGATGTGGCACACCTAGACCATAAGTCAGTTATAAAGAGTCCTTAGGAGTGTTGGGCCGTGGATGGGAGGGGAAGGGAAGTGACTGGTACAGTTTCAAAAGGTAGCTTGTGTACACCCCTTCCTCATGAATTAAAATTTATGAAAGCTGTTTGGGAAATTCGATACCCAGAGGTGCAGACACCACATTTGGTAACACAACATGCTGTGTGCAGAACTGGGGCAGAGTCCTGATGTTGGGCAGATGAGGATGTTTTATCATCATTAGACAAACAGTGCCGTGAATGAGGGGCTGTGGCTGGGATCATCCAGCTCAGCTCGTGCTGTTTCCAGTCTCATAAGCAAACCAAAGGCATGCGTGTGGCTGCCCTCCCGCAATCCAAAGGAAGATGGAAGATGAATGGAAAATGACTGTCGTTCTAAAAGACACTTGAAAACTAACAGCTGGGAAAACTGTTCTGAATACTTGAAGGGGTAGCCCGACGGGTTTAAAAAAATGAAGGAAGCGATAGATATTCATGTGTTGTCCAGGGAAGAAATAGTCAACATGTGTTTTACAATGTCTGGCGTAGTTGTCTAGTCTTTACAAGTAGAGGTGTCTGAATACACAGCAGGGGAGTCAAGAATTCGGAGGAGTCGGGTGGGGCTGGAATTGACGGGAACAACCTGATGGTATCTCCCCACATTCCCTTCTTATTTGGAAAGAAGTGCAGTCCATTGTAGCTGTACCCTCTGTCTTTGCATCTTTGATTTCTCCAGCTCGGAGCATCCCCAGACAAGATGGCCTCATCCCTGGTAAAAAGTTCCCTGGCCGAGAGATCAACGTGAATTTCCCATCCTGGCTTCCAGGCGTCTCCGCTTGGCATCTCACATTTCTAGAAAAACAGCACCCAACCTACTTCCCAGACGTGTCATAATCATGTCCCATTTTGATACTTATTATACAAATAACCCCAAACACGTGTACTCTTTCTATTGGTTGTTTGTCTAAAACTTTATTTTTGTTCTCCAAAAGTAAATGCCCATTGTAATACCCAATAGTCTCTTTGAATTTGCATCCCCCATACCTAAGTTTTGGGAGGCCTCCCAATGCTCACCCCTCATTAGTATCTCTGTATTATGTGCAATTTTTTTTTCCTTGAAAGCATTTCTGCAATAATGGCTTTTTTTCCCCCCGTTAAGTGACGACAGTCATCCTAAGTTAAGTTTATTTGACTAGGAGAGGGAAGAATATTCACAAAGGGCACTGGTCTCACGTGATTGAGAGACTGGTAGAAACATGGCAAGATTGGGCCACAGTCAAATCAGAGTCTGGAAAGCTTGCTGCCTCAGGGATGGCTGTACATACAAACTCCCAAATGATACATTAATTGATTTTGATTATATGACTCCAAAGCTTGAGCATTTCAAACTGTTTTCAAACTAATGGCCATCGCATTTGGCAAGGAGCCCAACTGCGCATTGGGTTCATTATAAAAGGAGATCTTGACAGCCTGTCAGGAGGACAGAATGCATGCTAGGGTTTTGAGAAGTTGCTCAGTTTCAGAGGACTTGGTGGTGTTTTTCATTAAAAGGTACCAGAAATTTAGCAGCCCGACCAAGAGCCAGGCTTATAAGTCACGGAATGACCCTGGTCAGTACATGCAGAACCTTAACAGTATGATCTTAAGATATCTCATTAGATTCCAGTGAATAAGGCCAGGTACCGTGGCTCACGTCTGTAATCCCAGCACTTTGGGAGGTCAAAGCTGGTGGATCACTTGAGTCCAGGAGTTTGAGAACAGCCACCACAGTGGAACCCTGTCTCTACTAAGAATACAAAAAATTAGCTGGGTGTGGTGGTGCACGCCTGTAATCCCAGCTACTCAGGAAGCTGAGGCACGAGAATTACTTGAACCCGGGAGGTAGAAGTTGCAGTGAGCTGAGATCATGCCGTTGCACTGCAGCCTGGGCGACGAGCGAAACTCTGTCTCAAAAAACCAAAAAAACAGAAAAGCAAAAAAACCCCACAATCCAGTGAGTAAGACCTCAGCCGGCCTGAGGTTCACAGGGTTTAAATGGAATGCAGTGGGAAGTAAAGAGTGATCCCAAGGAGAAGTAAAAATCTTGACACCTTACTCTCTTCGGCTTGTCCCACTTTTCTTCAACTGCCCCGCTACTGGAACATTTTCTCTTTCTCAATTTCGATTGTCCCCTTAAGCAATTTACTAATTAGACATTAAAACTTCCTATTCTCTCAATCCCAAAGCAAAACTGATGAGCAGAGCAAACCAGAGCAGTTGGGCCAGAACAGAACAAAGACGTACCTGATGCAGGGAATTGAAGCCAGACCCAAAACGGGCAACCCAATAGGATGGCCATCTGCCCCATTAATGCCAGCTTGTCCAAGTGTAATTATTAACAGTGCCCCCTTTCACTCTCCAAAGAGTCCCTGTCCAGACAGTTAATTGTGAAGTCGCCTTCAGATGGCTGGCGGTAAGGAAAGTAGAGTGAGGGAAGCAGGGTAGGTGGAGGTGTGAAAGGGAGAGGGCCTCATCTCAGGGTGGCTGGACCTGCACCAGCATCGGCCTGCATGAATGTGCTCCTACTCTTGCCCAGGCTGAGTATCAAGAGAAGCAAGAAATCTAGATAAAAATCCAAATCCAGAAACATCAGCGTTTTGAGGTTAACATGTTGGCAATTATTCAGCTTTATGAAAAAAAAAAAAAAAAACACAAAAAAACAGCATGGGAGCCTGGCAAAATATGTGGGTGACCCTTGGCTACTTTTGAATGAAGTTTTTCATTCTGTCCTTCAAAAAAAAAAATCATACAAAAAAAATAGGAGATCAAGGGGGAAAAAAAAAAGAGGGCATGGAAAAACCAGCCTCTGGTATAGGCTTTCAGGGTATATTGGTGAGCAAACTTTTCCTAGAGCTGTTTCTGGTTATCAGGTGTGGTACAGGTTGCAGGGAGGTGGGGATGGGGATGACTAGGGTCACAGCAGGCAATAACTAGGGTTATTGGCACCCGGTTGGTGTTTGGTGCCTGCTGTGTAACTTGCTGGGTGTTGGGAACCTGTATATGGCATATGCCATGTGCACAGTGGGATGTGTTTAAAATGTGGGAGACAGGAGCTGTATGGAAATCATTATTTTCAAATGCGGTCATGGCTTTTAGGTTGTGAATTTTTGTTCCTTTCCAAAACCGGTTTAGATGAGCAGCTTTGCTTTTTAGTGAGATTGAGTTAATCTTATATCTTTATGTTCTAAAAAAAAAAAAAAAAAAAAAAAGAAGAAGAAAGTAACAATGTCCAAACTTCCCTGGAGCCATTTCTGTCTCTGTGAAATAGGCAATTTAAGGTCCATCCCATCCTAAAAGCTTTTAGCTTGTGAAAAGCTTCTTTTCTTGCTTTTAAAACCTTCACTCTGCGTTTAGAATAAATGGCATTCCTGGATCTGTTAAATAGGCAGTTAATAATGCCACAGAAACTACCCACCACACACCCAACCACAAAACTTGCTCAGAGGCAGGATGTGTATTGGAATATTCTGTAATGATCCAATGCTGAAACATTACAATCAGCCTTGACCCTGCAATCTGCATTTTTAATTGCAGCCTTCATTTACAGTGGGGTATTGGTCTGCTTTCAGTTTGTCCTGAAGGTTGACTGGATCTCGTAATCTATTCATGTCAGACTGCCTGCTAGGACCAGCATGAATTCAGCTCTTCAGAGGAAGCATTGTCATACAGAGAGGACTCGGCCGTTTGTTTCACCTTGATATATTTCCCAATATATGCTTCATTCTCTGGGGTAGTTTTTATTCCTCTTCTATGAAATGTGGATTATAAGGACTCATGCCCCATGGAATTTCTATAGGGTTTAGATGAGATAATACATGTAAAGTATTTGATATGGGCATGTAGGAAGCACCAAATAAACAGTAGCCATTATGATTTTTCTTGCTCTGGATTTAACTTTTTTAAGCTCCTGAATTTTGGATTAGTAATGTTGTTGACCATGGAGGAAAATTGAAAAAAGATGTTGGCTTCATTTTCTTGATGACTGAAAAGTAAACTAGTGGCCGGGCGCAGTGGCTCACTCCTGTAATCCCAGCACTTTGGGAGACTGAAGCTGGTGGATCACTTAAGGTCAAGAGATCGAGACCAGCCTGGCCAACATAGTGAAAACTTTTCGCTACTAAAAATACAAAAATTAGCCAGGCGTGGGGTGCACACCTGTAATCCCAACTATATGGGAGGCTGAGGCAGGAGAATCACTTGAACCTGGGAGGCAGAGGTTGCAGTGAGCCGAGATTGTGTGACTGCACTTGGGCCTGGGCCACAGAGCAAGACTCCTGTCTCAAAAAAAAAAAAAAAAAAGTGAACTGGTAATGAGAAATGAATTTTGGAAATAATGGTGAACTGCAAACATGGACTATAAGTTAGACCATATTATATCAATGTTAAATTCTCTGAATTTGATAATTCTACTATGATTATATACGAGAATGTCTTTGTCTTAAGAAATTCACTCGAGTATTTGGGGTCCAAGGGGCATGATATCTTCAAGCTATTCTCAAATGGTTGAGGAATAAATATGTGCATAGAGACTTATATAGCAGATGCTGTTAAATGTTGACAGTAATGGGTATGGGTGATGGGGACATAGGCATTTGTTGTAAAGTTAAACATAAAAAAGTTTTTAATAAAGTGGGCCAGTGAGGAAAAAGGTAGCTGGTAACTTCATTCTGTGTTTTTTCACTAGGTCAGAACTACTGGTTCATTTATCATTTCTGTCCAAAGGTGGATTTTTTCCAATTAGTTTATCTATCCTGTTCTTCTTTCCCACCCCTCAATTCTTGATTCCTGGGGATGGTTATTTGAAAAGAACTTCCTTGCCCAGCTTTCAGTGACCCTGCTGTTTTGTTTCCAACTCCCAGTCATAATCCTTTGTTCATGACATTATAATCATCACCACAAGTGGCTAATTGTGATGTCACAAATGGAGGATTATGACTCAAATGAGGAATAAACAGCAGTGGCGGATTAATTCCTAAGCAACGAAGAAGATTCTGTTTTGTGCAAATGCCCCAGGGTAATAAAATTTAAAACCAGAAAAAGGCAAGGGGAAGACAAAGCTGAACATATGTGATCTATTAGCTAAATTGTCCTTAAGTGGAAAGCTTTTCTTTCTCTCTTTCTTCCTTCCTTAATTTTCCACGTGGTATGAATAGCTCCTCTATGGTAGATAAATCGATTTGGTTTTAGGCCTAACAAAGCTCAAGGTGTCTTGCTGACTAATTACAGGGATGTCACACCTGGGCTGAAAAGTGAGTCATTATGGAATCTTTGAGGTGTTTTTATTTTCCATAAAGTTGAATTGCTCTTTTCAGTCAGCATTGCAAAAGTCAGGCTATAAAGATCAGCACAATGGCCGAAGACAGCTGGGCTGATAATTGACGGCAGTCCCAACCTGGAAACTCTGGGTAAGGCCAGCAGAGCCGAATGGCGTCAGTCACTCAGGACAGTTTTCTGAATGGGTGATATGTAAATGAGGCAGTGGTAACAGCTGTTGCTGTGGATTGGCCTAGAAATAGTAGTCAATTCTCTGTGGAGGGTCAATTTTCGATTCTAAGTCAAGGATGTGTTTTTTTCCCTTTTAGGAAATAGGTGGTTCCCATACTATTCAGTTAACCAAGCAGCCAAATCCCTCTCTACACTTAACAGCTCCCTCATCCTTGGGGTTACTTGGCCGTCTCAGGAACACTCTTGAGTTTGTGGCCTTTTCTAAAACCATGGTTGCAGTAGCCAAACTAAACTGGAAATCCCTTTGAATTGTTTTCCTTTTCATGGGACATAGTGTTCCTTTCTTCCGTTTGATATATTTCGTTCTCTGTCGTGCTTGAGCTCTCTCTCGACTTATGACTTCACCGTCACTTGAATATTGGAAGCCTTCTTGAAAAACATTGGTGAAAGACTTGAGGCTACAGTTTGGCATCAGCAGCAGAGCAAATAAAACCACACTTTAAAAACTTGGTAAATTTAGTTATGAAGGAGACCTCCCATTCGAGTCTAGGCGTTTAATAATAGCCTGTATGCACAAAGTAGAAATTATGTGATTATCGTCTTGGGGCTGTGATTAGAATGTGTTGCTATATATTGGTAACATTTAGAAATGTGTAACTTCATCCCAGCTCCATGGTACCGTAGGGCAAGCATGACATAAACATGGTCTTGCAGTTGTACACTGGTTTGAGATTCCCTGGAGACTAAACAGCTATGAGGGAGTCATGCTTCCGTTTGCCACTGTTGTCTCCTTTGTCTCGTATAGGCTATCAGAGATGTTTCCTGGACTTTTAAGAGTAGCTCCAACAGAAGTTTTGCCTTCTGAGTAGTAAGGTGGTCACAACTTGTCCTGTTTCCCCTATGGGAGTGTATATGCTGGTGGTGATGGTGGGGGATCTCACCTTTGTTTCCACATCAGTATGCTGCTGCCAGCTCCCCTCCAGGCTGTGCTGTCGGGACACATCTGTGTGCCTGTATGTGGCTCATTAGGGAGCGGGTTGCCTGTTCTTTTGAGGTGAGCATACATTTTGATTTTTCTTTTGGCATCTTTTGGTTTGGAACATTTACAGCCCTTTTTAAAAATATAGTCATTTCTGTGTGGGTTTTCTCTGAGCCAGTATTTGCCACACTCCAGTGATATTGAGAGAAACAAAGGGAACACGTCCAAGCCCAGAGGGGCTCTGTCTTAACATCTGACAGGAGCTTCTAAGCCCAGTGTGGTTGTTACTGTGGGAAGTCGGGAAGTCCATTACCCAAGGCTGTGGGAAACACAGGTCATAAAAGCGGGGGCCTCTGATCCTGGGGCATTTACAGCTTAGTTTGGGAGCCAAAACTGGACCATGTGAAACAGCTTAGAACAATTGCAGAACCAAGAATTAGCAAATGTGGATTAATGTAGATTAAAACTTGCCTGTGAGATTCCAAGGTACTTGGAAATCTGAGTTTTACAGTTGACTGGGAAAGGCTTCCTGGAGTAGTTGAGTTTGGGAACCAGGTTTTAAATGAACCAATATGGGGTGGTGAAGATGATCGTGATATCTGTCACCAGAGACACCTCTGTGTGAATCCCTTCCCTGCCATTGACTGACCTTGGGACAAATTATTTAACCCAAGTCTAGTCTCCTGGAGATGAGCCTTTGTTTCTCTCTCCCCATCTCCCTCCCTCTCTCTGTTACTCCTCCTCCCGCTCTCCTTCTTTCTTTTCCCGCTCCTCCGCCTCTCTCATTCTCTTTCTTAAGTACAAGACTGCCTACCTCCCTCATCTGGTGGTTATGAGGATTAAACGAGATAGTACATTTAAAAAATTGGGCAATGTGCTTGCACTTACTATGTTGAGAATTTGGAATTATCAGTGGAGGCAGGAAGAGTTCAAGACAAGGAAACTGGCCTGTGCAAACAGGCGCACTGATGGAGAAGGAAGACATCAAATGCCTTATCGTGGAGGGCAAGTTAGTTTGGTTAGAAAGGAAGTCTGACCAGGGAGGAGAAGAGGGTTGGTTAAAATTAAGAGTGTCCTTGATGGTCCCAATAGGGATCTGACTACCTCAGGGATGCAGATACTGAGTTAGCAGTGCAAGGAATTCATTGGGGGTTAGTGCCTGTAGCAGAAGTAAAGGGAAGAAGCAGGATTGGACAGGGAGAATCTCAGAATGTGCTGCAGATCTGCCATAGTGGACAGAAACAGGCAGACCCCAGTAGTACCCCTGACTCCTTGCAGCCCTTGGCTGGGGAAGAGCTTTGCCTTGACACAAAAGCTGCTTGGAACCTGAAGGTTCTTTGCAGCTGAGTAGCAAGTTCTTTGCTGAAGGGAGCTCCAAGTTGTACCCCTGCTAGGGCTAGCTAGAGATACCTCCACTATCTGTGTTGGGGTCCCTATTCTGTCTTACTTCTGTCACATGTAGTTTATTTCCTACACAGCATTTTATCATCAACTATAATAAAAAGGTAATGAAAATGTATCCTGTTAGTCTCTGCCCCTAGAGTGTGGCCTTTGTCAGTGTAATTGACTGCTGGCACATTGAGGAGCACAGGAGAGGGCATTTCCTGGCAACCTGGCATATAATGGTGTCAGATTTCTTATTGCCGTGTTCTCTTTTGAGCTTGGAAAGATTAGTTACCGCTTGTTGGGGTATGAGTGGGAGCGCCGTGCTTCTGAACATTTGCAAAGCATCTGCCAGGACCCTGCACCGTGAGGAGCACTTGGTGCTCGTTACCTCATTCCCGTGGTCTTGCGTGGGGAGGGACTTGTTTACATTTGTTTTAGTACCGAGATGCATGCATGTCCACTTGATGGGTAAGGAAACTGAGTGTTAGAGAACTTAAATATTAAGGTTCTCTAGGACCACTTACCTCAGGAGTGGCAGAGATGGGACCTCAGCTCTTTCTGCCCACTAAGCCTGTCAACTTAATGGCTCTGCTGTCATGTGACAGATAGAGCTGGAGCTAGGGAATGAATGCAAAGAGAATTTGGCCCATACTAGCCCTCTGATACTTACCATTGTTCTCTGTGCCAGGGTTCATGTTAGAACTGGCCTGTGCCGTGAGTAGTTGGTGAGACTGGGGGAAATGAGTGGTCTTAGACGTCACTATTGGGGACTTTAAATGAGCACAGCTTCTGTGAAGGCGACTGGGCCATGTCCATCACAGTTAGATTTGCCTATACCCTTGGATCAGGAAACTCTGCCCCCAGGTGTGTGCCCCACAGATGTACTTGGCCACAGTGCAAAATGACTCATGTCAAGGTTATTCCTTGCATCAGTGTTTGGATTTTGAAAGGATTGGAAATAACCTGACAGCCCATTAATAGGGGCTGTTTTAATAAATTATACTATGCTAAATAATGGCATATGTGCAGATGTTACAATCAGAGAAGCATTGCCCTATGAACAGATACATATGTTTGTCTGTATATCGAAATCTCTATTTCCCTAGATAGCCTTGTTAATCAGGTGGGGGAAAAGCAGGGCGTACAACGGTATTTAGTTAAAGCTACTTTTTTTATGGGACACATACAGGATTATCTTTAGCATCATGGTATTAATGGTTGGTGTTGTCTTGAGAGGTATGGGGAAGAGGTGAGATAAGGAGTCCATGTTTTTATACTTTGACTTTGATTTATAGAATATATACATACATTATCAGTTCAGAAAATTAAATTTAATAAAGACATCCCCAAAACCAGCCAACCAAAAATGCATCAACCGTTGACCACTGGGACTAGCAAAGAGATCAGGTAGAGCTTACCAGTTAGACAATACCTACCCTGAAATGAAACCAAGTATCTGTTCACTTCCAGCTGACAGGAAAAGACGTAGGAAATCTTCACCAGATTTGAAGGAAATGTTTGGAATGGTTTGACTTAAACATCTTATTATCTGGCTTATTTGGAATTTTCTTTAGGGGGCCTTCAGTGACACCTCAAGTTGGTCCTTAGCCATCCACCCTGGTGGGTGCCCATAGATTCAGATAAGCAGTGGAGAGCATGTGTGCTGCACTAGCCCTGTTCAGGGTAATAGCCAGCATGTATTCATACAACACTGGTTAATGATTCTTCCCGGCAGTCCTACTAGGGACTCCACCTTTGTCAAGGCCGTAAATGGACTTTGGGGCTGTACATTAAGAGACCTGGCCTGACTTGATCTGGCTAAACATGGCTTTGGGACCCTCTTGAAGTTTCCAGTTGATATTTTTTATTCTTTTCAAACCAAATCACTGCAGTGAAAAGAAAACAAAAAAAGGAGTTTTTAAATTTATACAAAAGTATGAAAAAGAATGAGAAGTTAGGAAAGTGTGAATTATATTTTAAGTAAGGCTTTGTGGCTTTGTTGATCATGGAAATCTTTTTATTAACACATTAGACAAATTCTTTACATGCCAGTTTGCATTCACTTAAACATTTGTGGGGGTGGTGTGTAAAATGTGCAGCAATACCTGCTCCTTTTTGGGAAATCCATTTGTTAAATAGCCCTCAGAATATGACAGTTTTATAGTAGGATTATGACTTTTTTTTGTTTCCATGTCTGCTAAAAAGGCTAACAGAATAGGACAATTTAATCACATGCCATTATGTTCATAGGGGTTTGGGAAGCTCAGACATGTTTCTAGAAAAGGAATCGCGTACCCAGCTTTTCCAAGTTTCTTAGCAAAATTCGATAATTACTTGATTTGGAGATGTCCCCATTCAGCCCCTTCTTCTGAGGGCATCTGGCCTTCCTGAGTGTGGCTGACATCACTTTCATGACCTTGGCTCTGTTGAGGTGGTTGTCAGGGAAGGTGTGTTGCCAGAACTGTCCTGTCACTCTTCGACAGAGAGAGACAGAGAGACATTTCCTGGACTAATCCATGTTTCCAGCCAGATTTATATTATTTACAGGGTATTAGGCAAGGACCAGGATTTAGCCAGGTGTTGCCCTGGAGAATTGTTTCGGACCTCAAGTCAAAAAAAGGCTGCATGCTGACTAGCGGAGGAAACAGCTCCCCACGGGCCAGCCTAGACTCTGTATCCTGGCATTTGTCATCCCAGCTGGAGTTTTTTGAGGCATCGGAGCTAGAATAAAGCAGGAGCTCATCAGAGGCTCTCTTTTCTCAGTCGCCTCCATCTTTCCAGAGACTCAGAGGCCACCAGCTGTGGCAGCAGGTCTCAAGCTTTGTCGGTGATTAGTTGCACGGCGGGGAAGGCTCTTCGCATTTTCCTCTGTTCTGGGGCTCTCTGGTGGATTGGAGCAGGCAAATCGGGCTCCTCACTGAGCAGGATGCAGGCAAGTCAGAGTGAAAGAAAGGAGCCAGTATCCCCACCACCCGCTAGTGTTTTCCATACCAAAGGACTTAACGCTTATGTTTGCAAAATTCAATAGTCAGTACCCTTGTCAGCTGCTGCTTTAAATTCTGTGTCCTTTGCCTGTTTCTGGGTCATTGCCTAGTAAATGGTAAACATTGCCATATCCCAGCTTCCTTTTTCTGGGTTGCCTTGTGTGAGCCTTGTCAGTAGAAGAAGCTTAGATAGGGCGGCTTGACCTTGGCTGACTTGCCATATTCTTGAACTGTCCTGCCCTGCTTCTCAATGCATCAGGGAAAATATCCTAACATGTCTGGCGTGCCCTTTAACTTGACAGAGAGGGCAGAGGCTGAGGAAGTTTGGTGGTACGACTGCACTTGGTTAAGCAGCCAGTGCTGGCGAAACAGGCCTTACTTAGCCCAGGCATTCTGACTGCCATTTGAGGACTGTTTTTACTGTAATAATCCATCACTCTGGACTTTATGCTCTAGGAATGAAAATTGTATTTACTATTGGCCTAAGAAAAACATATTGCAATTCATATTTGAAGCTGCTTAGCAAAGATCCCTAACACCAGCCAGAAGTGATTTGGCTATTGGAATTACCTGTTTTGGAGAGTGATTCCTATAACTGCTTCCCTATCATCATCTGTAATGGTTGAAGCTATGTGTATACATTCACACGTTTACACACAAAACAAGATAATTTCTTTACTGGGTCTTAGCAAAAAGTCTAGAAGAATTTTCAATAAAACTGGATGCATATTTATGATTGTCTGACTTAAAATGTAGACTGTGTGGCATGTATGAATTTCACTTTGGAGGGAACAGAGTCTTGAGCAAGCACCTCAAATAAATACATAGGCCATTACTCTCTGCTATGGCAGCTGAAACTAAGAAACAGTGAGAGGGCTATGTGGCTGCTTATGTGGGAAGATTTAATTTCTGTTGTAGGATGCTGAGGACCTTGGAAATTGAGGCACTGAAGCTGAAGTGGCAAGGGCAAGTGTGAATTGCATCAGATCTTTTTCTCTCAGGGTAATTTCTTCATATCCCAGGTAAGGTAGCATTTGGATTTCTAGTCTTTATATTTATTGGTGGTGAGTAATTCTCCCCAAAAATGGAGGGGGAGAAACTAGTATGCAAATGATGACAAAATAGAAGAAATCTATCTCATTTTGCAGTGTTCTTATCCCATCATAAAAATTAGTTGATCAGATAAATTGAAGTTTTAACCTGATTCCATTTATTTCCTACTAGACGCATTTTGGAAATCTCAGTTTGTGTTCTGAAGATTTTCTAGCTAGAAAGTTTTAGTGGGGTTAGAAATAGTGTTCCTCTCAATTGCTTCTGAATGAAAGCATACTCCATTGGAAGGACCATCAGCAAGGGCCATACATTCTAACAAGTCTCATTGTTTTTCCCATGCTATTCTTCAGCTTCCTTTTTCTTTGGACACTGTCTCAACCATCCCCTGGGTTTGGTGATGCCAGACTTCCTTCTGGCATTATCCGCAACCGACAATGGACTTTACTTGTTACGACAATATCACCAGCTTTCATTGCATGCGGCAGATGGCCTGGAATGCAGTTTGTCACTATCACTTCTTGGAAATGCAGAGGCCTCCTGGTTCTTCAAGGCCACTAAGCCCAGGAAGGGAGCAAGTGTGAGATGGCAAAGACCCCCTAAGGAACAGCATCAGATCCCTTTCTGGGTGTTTGTTGCAGGGTGGCTCACTTGCTGCTTTTCTCCAGGATAAATGGCAATTGCTTGATGCTTGATAGGGACGTATTAAATACAACGGCTGTCTCAGGACCCTGTCTGCCTTGTTTTTCATCACCTGGACGTCTGATACATGCAAAGTGGAGGAATTACTGCAAAGAGTGGAAGACAGGTTAAACAAACATTCACCACAACTAACTGTTTAAGCTTAAGTCACTAAAACACTCATTGTGTTTTTGCTCTGAAGGTCCATGAAGGGATAGATTCGTCCATCCTCCTTCTCCGTCATCACACATCAAGGCCAGGATTGTGCCATTTATGGATTCCACATCCTAAGAGAAAACTGTTCACTCAGATGGTTTCTGGTAGTGACTCCTCTTCTCTTTGAAATGCCCTTCAAAGTATTTAGCCAGAAACAAAGCTTTTTGGTTTTTGGGCTTGTGTCAGGCTTTTGCTAGAGAGTGATTTTTTTTTTTCAAGGAAATTAATAGATGATACAGTCAATGCTAGACAATTTTAGATCTCAGAGCTGTCTTCCTTGAAAGGTACATTACTGTTTCTTTTACATCTCTGAGATGAGACTGCTCAGAGAATGATTGATTTTGGGGTGAATTGCTATGTTTTTACATAGACAAAATAAAACCACAGAATCCTTCAATAGAGGAAATAAAATATGGCACGCCATCAATGTGGAATATTAGGCACCCTCAAGTGTAAGTCTATGTATATATGACATGGAAAAATGTTTAAGATGTGGTTGGGTGACTTTAAAACAAGTTGCAGTTTGGGCACAGTGCCTCATGCCTTTAGTCCCAGCACTTTGAGAGGCTGAAGTGGGAGGATTGCTTGAACCCAGGAGTTTGAGACCACCCTGGGCAACATAGAGAGACCCCATCTCTACAAAAATAATTAGCTGGGTGTGGTGGCACATACCTGTAGTCCCATCTACTCTGGAGGCTGATACAAGAGGATCGCTTAAGCCCAGGACATAAAGGCTACAGTGAGTTGTGATCACACCACTGCACTCCAGCCTGGGAGACAGAGGGAGACCCTGTCTCAAACAAACAAAAAACAAGTTGCAGAACAATGTGCAAAATGGAGTGTGATCCTATTTGTGCTTCATATATATGAGGATCAGGACCATCCTAAATATGTATGTATATCTCTGTGTGTGTCTGTGTAATTGCTTAGAAAAATGACTAAAATGGTATGAATCAAACTGTGTTCCTTCAGGCAACACTAGGGGGAAGTGGACAGAGGGTGACCATTGCGTTTTGTGTACATCTGTGTATTGTCCTGATCTCATACAATGAGAAATATTTATACACTATGGATAAACAAATTTTGGAAAATATCCCAGCAACGTTAGTAATGCAACAGTGCTTTCCCTGGGGCCACCATTTTGGTTCTCACCAAGAACAGATGGTAGCATCAAGTATTTCAGTAAAATTTTAATATCATAAAAAGCATATGGGGCTTTCCTAAGGTCTGAGAGGCACAGTATAATCATGTTAAATAAAGAGGACTTACATTTAACCTTGGATTCATTAACAATTTATTGCTGGGAGGATAAAAAGGGGATGTTTACATCACACACGGGTCGAAGACAAATACATTTTCGGTTGCAGAGAGTATATAAGGCAAGTAGAATGAAGAATGAGTATTTCATGATACATTTTTTACTTTTATTAATTTTTGAGTACATTCCAGTGCTAAGCAGTGAATAGTATATGATACATAATGAATTTTCTTCTGCTCCTACGCAGAGTTTTCTCCTTAAGGATTCAGCTGCCCTTCAATAGGTGTGGTGTTAGTTAATGGTTTGATGAAGAGTTTTATGTTGCACGTAAGTTGCAAATAGCATTCCTTTTGTTTGGATGCCCAGTAGAATTGGACAAACCAGAGTTCAAATCTCCATGGCACAACTTAGTAGCAATACATCCTTGCATTCAACTTTGAGCTGGGGTTTTTCAGCTATAAAATGTAAATAATAAAATTACTTAACTCCATAGAGTTGATGTATTAAATGAAATAGTGTACAAAATTGATGTAAGTTACAGGTTGTGGCACATGTTGTTTGGTAGATATTAGCTGCTATTACTACATTTTACAGTTTGGAAATTTTCATGCGCGTCCGTGTGAAGAGACCACCAAACAGGCTTTGTGTGAGCAGCAAGGCTGTTTATTTCACCTGGGTACAGGCGGGCTGAGTCCGAAAAGAGAGTCAGCGAGGCGAGGTAGGGGTGGGGCCGTTTTATAGGATTTGGGTAGGTAAAGGAAAAACGGGGGTTGTTCTCTGGCAGGCAAGAGTGGGGGTCACAAGGTGCTCAGTAGGGGAGCTTTTGAGCCAGGATGAGCCAGGAGAAGGAATTTCACAAGATAATGTCATCAGTTAAGGCAGGAACAGGCCATTTTCATTTCTTTTGTGGTGGAATGTCATCAGTTAAGGCAGGAACCGGCCATCTGGATGTGTACGTGCAGGTCACAGGGGATATGATGGCTTAGCTTGGGCTCATAGGCCTGACAGAAATGAGCAGAATTGAAAGATTCATGACAAAAGTTGGCTACTTCTGTACATGCACCTATTAAGCTTTTTTTGGTATGTTGTACATTTTCTTCTTCAGGGTCTTCCCAGCCCTATTAGTAACAGTTGTTTTTATAGCAATTGGATAAGATATGAAACTAAGAACTTTATTATTAATTGGTTGCTATTCCTTGGAATAAAAATGAAAAAAAGATTAACAATGGAAGAATATTAAAAGTACAATTTGCCCATTCATTATATCAGATGTCTCAGTTTTATGGTGAGGTAGGCATCATATTAAGGTACAACTATTTAGCGAGATGTATAAATGATTAATATATGAGAAATTATGAATTTAATACCCGTCCAAAACTTGTTAGAATAAATGACTTTTATGTTCCCATTAGGTTTTGTGATGGGAAATAATATATTTTATGTAAGAGAAAATTCAGATGCTTCTACTTATTACCCATGAGGTGTCCGTGAACTTGGCACGATATTCCTTTTTTCTAATATATTCTGAACTCTCATGGTTAAATGCATAGGTAATGTGTCATAATTGAATACATGTTCTTATCAATAGTGTCTGTCAGCCAGTTTCCAGTAGATTCAGCAGACATTTTCTGCCTATTAGGGGGCTGGACTTGGTGCTGAGGAGTACCCAGGGAGGGTTAAGTTCTTGCCCTTGAAAGGTGTGCTCAGATACTCCAGTAAGAGGCAGGCATAATCTGCTGCAGAATAAAGGTGCACAAGGTGTGTGTGTTCAGGGCTGGGGAGGGAGAAGATGAAGACGTATTGAAATCTGACTCCAGGCTTGTGTGTGGAGAGGAATTAAGAGAAGCAAGGCTTTAGGCCGGGTGCAGCGGCTCACGCCTATAATTGCAGCATGTTTGGAGGCTGAGGTGGGCAGATTGCCTGAGCTCAGGAGTTCGAGACCATCCTGGGCAACACAGTGAAACCCCGTCTCTACTAAAAATATAAAAAAATTAGCCAGGCATGGCAGCGGGCGCTTGTAGTCCCAGCTACTCGGGAGGCTGAGGCAGGAGAATCGCTTGAACCCAGGAGGCAGAGGTTACAGTGAGCCGAGATCACGATACTGCACTCCAGCCTGGGTGACACAGTGAGACTCCATCTCCAAAAAAAAAAAAAAAAAAGAGAGAGAGAGAGAGAGGGAAGCAAGGCTTTAAAAAGTAGGTGATGTTAATGAGTTGAGTAGGGGATGAACCAGCTGGGCTTGAGGATCTACCATGCCATTTCAGAGACAGGGAACAGCATTTTGAATACAGGGAAGAATGCATGCTAAGACGTGGGTGCAAAAATGCCAATTAATTCTTTAGGGAATGACTAACTCTCTAACAGAGACAGAACTGGAATAAGGTAGACAGGCAAGAGGCCAGTTCATGAAGGGCCTTGGGTCTTTTAAAGACATTAAGAAAAAGATTTTTAAAAAGTCCCTTACATAGTTAAAACCACAGTGAGGTAACACTATCTCATGTTGATTGGCGAAGATCAAAATGTTTGATAAAATACCAAACTGGTATGGGTATGAATAAAAGTACTCTATTACCTACCTACTCCTAGACTGCAACTGTGTCAGTACGAACATGCATCTGGTTGAGAACCTGTCGGTTTCCACAGAAAGTAAAAATACGCATACTTTCTGACTCAGTGATCCCACTTCTGAGAAATTATCCCATGGAAAAACTGCATATCTCTACCAAGGTTTATGTACTAAGATAGTTATTGCAGCAACGATTGGAATAGCATGAAACTTAAAACATCCTAGATATCCATAATTAGGGAATTTCAAATTGTGATATATTTGTGCAGTGGGGCACGATGTAGCCATTTATAAGAAAGGAAGCTCTGCATGTATTGATTTAGAATGATTTTCCATCTATATACTGAGTGAAAAGAGGCTATGTGCAGAATTTGTACGGTGTTCTGTTTAAGATTGTGGGAGTGAGGAACATGCTATTCATTCTCATTCTCTCTCTCTCACTCTCACCCTCACTCTCTCTCATTCACTCACACATACTGTCTTTGGAAGGATATGGAAGAACTGTTACCAAAAGTAGCTTCTGGGGAGGAGACCTACTTTTCACTGCGTACTCTTTTGAACTGTTTGGCTTTTTTTCTTTTTCTTTTTTTTTTTGAGACAGAGTTTTGCTCTTGTCATCCAGGCTGGAGTGCAATGGCGCGATAGTGGCTCACTGCAACCTCCGCCTCCCGGGTTCAAGTGATTCTCCTGCCTCAGCCTCCTGAGTAGCTGGGATTACAGGCGCCTGCTACCACGCCCAGTTAATTTTTGTATTTTTAGGAGAGACAGGATTTCACCATGTTGCCAAGGCTGGTCTCGAACTCCCGACCTCGGGTGATCCACCCACCTTGGCCTTCCAAAGTGCTGGGATTACAAGTGTGAGCCACCGCGCCTGGCGTGTTTGGCTTTTTATTGCAAGGTCCTCCATTTTTTCAAAATTTGGAAATAGGAGTTCCTGCATTGGCTTGAGGCTCCTGATGTCTTAAGAGCATTGAAATGGGTGGACCACCATTGGTTAGGGTTATGGGTAGGGTCCTGAAAGGCTTAATGTAGTAGTTTCTAGGTCTCAATTTTCTCTCTATGAGAACAAGTTCCGTTGACTAAAGGATTTCTGTTCCCTTTCTACCTCTGATATCCAGTCCCTTGCAGGGTCCAACTTCATACACCTCGGCATTTTAGGAATTAATTCGGGATTTTACAGTTTGGCTTGATTTGATTTTATTTTGTTTTTTGATTTTTGACTATTCACAAGATTTTTAAAAATGTCATACATTTCCGTTGAAGATATGATGAGTTCTACAGCTAGTATGACATGTTCCAGGTTGCAGTGGTGTAGTTCAAGTTTTATGTTTGTTTGGTTTTAATTTTATTGTTTTTGCCAAGTGAACAATAGTTCGAATCAAGGATGCTAATTATATGATGTACAGAATTAATCAATTTTGAGATTAAAACACTACTGTATACTATATACTAAATATACATTAATGTTAATAAATACATCCCTAGTTCAAAAATGTTAGAATGAGTGAATGAGTATGTTGGCAAGAGGGATGGAGTGAGATAGGGATTTAAGGATGTGTTTTGACAACATTCTGTGGCACAGTCAACATGAGGTTGAGCTGATTGGGATGTAACTACATGTTCTTAAAATGAAGACTTTGAGGGTGTTGTTATGAGAACAAACCAAAAATGCGGTTCTTCCATGCACTTGTAGTACCCCAAAATTCCCCCAATGCTTGTATGTTTGTGCTATTTTGTTGTTGTTGCAAATTGATACGAGTACATATCTATTAAAAAATTCTAGCCAGGCCGGGCGCGGTGACTCACGCCTATAATCCTAGCACTGTGAGTGGCTGAGGTGCGTGGTTCGCCTGAGGCCAGGAGTTCGAGACCGGTCTGACCAACATGGGGAAACCCTGTCTCTACTAAAAATACAAAAATTAGCCAGGTGTGGTGGCAGGCGCCTGTAATCCCAGCTACTTGGGAGGCTGAGGCAAGAGAATTGCTTGAACCCAGGAGGCGAAGGTTGCATTGAGCTGAGATCACACCATTGCACTCCATCCTGGGCGACAAGAGTGGGATTCCGTCTCAAAAACAAACAAACAAACAAATTCTAGCCACATGCTTATTTGCAATGTGAGCCCACATTTGGTTTTATAATCCTTTCTCACTGATGGACTGATGGACTACATGAATACACTTTCTTTTGTATTCATACTGGCTGGGTACTTCAGTGGGTAGGTGCATGGAGGAGCAGGTAACCGGATCTGAGAATTAGTCTTTGCCGGGGAAGCGACTAGAGCCCTAGCTTTTTTCAATGGAGAAATCCCTTTTCTGGCTTTAGCCAGTGTAGGGTAGACTGCCACAAGGAGCTATGATAACTTACCATACGTATTTTTCATGCTTCAATCTGGTGATGGTTGATCTTCGAGTCAGACTGGGGTTTAAATATTGCCTTCTCCACTGATAACGGTCTTGTGACCTGAAAGTCTTTTAAACTTTCTGAGCTTTAAATTTTTCCTCTACTCAGTGGGGATGATGACAGAGTCTCTCTCCTGGAGTTAGTTATTGGGAAGATTGATTTTGATGGAATTCAGGACATACTACTCCAAAATATGGCACCTTGGAATTTGAGAAAACAGCAGAAGCAGAAAGGTCACTTTTACCTTCCCTGACCCTTCTCCCCTGAGGCAGGTTATAAAACCTAGGAGGGCCACTCTCTGGCTTTCTCCTGCTTTTCTTCACTGAAGTAGGTCCTAAGACCCTCATTCCAGAGGCGCCTCCCTCTACCCTGAGAAAAGAGGCATCCTTATCACTGAGGTCAGAGAGATGCTGTTGGGGCTCAGAGAACAATACTCCGAAGTCTCATACTTCGGCATGCTGAGTACTTTTGAATTAAAGAAAATTGGAAGGGCTTCACAACTGCCCCAGAAGCAAGGATTTGGGAACTTTCTGTTGTACTCCCTTCGTCCCCCAGGGTCTCTCTGGAATTCCCCATATCTGACTTAGAAAGCTTCTTACAAAATAAATGCAATGGTCTTAGAAGTCTCATTAAATAACCAGGCACGATTAACCATCAGAGAAGAGAAAAGACTAAAAGTAGTCACCATGCCCAGACATGTTTTTCATCTTTTCTTCTGAAGGCAGCTTTGAGGGATTACCTGGAAGACTTTATCTGCATAATAAGATAACCTTTGGTAACAGTGCAGTTCTGCTCCTTACCTTCCAGTATTCAGTCCCATTCAGTTTCCAAAGAATCACTTATAAGCTATTGTCTGTCCTTTGGGCTCATTCATTCCCCCCTAAAAATCATTTATTGCTCCTTCAAAATTGCCCACAGCCCCCCACTTCCCTTTCCCCTATGAAAAGGGTAGTTACGCCTCAACCATTTGGCCCTTCTTTGAGTCTCATATTTTGCATGACTCCTGTACTTATGCCTGTTATTCTGTCTGTTGTCAGTTTGAGCACACATAAACATTCAGAGGGAGAGGGAAAATTCTTTTTATCCCTACAACACCAAGAAGAATTTGAACAAACAGTCCTTGCTAATTTCCCCTGCGTTTATTCCCATTAGACCATATTCTTTTATCCTGTAATTGTATTTCTCCGTGACTCTTCATTCTTCATCAAACATAGGCATAAAAATACATAAGGTTACCTATTTCTTAGAGTCTTCATTTCCAAATGAAGCTTCCCGTGTCACATAAAACTTACATTAAATAAATATCTATGCTTTTCTCTTGTTAATCTGCCTTTTGTTATAGGGGCCTCAACCATGAACTTAGGTTGGGAAGGAAAGAGATTTCTTTTTCCCTACAATTTGATATAAAGTCTCCATGGCACATAAGAGATAGTCAGTTAATGTTGCTTATCATCATCATCATTTTTTTCTGGAAAGGGCCACATAGAACATGTTTTAGGCTTTGCAGGTCATACCTTGTCTGTCAAAACTATTCAACACTGCCCTTGTAGCAGGCAAGCAGACATAGATAATGCATAAGTGAATGGGTGTGGCTTTGTTCCAATAAAACTTTATTTACATAAACAGGCAGGCTGGATTTGGCCTGAAGATAGTATGTGAACCACTGTAGCTGTGTGTGTCAATACAGCCTTACTTACAAAACCAGGCAGGATAGATTTGGCCCATGGGACATAGTTGGCTAATCCTTACGTAGCAGTGGTTCTGAAACCTTTTAATTTCAGATCTCCTTTATACTCTTAAGAATTATTGAATAGGACCTGAAAGAGGTTTTGTTTATGTGGATCATATCTGTGGATATTTACTGTTCTAAAAATTTTAACTGACAAATTAAAAAAACTTAATTCATTTTAAATAACTAATACAACCATAGCATGTTAACATAAATAACACATTTTTATAAAAGAATATATGTGGCACATATACACCATGGAATACTATGCAGCCATAAAAAATGATGAGTTCATGTCCTTTGTAGGGACATGGATGAAACTGGAAACCATCATTCTCAGCAAACTATCGCAAGGACAAAAAACCAAACACTGCATGCTCTCACTCATAGGTGGGAAATTGAACAATGAGAACACATGGACACAGGAAGGGGAACATCACACACCAGGGACTGCTGTGGGGTGGGGGGAGCGGGGAGGGATAGCATTAGGAGATACACCTAATGTTAAATCACGAGTTAATGGGTGCAGCACAGCAACATGGCACATGTATACATATGTAACAAACCTGCATGTTGTGCACATGTACCCTAAAACTTAAAGTGTAATAATAACAAAATTAAAAAAAATTATTTTTCAGATGAGATCGGGCGCGTTCAGGGTGGTATGGCCGTAGGAAAAAAAAAATTATTTTTCAAAACAAATTTTAGTTGGAAGAGTGGCATTGCTTTATACTTTTGCAAATCTTTTTAATGTCTGCCTCAGCAGAAGACAGCTGGATTCTCCTAACTGCTTTTGCATTCAATCTGTTGTGATATTATAAGTCATATTGTCTCCTGAAAACTCCCTTGCACCTCCTGAAAGTATCTTGGGGACCCACAGGGGTCTTTGGACCACAGTTTGAGAATCTATGTCCTACAGACATCATTAAGGGAAATTAAGTATTACCTTGTAAATGGCAGCTGCTTTTACCTATTATTGAGAGTTTCTTTGTCATCTTTTTTTCTGAGCTAAAAGTGAACATTTCAGTGTCTGTTCCTTCCCCCTGCTGTAGAAGGCATATTTAGTCATGTGGTAGGTGTTTATGAAAGCAGGTTTGCTTTATTTTCTGAAATGATTGTCACCTTGGCTTGAATTGTCTGCTGCTGCATCACAATAGAGTTTTACTACTGTGGAGAAACAAAAGCCAGGAGATAGTCTGAATTCATTGGAGTAAAAGGGAACAAAAGAAGCTAGCTTCAGAGCAGGAAAATGCCTGTGATGACAAAGAAGCCTAAAAGAATGATTTGCATAAAACTGAAACACTTGAAAAGCTTCAAGATAATAAGGTTAAATACAAAAGGAGACTCAACCTCAGAGTGGCTGCTTTTGAAATAAGTTTTCTAGAGGGTTTTCAAGAACAAATATTTCCTACTTAAGTTTTGAGGGCCCTTCAAGTTTAGGTCAGTGATATCTGGGATTCTGGGTTCTTGGCAGTGGTGAGGGGGTCTGTGTGGTCCTCTTGGAATTGATCCTTATATAGTAAATGGGTGGCTCTGAAAATCTGAGGAGGTTTCATGCCCAAAGTCTCCTTATTCTTCTCTGTACCCCCTAAGGATTGCCATATGCTGCTAAAACTTGGCTTTTCAACCAAGAAATAAGTCAACTCTCACATTGCTAGAACGATGCTGTGGGATCCTCATATGAACCTATATATGTGAGATTTTTCTCATAAAGGCAAAATTATTTCATCCAGATCTGTTTTCTTCTTTGATACCTGCAAGTAAATAGATTGGGGGATAAAGCTGCAAATAAGCTGAGAATGTTCCACAGTAAGATTTCTCACAGTCCTGACTAGATAGAAATGAATATTAAAGTAATTCAGCACAGTACTAAAAGCTTGTACCTAATTGCCTTTTCTTTATATTTAGCTTAACTTTAAAGGAAATTTATAACTAAATTGGGCTCAGTGAATTCCCTGGTTGCCTACTTTTATTACCCATTATAACATATTTCTGTTTAATTTACCTCTTCCAGCCGTGATACTTCAGTGAAGATATGAGTATGTATTTGGAAGATGGTGAAGTGAACTTGACTGTTTTGGGAGGCTCAACTCCAGGGCTTCTCAAAAACAACAGCAATGTCAAGGAAACAATTTTAGCCTTGTTCCAGAATATTCACATTTTGGGTTTTCTCTTCTGAATGTAGAAGGAAAAATTCCCCTATTTTTTTCACACTCATGTTCAGCTCTGTCATTTTCATTCTGGGTATACATCCCTTTCCCATTTATTACATCTGTTACTTTTATACTACACAGGAAATACATGTAAAACATCCTACCCACTCTGATAGAAACAAATGTGCATCCCTGTCATTAAAGCTACACCTGTAAGCTTTGCCCCTATCCGGGTCAAAAGGCCCTATCATGTAAGGAATCCCAGCAACTAGCAAGGAAGTGAAGACAGTCTAGGAGGGAAAGACTCCTGGTTTTCTGGAAACCTATGCAGTGGGAGCTTTAATAGTTGCCCTCAATCTCCCTGCCCTCCTTGCTTGCCCCTTTGTTCTGTTTAAGGCTAGCTGCATATTTCTTCTTGTGTTTTCACGGAGTAGTCCACCATCACACCATATGGGCTTTTTCCTGTGGTGATTAATTAGGTTGCATGCTGAGCTCTCTGATTCTTTGGGGACTGTGTTTCCTCATGGTCTTGTCAGAACATGCAGAATAGCTGTGTGATACTTCTCACATTTGCACCCACTGCTAACAAGGTATCTGACAACTCCTCAATATCATGTTGGATGCAAGGCACAGGATGCTGCTGGGCTAGTGCTGTTTAATTTTCAGATCTCTGGTAGCTATGAGTTTGAGGAGGCTCGGGTCACATTTTCTTATTTATGTTTCATCTCTACTTTCATATGATTATAATAGTAATATTTGAAAACTTTTTGCATAAAGGCAGAAGAGGAAAAAACCCATATTTAGTGACTAATTTTTCTACAGTATAATAATGAAAAGAAGTGAGTGCAGAAACATTTCTAACAATTGTTATAATAATGATGGTGATAGAAATAATTGAAGGCTGGGCACAGTGGCTCACACCTGTGATCCCAGTAGTTTGGGAGGCCAAGGTGGGTGGATCCCTTGAGCCCAAGAGTTCAGGACCAGCCTGGCAACATGGCGAAACCTCACCTCTACTAAAAATAAAAAAATTATCCAGGTGTCGTGTCACGTGACTGTCATCTGAGCTACTCAGGAAGCTGAGGTGGGAGGATCAGTTGAGCCCCCAGGAGGTCGAGACTGAAGGGAGTGCCACTGTACTCAGCCTGGGTGACAGAGCCAAGCCCTGTCTAAAAAAGAGAGAGAGAGGGAAGAGAAAGAGGAAGGAGAGGGAGGAAGGAGGAAGGAAGGAAAGAAAAAAGGAAAAAAGTAGCCTGTGTGCTTTCTTTTCTTTATTTTTTGAGACAGGGTCTCACTCTGTTGCCCAGGCTGGAGTGCAGTGGCGCGATCTCGGCTCACTGCAACCTCAGCCTTCTGGGTTCAAGTGATTCTCCTGCCTCAGCCTCTGGGGTAGCTAGGAGTATAGGCGAGCACCACCACACCTGGATAATGTTTGTATTTTTAGGAGAGACAGGGTTTTGCCATGTTGGCCAGGCTGTTCTTGAACTGCTGGCCTCAAGTGATCTACCCACCTCGGCCTCCCAAAGTGCTGGGATTACAGGCGTGAGCCACCGCGTCTGGCCATGAATAGTAGCCTGTGTGCTTTGATGCATCCTGCTAAGACTTTACCCATCCTTACCTTTTAAAATATTGACCCTAACATGCTGAGAATAGGAACTGTTACTTTCTTCATTTTAGAGAAGAGGATTTTGAGGCCCAGGAAATAAAGTAACTGACTGTAAGTCCCTCTTAGGGAGAGTTACATTTTTACAAAACTTTTCATTAAACAATTAAAAAAATTTAGTTTGAGTTAAAACGTTTATACACACGTGTACACACACACACAGGCACAGTAAATTGTACAAATCTGAAGTATGTGGCTCAGTGTGTTTCTATAGGTGTGTTACTGCTTTCACCTGAGTGGCTGCCTTGCAGATCAAGATGGAATACTTTCTAGCATTCCAGGCACATCTGTCATTTTTCCCAACCCCCCACCAGGTAACCACTATTGTATTTCCACTCACCATACAGATAGATTTGCCCACATAACTTAGGGAACTCTTTTGGGTCTGTCTGCTTTTGCTCAACATAATGTCTATGAAATTCACACGTGATGTTGTGCGGTACTTACTCTTTAGTTATTGATTATACAACTATACAACAGTTTGCCAGTTTTCTTCTTGTTAGACCTTTTGAGTTCTTTCTAGTTTTAGGCTTTCATGAGTAAAGCTGTAAAGAGCAATCTTGTAAATGCCTGTTGGTGCACATTTGTATGCAGTTCCCTCTGGTGCCTACCATAAGGGATAAGGTTAAATGTAATTCATACGGTGGGTGCAGAATTTGCATTTGAACCTTGATTCTCTATAGGCAGAGCCTTGGCTCGTTACCACTACCCTCTGCTGCTGCCTGTAATTTTAAAGCCTGTATTTCTCCCCAGGTAAGGAAGTTGAATCTTTTTTTTTTTTTTCCCCCTGTATGAAAGTTCAGTGGACTGGCACTTTAAGATGGTTCTTAGCAGCTTGTGTTTGCCCCACTTATATAGGTGCCACACCATTAAACTGCCTATCATTTTCCGACTGATGCCTTTCTGGAAAATAGATAAAGGACATCAGAAGAATGCATCTTATCAGTATTGATTTAGCCGAAAGGGTTGTAAAGAAATCAGTTACAGTAATGTCAAATTTCATAAGATTGGTTTTGAGAGAGTAGCTGTGTCAACTAGGCTGACATTTTTTCTCTTTTGGCTTTATTTCGTAGTATGGGCATTAATGGTGGAGTGATCCAGATTTGGAAACCAAAAATGGTATTTCTAAGGCATTCCACAGGGCTGGGGGAGTTGATGCTGTATCTTTTCATGCTCCCTTGGTGCTAACTGGCTGTATGGCCTTGGGAAGGCCACTTAGTTTCTCCTGCCTCGCTCATTTGTAAAGTGGGGGGCATAGGATTGTATCAGTGAAACTTCACCTTTTCTTGGTAATCTGATGGATGACCCTCTCCTTTGAAAAACAAACACAAATCTGTGTAAATTTCAAACCCATTTCATATGGGCTTGTTGATACCTGTTAGCTCGTGATTTCTTAATTATAAAGGAAATTCCCAATTCTATTATTAATGAAAGTTCAGCTCTCTGCATTTTGGAGAAGTCTTTTATTATACCAGGTTTATTGTTCTGGACGGCAATATATAGCATTGTAGCTAAAATGAAAATGATACTCCATGGTCTACCTGCAACAAAAGTGAGCTGGATATACTATTGATCACACTTTAAATAACTTATCTTTGTGGACTGCCACTCTGGGCAGCCTTGTGCTGTGAGGGTAGAGAGGTAAACAAGTCATACTCCAGCTCTACCCCCATAGGATTTACAGTAGGGATAGGATCTGATTTGGTGAATTACTATGGAGAGGAGAGGCACAAATTGGTTGTCTGCAAGGCCAGGTAGTATATAAGGAGAGGCACAAATTGGTTGTCTGGGAGGCCAAGTTCTGGAGGTAGACGGCCAGGTTTTTGTGGGCCAGTTACTAAAAACTGTACTTCAGTTTGTCCAGCTGTAAAAAGGGTATAGTAACTGTACCTACCATTTAGGATTGTTGGAGCTTTAAATGAGTCCATGCAGGGTTTCTTGGCTTGGGCACTATTGGACACTTTGGGCCAGATAATTGCTGTGCATTGTAGGGTGTTAAGCATTTGTAAAATGGGGAGCATAGGATTACATCAAGGATTCTTCACCTTTTCTTGGTAATCTGTTGGATGACCCTCTTCTTTGAAAAACAAATACAAATTTGTGTCAGTTTGGCCTCTGTTCACTAGATAGCTCCAGTGTGGTAATAAAAAATGTCTCCAGGTATTGCCAGATGTCCCCTGGAGGGGCAAAATCACCCCCCACCCACCCCACCTTGACTTTGAGAGCCACTAGTCTTATGTTAAATTCTCTTCTAAATGCTATGGTAAAAACACCTGGTGGCTGTTGCCTTAAAGAAAAACTCCTCTGAGAAAGCCATAATTCCCTGCCTAGTGCCCCACTGATGGAAACAAAAATAGAAAGCTAACAAAGCCCTGGTAGCAAAGGTCTGTTTGTTCCCATTCCCCTGCTTACTGAATTATTGATATACTTTCTGAGATGAACTGCATTTGTTCAGATAGGATTAATAGCCACCACCTTCCTGAAGAACAGTAGCTTCTGCCTGGCCCCCGCCCCTGGCCCTTGCAATTTGACAGTTTCTGCTACCTGCTCATTTGCAGCTCAGCTTCCCTGGCTTCCTGCAAGTAGGTCCTTGCTGAGAGCAGACCTGTTAAATCATGTTAAAGCCAGGCAGCTCCTGGGAGAACCCCAGCCTGCTAGAGGTGTGAACACAGGTGCTGGACAGTGAGCTTAGCTGCCTGGGATAAAAAAACACATGCACTGAAGAGCTTTGGGTGGCTGAGCCCCAGGTATTTGCTTATCACCTGTTAATGACCACATACCCCATAGGCATCCACCACGAAGGGGCTCTTGGGGCACCTGAGAGTTGAAATTAAGTTAGTGAAGATGCCTGCGCTGGGTGTGAGGAACAAGTGGAAATTACAGTTCTGAAAAGGCACTTGGAAAGCAGGGAGCAGAATACCAGTATCTGATGGGTTTTGTTTGTTGGGAGAGGGAGTTGGAGGGTGGGAGAATGGGTAGATTCTGATTCTTCTTTTATTCTCCATTATTTGCTCAAGGCTGCTATTTTGTCAGGGGTTTCAGGCTTTGGATTTTGTGGACCAGTTTAAAACTGGAGGCCTGCTGTAAAGTAGCTAAATAACTTTTAAGTTTGTCCAATAGAGATGTTTAAAGAAAAAAAAAATACTATTTACTGTCGCCATCACCGCATCAAAGAAAGGATGCTTTGTCACCAAAGGAGTAGGAGGTGTATAACTGTGCAATAAAGAAGAGTCATTGATGTTAAATGAATCAGGTGTTATGGGCCTTATTCTTGGTTATTTTACCAGGACCCGGGAACGATGTCATCATAGGCTGGTCCATTTGTTTCACTGCACATAGTAGGGATTAAATGCTTATTACTGCTTAGATGACTGAATTAATGAACAGTGGTACCCCGTATTCATCATTCTTGGGGAGGACTGATGCTTGAGCAGAGGCCGTGAGGTGCCCTCTTCAATGGCACCCATCTTCAATTCTTCCTTTTTATCTTTTGCTTTTGACCTTTCCTGAAGTGGCTGAAGATTGTAGCAATACACAAGCATACTCCGATTTCCCCTAAGATGTTGTGCCTCCCATCTGCTTCTTGTTTCATATTGTTCTGTTTTCATGTGCCCTAAGGGACAGTTATGTTGTATAAAGAGCAAGTCCCCCAAGTGTCCTCCCCACTTCGGGTCTGCAGAAAAATGATTGATTATGAGGAATGTGATTTCAGTAATGCAGGCAGGATTAAATGCTTGCCATCTATCGACACTTTGCAGTGCCTTAAAGAGAGCTTTTAAAATTTTGGGCTATCACTAAAAAAAGAAAAACCCAGAAATACCCTGGGGGGGAAAAAAAAAAGAACCTGGGAAAATGTACAGAATACAACTGGGAGCCGTCCCATTGAGTAAGTGCCCAATGTGAGCTGCATCTGCAACTTAAAGCAACACTCTGACCTATTTCTCTTACTAATAATTGGAACATATATAGTGAGATAATATCTGTAAAGGAAGCTGTATTTTTTTTTTTATAACATGTATAAAGCTAACAGCCCAAATTCCTTGCTTTGGAGAATTGCAGAAATGACATTAACTCATTTTCTTTCTTTGATTTTTATCTGAATGTGCAAGTAATTTTTTTTTTTTTTTTTTCGAGATGAAGTCTCGCTCTTGTCCCCCAGGCTGAAATGCAATGGCACAATCTTGGCTCACTGCCACCTCCGCCTCCGGGGTTCAAGCGATTCTCTTGCCTCAGCCTCCCGAGTAGCTGGAATTACAGGCGCTACCACGCCCAGCTAATTTTTGTATTTTTAGTAGAGATGGGGTTTCACCATGTTGGCCAGGCTGGTCTCGAACTCCTGACCTCAGGTGATCCACCCGCCTCAGCCTCCCAAAGTGTTGGGATTACAGGGGTGAGCCACTGTGCCCGGCCAGTATTATTATTATTATTATTTTTAACTAGAAAGCAATATATGAATACATTGAAGTTTGAAAAAACTTAAAAATACATGAAACATGCTTAACCTACCCCTCCTAGTTCCAGTTTCCTCTCAGAGATAACTGCTGTGAATTTTATACATTTACTGTGCATTTACATATGGGGAAATACCTAATTTTCATGTTCCATGAATGGTATTTTCATATTATTAGCCTATTCTTTTTTCTACTTAATATCTCTTAGAAGTCTATACAGGTCATTCCATAGATAGTGTCTTTATTGTTGTTATAATAACTGCTGCATAGTTTTCCATAGTATAAATATTTCATAGTTTATGGAGTATGTAGCTGTTCATGGTTGTGTTCTATTACAAATAATGCTGAAGTGAAAAAAGTAGCATATGCATCCTCATGCATATATGCGTTTTTACCTATGATTAAATGCACAGAAGTTTAGTTAGTATTTGTATTCATCAGTGTTCTCCAGAGAAATAGAACCAACGGGATCTATATGGAGAGAAAGATTTATTATAACAAATTGGCTCATCGGATTATGGGGGGTGACAAGTTCCAAGATCTGCCTGTTGGCCAGCTGGAGACCCAGGAGAGCCAATGGTGTAGATCTAGTTCAAGGCCAGCAGGCTGAAGACCCAGGAAGAGCTGATTTTTTTTCTATTTCAGTCCAAAGGCAAGAAACAAATGTGGCCCTAGCTTTAAGGCAGTCAGGCAGGAGGAATTACCTCTTGTTAGCAGGGAAGGTTAGACTTTGTATTCTGTTCAGGCCTTCAGCTGATTAGGTGATCCCACCCACATTAGGGAGGGCAATGTGCTTTTTACTCAGTCTATCAATTCAAATGTTAATCTCATCCAAAACACCCTCCAGGGCATACCCAGAATAATGAATTGACCAAATATCTGGGCACCTTGGCCCAGTCAAGTTGACACATAAACTTTACCGTCATAGTATTTAAGGATATTTTTATTTTTTAATGCCTATTTTATTATTATTTTTGAGACAGGGTCTCCCTTTGTTGCCTAGGCTGGAGTGCAGTGGTGTGAACATGGTTCATTGCAGCCTTGACCTCCCTGTTTCAAGCAATTCTTCTCCCTCAGCCTCCCGAGTACCTGGGACTACAGGTGCACACCACTGTGACCAGATAATTTTTGTATTTTTTGTAGAGATAGGGTTTCACCATGTTGCTCAGGCTGGTCTTGAAATCTTGAGCTGAAGGGATCCACCCACCCTGGCCTCCCAAAATGCTGGGATTACAGGCGTGAGCCACCACACCCAGTAGTTTTTTTTTTATTTTTTAGGGATATTTGCCTCCCCGGAACGCTGTGTCACTTTGTGCTGCTCCTACTAACAAAGTATGAAAGGACTGTCCTTTCTGCACATCTCAGCCAACTGGTGATCTAAGCTCATTAAAAAAATATTGAGTCACTATGTCAGGGCAACTTTGAATAGTTGGTCTTCTGTACTAGTGAAGAGGGCATGATGTTTTAGAGTCATGATGGAAGCAGTGACCTGCCTCCAGGAGTGTCTCAGGAGCATGAGGACACTGGGCACCTTTCTCACAGCCCAACTGGGGGATCATTAGCTCACCAAAACTTCTTATATCTTCCCTAATGAACTGGGCTCTCTGCAAATCTTTTTTTTTTTTTTTTTTTTTTTTTTTTGAGACAGAGTCTCGCTCTCTTGCTCTGTCACCCTGACTGGAGTGCAGTGGCGCAATCTGGGCAAGCTGTGCCCCCTGGGTTCATGCCATTCTTCTGCCTCAGCCTCCTGAGTAGCTGGGACTACAGGCGCCTGCCACCACGCCCAGCTAATTTTTTTGTAATTTTTTAGTAGAGATGGGGTTTCACTGTGTTAGCCAGGATGGTCTCGATCTCCTGACCTCATGATCCGCCCGCCTCGGCCTCCCAAGGTGCTGGAATTACAGGCATGAGCCACCGCGCCTGGCTTTCTGCAAATCTTAAATTGAGCAATGCATAAACTTTTATTTCTGAATGGAAGATACCAGTCTGGATTCCTGAAAAATATTTTGGAAACTTATATTTCATGTGACTGTGAAGGTGGTTTAGAGCCTTTCAGGGGCGCACTTGCCCTAAACCAAAATCAAACAGGTTAATTTTTAAAATGTCACAAGGTTTGGCCGGTTTGGATTCTAAGTCTGTTGGAAGGAAGCAAACACTGGTAGTAAGATTACAGTAAAAACAATGCAGCTAGCTGCAGGTATGTTAATTTCAGCACTATGCATGTCTATGCTGGATCATTTTGTGCTTTAATCCTTTTTGTGTTTCATCCTTCCCACAGTCCCACTGAGTCAGAGGTATTGTTGTCTCCATTTTGCAGATGAGGCCACTGAGGTAGAGCTTGCCTACTGGGGATACAGCTGATAAGAGTGTAAGCCAGCTAATGCGTGTGACATGTCAGCCTGACCCAAAACTCTTGGCCATATATGGCTTATTGGCTTTGAATGGTTTTCATATTTTTAAACAGTTGCATTTTATTTTTTATTTTATTTATTTATTTTTTTTGAAATGGGGTCTCGCTCTGTCACCCAGGCTGGAGTGCAGTGGCGCAATCTCAGTTTACTGCAACGTCCACCTCCTAGATTCAAGTGGTTCTCCTGCCTCACCCTTCCGAATAGCTGGGATTACAGGCATGCACCACCACAGCTGGCTAATTTTTGTATTTTTAGTAGAGAGGGCGTTTTGCCATGTTGGCCAGGCTGGTCTCAAACTTATGACCTCAGGTGATCTGCCCTCCTTGGCCTCTGAAAGTGTTAGGATTACAGGTGTGAGCCACCGTTCCCCGCCTTAAATGGTTGCATTTTAAATGGTTCCATAAATACCTACCTAATCTTGACTTTACTTCTTGCCTAAGATACTTACTATCTAGCCGTGTATGGAAAAATTTTGCAATGCCTCCTCTTGACTATTACTCCTTCATTTCCCAAGACTGAAAAGAAGCCTTTTCACTGTGCAAATTAACCACTGTGCCAGTGGTTCTCAAATTTCACTGTGCAAGAGAACCACTGTGCCAGTGGTTCTCAAATTTTAGTAGGGCCCTGAATCACCTGGACGGCTTGATGCAACATAGATTGCTGGGCCTTATTCCCAAGGTCTGGGTTGGAGCCTGAGAATTGGCGTTTCTAGGTGCTGCTGATGCTGCTGTTCCTGGGACCACACTAGAAGTAACATTGAGCTAGAAGGGTGAACCAGTACTTCCGGGTGTTTGCCAAGTTACTGTGAGAGTGTCTCACTCCAGTTATTGGTAGTAGTAGCATCCCCTTTGAGTTTGAGCCATAGGTTTGTTGCCTGACAAAATCATGCACTAAGCACGGAAAACTTTTGTTTTGATGATGAAGAAATTTAAAGTATGATGGAAGTGGCTGTCTGAAAATGGAAACAGCTAGTATGAAAGAACTTCAGCTTTTTCTGCTTACATGTTTTAATCTTAAATGTGGTTAGATCTATATTTAAATCTCTTCCTTATTTAAATGATGATAATTAGCATCAATTATTGATATTTCACTATGTGCCAGGCTTTGTGCTAGACCCCTTTCCATGTCGAATCCCATGTAGTGCGTACAATAGTTCTATGAGGTTAGATAATAGTAGCCCCATTTTAAAAGTAAGTAAACGAAGGCTTAGATATAAGAGGAAACTTCTCTTAGTCTCTTGACTAGTAAGTGGCCCCAGATCATTCCAAGCTTGTCCAACCCGTGGCCCAGGGCAGCATGTACCCCAGGATGGCTTTGAATGAGGCCCAACACAAATTCGTAAACTTTCTTAAAACATTATGAGTTTTTTTGCATTTTTTTTTTTAAAGCTCATTAGCTATTGTTAGTGTTAGTGTATTTTATGTGTGGCCCAAGACACAGTCCTTCTTTTTCCAGTGTGGCCGAGGGAAGCTAAAAGATTGGATACCTCTGATTTAGACCCTTGTTCATATAGTTTTCTCTTTACTTTCTTTTTATTATTATTATTATACTTCAAGTTCTGGGATACATGTGCAGAAAGTGCAGGTTTATTACATAGGTATGCATGTGCCATGGTGGTTTGCTGCACCCATCAACCCATCATCTACATTAGGTATTTATCCTAATGCTATCCCTCCCCTAGCCCCCCGCCCCCAGAGAGGCCCTGGTGTGTGATGTTCCCCTCCCTGTGTCCATGTCTTCTCACTGTTCAACTCCCACTTATGACTCAGAACATGCAGTGTTTGGTTTTCTGTTCCTTTGTTAGTTTGCTGAGAATGATGGTTTCCAGCTTTATCCATGTCCCTGCAACGGACATAAACTCATCCTTTTTTATGGCTGCATAGTATTCCATGGTGTATGTGTGCCACTTTTTCTTTATCCAGTCTGTCATTGATAGACATTTGGGTTGGTTCCAAGTCTTTGCTATGGTGAATAGTGCCGCAATAGACATATGTGTGCATGTGTCTTTATAGTAGAATGATTTATCATCTTTTGGGTATATACCCAGTAATGGGATTGCTGGGTCAGATGGTATTTCTGGTTCTAGATCCTTGAGTTATCACAACACTGTCTTCTACAATGGTTGAACTAATTCACACTCCCACCAACAGTGTAAAGTGTTCCTATTTCTCCATATCCTCTCCAGCATCTGTTGTTTCCTGACTTTTTAATGATCGCCATTCTAACTGGTTTGAAATGGTATCTCATTGTGGTTTTGATTTGCATTTCTCTAATGACCAGTGATGATGAGCTTTCTTTCATGTTTTTTGGCTGCATAAATGTCTTCTTTTGAGAAGTGTCTGTTCATATCCTTCGCCCACTTTTTAAAGAGCTTCTGCACAGCAAAAGAAACTATCAGAATGAACAGGCAACATACAGAATGGGAGAAAATTTTTGCAATGTGTACATCTGACAAAGGGCTGATATCCAGAATCTACAAGGAACTTAAACAAATTTACAAGTTTTCTCTTTACTTGCGTATCATTCAGCTTTCACCTTCCCCCATGGCTACCACATGAATTTACATTTGTCTGTCTCTAAAACATTAGAAAAGTTTTACTCTGGAAAAAGATATGGCCCATCAGATACAAAGTTAGTGATGTTATTATAGTCTTTTTTTTTTTTTTTTTGAGACGGAGTTTCACTCTTGTTGCCCAGGCTGGAGTGCAATGGTGTGATCTCGGCTCACTGCAACATCTGCCTCCTGGGTTCAAACGATTCTCCTGCCTCAGCCTCCCAAGTAGCTGGGATTATAGGCACCTGCTACCATGCCCAGTTAATTTTTGTATTTTTAGTAGAGACGGGGTTTCGCCATGTTGGCCAGGCTGGTGTCGAACTCCTGACCTTAGGTGACCCGCCTGCCTTGGCCTCCCAAAGTGCTAGGATTACAGGTGTGAGCCACCGCGCCCGGCCTGTTATTATAGTCTTTAAAAAATTGTCCTTTAACTGCCATCGATTATTTTTACAAATTTGAATTATGTAAAATTTTTATATAGAAAAAATATATGAGACATTTAACAGATGCTAATATCTTGTCACAGCGGCTTAAGACTTTTTTTTTTTAAAGAGAGAACACTGGAGAATTGGCAAGTTCCTAAACATCCATATCCCTTTCTTCCCCATTGATATTGTTTGGCTCTGTATCTCCACCCAAATCTCATCTGGAATATAATTCCCATGTGTCGAAGGAGGGACCTGGTGGGAGGTGATTGGATCACGGGGGAGGTTTCCCTCATGCTGTTCTCGTGATAGTGAGGGAGTTCTCATGAGATCTGATGGTTTAACAGTGGCAGCTTCCCCTGTGCTCTCTCTTCTCCTGCTGCCTTGTGAAGAAGATGCCTGCTTCCCCTTCACCTTCCACCATGATTGTAAGTTTCCTGAGGCCTCCCCAGCCGTGCGGTACTGAGTCAATTAAACCTCCTCTCTTTATAAATTACCCAGTCTCAGGTGATATCTTTATAGCACGGTGAGAATGGACTAATACATCTATCTCAAAGGAATATCTTCTTTTGCTTATGCATACTTTTATCTAGAGCAAAACTACAAAAACATGCATGAAAGGTCATATATAGCAGCTTCTGCATATGACATTGTAATCAATGGTATGTTGACATTTTTTGAGTCAGTACACAGTGGGAGGTGACAAGATTAAGAGAATGAGCTCTCTTGATGTTCATGGAGGGGTAGGTTGTAGGCATGGTATTAGTAACATACCAACTTCAGGAATTTTTATCTGGCATCCCAAGTACCCCCTTTCATCAGCCATGTTTTGTTGTTGTTTGTTTTATTCATTTTTTCCTAGTTTCTCCTAAATGCATGTCTTTGGGTTCAGAGTTATAGGGTCTTATCAGGGTTTTGACAGATTATCTGAAACATCAAATATGTTTTTTTTTTTTTTTGAGACGGAGTGTCACTCTGTTACCAGGCTGGAGTGCAGTGGCACGATCTCGGCTCACTGCAACCTCCAGCTCCCTGGTTCAAGTGATTTTCCTGCCTCAGCTTCCTGAGTAGCTGGGATTACAGGCACGTGAGACCACGCTCAGCTAATTTTTTTTTTTTTTTTTGTATTTTTAGTAGAGACGGGGTTTCACCATGTTGGCCAGGATTGTCTCAAACTCCTGACCTCGTGATCCACCCGCCTCGGCTTCCCAAAGTGCTGGGATTACAGGCATGAGCCACTGCACCCGGGCTGAAACATCAAATAATTTTAAGCCTCTGTATGTGTTGTAACCTCCTTTGTTAGGCAAGGGGATTATAGTAGAGAATGAGGCAGATAAAATACCCTTCCCCTTCCCCATGGACCTTAAATTCAGGTTATTCCAATTTTTATTAGCCCTCCCCCAAATTTAATATAATATGATTTTTCTAAAGGTAATGCTTGTTAAATACAGTCCCAGATTTTACGTGCTGGCCGCAGCATTCAGCAGTTAACATCATCCTGTGTGTGGCAGGCAGCGTGTCCCAATTTTTGGTTTGTAGAAGGTGGTCACCTTATCTATTATGTGGCAATGAGGCATCCACACTCTTATTAGATGGCCTGCACAAGTTATGTGCCCATTTCCATTTGTTAATAGACATTGTGCTAATTGCATGGGTGATTTAAATGTTAAAAAGGCATTAAAGCATTTGTTGTAATAATTAACAAAGAGATTGCTAGGTTACAAATGAACGATAATGCCGTATTTTAAAAATACAGCATTACATATCTGTGCAAAGTGATATATGTTATGAAACATTAATATCCAAATGAGAGATTTGAACTGAATGATCTCCAAAATCCTTTCTAATATGTCTTTTCTGGCTTTCTAAAATATGAGCTCTATGACTATTAATATATTTTGTGAGATGTCAACTGTGCCATATTTCTGCAAACCTCAAGGAGAGGCCACAGCCTATCTTTAGTCTTATGCAAGTATATTAACTGAACCTTGCATGGTGGACTAGAGGTTGCTGATTGTCTTCTATTATTTCTCCATAATAGAAGCCCTGTTTTTCTAGGTGGGCCCATAGCTGCGAGGAATAAAGACCAGCCTTCACCCTCCCTTGTAGTTAGCCATGGTTTAAGTGTGCAACTTCTAGGACATTTCCTCAGTGGAAGACGGTCATGTCCTTAGTCTGTTCTTCCTCCCTGATAGCTGGAATGTGAATACAATGGCTGGATCTTAAGCAGCCATGATGGGACCACGAGATTGGTACTATGTGCCGAAGATGGGAGAGCCACAAGATAGAAGCAGTCTGGCAGCTGTAGATACTCAGATGTACAGAGTATTTCTTGCAGAAAAGTCTGCTACTGAGGGAAGGAGTTAGGGGCTGAGATTCAATCCAGGCTCTTTCTCAAGTTGTGTTCTTAGAGAAAGGTGGGGCCTTTTACTTTCCACAAAAGGATCATATGTTTGCTAAACCATATACTTGCAGGGCTCCTTCCACCAGGAGGGCTGCCTTTCTGTCATTTGTTCAGAGGCGCCACGTGAGCCTTGATACTGTGAAATGTCCCACCATCCCAGACTTCCCTACCTCTGAACTGTATTAATGGTAGAGAGAAGTTACAAGTTACAAGAAGTATCTTGTTTTAGCTACTCCTGTTTTGATATTTTCCATTACTGGTACCTGAGTCTAATCCTGATAAATATATCACTGTCTTTTTCTTTGCAAGAGTCACTTTGGATTTTTTGTTCACAAACAGCAATCAAATTTGAGTAACTCAGTTGAAGTGTTTTGGAAGTTTACAGAAGCTCCCAGAATAGAGAGGCAAAGTGAAGAAACATTGCTGGTCATGGGCAAGGAATTCCAGAGGCTGGGAAGTGAGTGCTAGAGGACAGCATACTTAAAGCCGGGATGGTCTGGTCATAGGTACAGCTTCTGCTACAGAGAGAATCATCTCCTGCTTGCTTTTTTTTTCTTTGTTTTTTTTTTTTCTTCCTTAAGGAGCTTATTTTTTTGTTTGTTTGTTTTTGAGTCAGGGTTGTCCTGTCTTTTTCCAGGCTGGAGTGTAGTGGCATGATCATGGCTCACTGTAGCCTCCACCTCCCAGACTTAAGCCATCCTCCCACTTCAGCCTCCCTAGTAGCTGGGACTACAGGTGTGTGCCACCACATCTGGCTGATTTTTGTATTTTTTCTGTAGAGACCAGGTTTCGCCATGTTGCCCAGGCTGGTCTTGAACTCCTGGGCTCAAGATGTCCACCTGCCTTGGTCTCCCAAAGTGCTGAGATTACTGGTGTGAGCCACCGCGTCTGGCCCTCAGGAAGGTGTCTGTCCATTTGGCAAGGCCCAGATCGTATGTCTTGCCCCCTCACTCTACTGGGTTGGGTGGAGGAAGGCCCTGGGTTCTTGGCCACCAGTTCCTGGAGCAGGAGTGAGTGCAGCTGGGTTGACTGCCTAACTGCCTGCAGTGGAGGGGGCACAGATTTCCAAAAAAGAAATGAAGCTGCTGGGAGGATGAGGGATGAATTCTGAGCAACCAAAATAGAGAAAACAGGAAAGAAGTAAAAGACAACGATGATGACACATGATCACACGCCTCTGTGGTCTCCAGATTAGAAATGGAATAGGGTACATACTAGTTTACCACCAATGGCTTTTTTTTTTTTGGTCCTTAAATCTCTACCATCCAAGAAGTGAGTGCTAACTCTGTATTTATTAGTCCCTGGATAGATAAGCAGAGTCAGTACTCACTGCTTTGTGTAGAGTACTCTCCTAGACATAAGAGGAGCATAATGACATACTGGATGGAGAGGGTCTCCTGTGGTGAGGGTGCTGGGAACACTGAAATGCATCCAGAATCACAGGGAAGCTTCAGAAATGGCTCTAAGCTCTCAGCTCACTGCCACCGCCACGCCCCTTTCCTTTATAACTCTTTAGGGAATGGTTTGTTTGCTTTTTTCCCCAGAATTGGGGATCACGTCACAACTCTGAGGTTCCTCTAACGTCATCTTGAACTCTGCAGAAGTGTGTTTCTTCCTCTGAAGTGCTATTTTGTGGTAATTTAATGTATTTTTTTCATGAATAATTTACCCATAGAGTCCTAATATCTTAAGACAGTGAATTTTGTTGTTTATCAAAGATGTATCTCAACTAGGAGACAGAAATCAATTTCTTATTACAAAGCAAAGACAAAACACAAGATCATCTACCCTGTGGGATAACAATCTGTTTTGGAAGCATTTTGGATTATTAATATTTAAGTCAGGAACACATGGATAAAGAAATTATTGTCCCTTTTTATAAAGAAAGTGGTATATTTATTACTCATCTTATGTGTCCCCATTGCGTACTCTTTTTTTCTCTCATTATCTTTTCTTATTGTTGGGTTATGAAGTGTCCTGAAGTCACAGCATTTTAGGGCTAAAATACAAACTGTACTTAAACTACCTGGTAAAAATACTTGCTTACTTTTTAAATAAAAACTCCCAGCTGGGCATGTTGGCTCACGCCTGTAATCCTAGCACTTTGGAAGGCCGAGGTGGGTGGGTCACGAGGTCAGGAGTTCAAGACCAGCCTGGCCAAGATGGTGAAACCCCATCTCTACTAAAAACTACAAAAATTAGCTGGGTGCGGTGGCAGGCACGCGTAATCCCAGCTACTCAGGAGGCTGAGGCAGGAGAATCACTTGAACCTGGGCGGCAGAGGTTGCAGTGAGCCAAAATCGTGCCACTGCACTCCAGCCTGGGCAACACAGTGAGACTCCATGTCAACAAAAAATAAAAAATAAAAATTCCCAGGGACATAGGCTTCATAACCAATTATGGTGACTTGTTTCTTTGTCTTAAACTCTAGTAGTATTTATTGCAAAAGATATATTGATGCTCTTGTTTAATTGTTATATAGCTGTTTCATGGATTCACGTGTTGTAAAAGATTTTTATGTTTTTGAAGTCAAATAGTCCATACAGGCCATTTTTTTCTGCCTTGTGTGGTTAGTCTCTGAATGCCCACAGGAAAGAAAAATAGTAGCAATAATAGTAATGGTTACAATTTATTCATGCTTCCTATATGCAATGCATCATCCTGACCCTAACCCTTTGAGGTACATATTGTTATTATTCCCATTTTACAGATGAGGAAACTAAGGACTGAGTTTTTATAGCCAAAGGCAATAGACCCAGAACTTGAGAGGTCTCTGCCTCAAAATCACTCTTGTATTTTCCCACAATGAGTAAATTGATACACATACACTTTTTTTACTTGAAGGAGAACTAGTAGGTGTTACTATAAAGAATGATTTGTGGGCCAGGAGTGGTGGCTCATGCCTGTAATCCCAGCACTTTGGGAGGCCGAGGCAAGCGGATCATGAGGTCAAGAGATCGAGACCATCCTGGTCAACATTGTGAAGCCCCGTCTCTACTAAAAATACAAAAAAAATTAGCTGGGCGTGGTGGTTTGTGCCTATAGTCCCAGCTACTTGGGAGGCTGAGGCAGGAGAATCATTTGAACCTGGGAGTTGCAGATTGCAGTGAGCTGAGTTTGAGCCACTGCACTCCAGCCTGGCGACAGAGCCAGACCCTGTCTTTAAAAATAAAAATAAAAATAAATACCAAAAGATTTGTGTTTTATTGTAGGTATTAGAACATATTAAGCTACTGTTTCACCCAGACATATAGCTTTGTAAAAACTAAGACTCGACTGGGTATGGTGGCTCACACCTATAATCCCAGCACTTTGGAGGCCAAGGTGGGTGGATCACTTGAGGTCAGGAGATTGAGACCAGCCTGGCCAACATGGTGAAACCCTGTCTCTACTAAAAATAAAAAAATTAGCCGGGCATGGTGGTGCGGGCACCTGTAGTCCCAGCTACTTGGGAGGCTGAGGCAGGAGAGTTGCTTGACTGGGTGGTGGAGGTTGCAGGGAGCCAAGATCATGCCACTGCACTGTAGCATGGGTGACTGAGCAAGACCCTGTCTAAAACAAAACAAAACAAAACAAAAAAACAAAAACCAAAAAAAAAAAAAAAACGCAGACTCAGAGAACCAAGACAGATTTGGAAACTTCATTCAGGGAAGAATTTGTTAGATCATTGACATTGCTTTAGTTTTAAAAATTCATTTTATATTCTTAGCTAATTTTCATTTTAACAAGCTGTGATGGTCCATAGAAATGAATGGAAAAATGCCAGGTTGATTGAAACTGTATGCTGGAGAAGGTGTGGATCCACTTTAACACATACTTGGCTTCAGCGGGTTAAAAGACTACACAATCATGTGACATTGTGACATTGTGATGTGACCATCCGTTAGTTTTAAAATCTGAGACTGTTTTATATTAGTTATGGGAGTGAGCAGAAAGCACAGAAGGAGGTTTTTGCCTGTGTCTCTGTTGCTTTGAAACAAAATCAGGAAAAACCGTATCTCCAAAAGCAGCCTGTGTGCCATCTTCTGTGCTACTGTAACTTAGTAACTTTTTTAAAGCAATTAGAAACCAGGGACTTGAAGTGGCCCAGAGACTCATAAGACAGGCTGATGATTTCGCTGGATAGAATTGGACTTTGCAGAAAGGTTTTGATAACCTTTTTGGCCTGGTGCCCTGCCCTCATCTAGTCCTTTCCCATTTGTAATAGAAGCATGAAGTTCAATGCTATTGACTTCCCAGGAGTCATTGAATTGCCACACACACAGTGAATTTGGAGTTTGGTTCTTAAGTTGAAAGGGGATAAACAATCGACATTGAATTTGTACCTCTTATAGCTTTGTTGACTTAATGGATTGTCCCCAACAATCCATCAAGAATGGTACATATACCAGCCATCACCTGGCTCACTAAAAGCCAGTAGAAATTCCCAAACCTCATTTTAGGCAAGGATTTCCACTTCTCCTCTTGTAAAAGCTTTCCCAAACAGCAAGGATTCCAGACATGAGACATTGTATTGCTTTGCCTGCTGTGAAACTGTACGATCTTACAATGGAGAGAGAAGAATGGCAATTGGATATGAATTGTAGAAATTTGGGAGAAGGAATTTGTTCGTTGACTTGTATTTTCTATGAAGATGTAATCGAGGAAAGGCCCTGGGCTTAATTTTTTTAATTAACAGAGAAGACTGCAGGTGTTCTCAAGTATTTATCAAGCCCCTGCGCCTTGGGCCTCTAACTGGGAGTTGTGGGGATGACTGGTGTCGAGGTCTTTTCTTGCTAAAGTGTGTGGGGAGTGCATACTCAGGGGATGTGCCCCTCCTCTCTGTCCTTTGTAGTGACTCTTGGCTCTCCCGGGTCTCCCCACTGCCAGTTTTCCTCTGTGATACAGCCTTCGGTGGTGTCTTTGTCAGCAGGCTTGGCAGTGGCAGAGAAAGGGAACAGGGAGAAGGTGGAATAAACCTAACTGGTGGCTGGCCCTTTCCTATTATGGTTCCTTACCCTCCCTTTTCCGTTTTCTCAATCCTTCATCCTGTTTCTTCCTCCCAGAAGTTATGTTAATCAATTCTGAAGTCTCTCTGAATTGAGGCCATGTGTGGTTGGGGTTTGGAAAAGCAGGGCTTACAGTTAGGTTGAGTCTGATCATCACTCACTCACTCTGCTCTAGCGACCCTGGACTTCTTGCTGTTCCTCACACTTCCCAGACACCCTTGTGCCTCACTGTTTTGTAATTGCTCTCCCCTTTCCTGGAACGTTCTTTTCTGAGACCCAACTTGCTCTTGACTGCTTCTGTGAGTCTTTGCTCAAATGTCACATTTTCCTAAGGCCTTTGCTGGCCGCTCTTGCTCACTTTACAGTGCAGTCCTGACTTGTCCTATGTCCTCTCCCTACTTTTTTTCTCCTGGGCACCATTTGTCATTCTATATGTTTTACTTTATCTTGTTCATTATTTATCCCTCCTCCGTCCTGCTTAGGGGGTAAACACCATGATGACAAGGGAATTTTTTTTTTTTTTGAGACACATTCTTGTTCTGTCCCCCAGGCTGGAGCTGGAGTGCAGTGGCAGGATCTTGGCTCACCACTGCCTCCACCTCCTGGGTTCAAGCAATTCTCCTGCCTCAGCCTCCCGAGTAGCTGGGATTACAGGCATGCACCACCACGTCCAGCTAATTTTTGTATTTTTAGGAGAGGTGGGGTTTCACCATGTTGACCAGTCTGCTTTTGAATTCCTGACTTCAAGTGATCCACCTGCCTCGGCCTCCCAAAGTGTGGGGATTACAGGTGTGAGCCACCACTCCCGGCCAACGGGAATTTTTAAACTCGTATTTAATTGTAACATGCATGTGGAAAAATGCATGCATTATAGTGAACCGCTCAATGAATAATCACAATATCTGAACACAGCCATGTAACCAACTCCCAGATGAAAAAACAGTATCACTCCCGAAGGTCTCCCCATGCTCCCCTCTTCCCACTTCAAGGGCTACTACCGTCCTGACTTCTGATATCATAGATGAGGTTTGGATGGCAAGAACTTCTGTCAGTTTATTTCACTGCTGTATGTGCAGGATATGGCAGGTGCAAAGTACACATTGATTGAGTACATTAAAATAATACTGGAAGAGAGACCTGTATTTCTGATGTAGCTAGATTTCTAAAGCTGACCTCCATTGATGGATTAATCCCCGCCAATGGAAAATGCAGTTAGAGGCTTTAGAAATATTATCCAGTGGCAAAACACTGGCCATTATAACTTAGACGATTAGATTTGTCACTTGTTTCTGCTGCGTTGGCCTTGATTATGTAAGTATTTTAGCTGTGATGTCTTTAAGTCCACTCTTCTTGCTTGTAATTTTAATTTATTGTCTGTTCTATTTGCTGGCACTTAATCAGACATCTCTCTGGTGATTGTCTTACAGGATTATTTAACTTCTTCTTGCCTTTCAACTGCATTGTAAATTTAACCAAGCATAATAAATTTGCACCAAATTTTACCCTTCAGTGTTGATTCTTCCCTAGCTGGAATTACTGTACATTTCTGTTTCTGGTCACTGGCCACTCTCTGGTACTACTTGAGAATTGATTACTGTTCCAGGTGGGTGACTACATTAGAATTGCAACCTGAACTATTTTAGCGCTTTAAGTAATATAGTATCATCAGTTTTGATTGTGCTGTTAACCATTTGATATTTGATGATGAGTTCAAGGATACAGTGGCTTCCTAGAAGTTTGGGTTACAGGTGCCTCCAGTAGAGATGTTTACAAACTCAAAGATGTACCATTCACTACAGAGACACTATGCAATTGAGTACAGTTATTGGGCCTTTATCCTGGAAGATGGTAGAGATGTGTCTAGAGAAGGGAGTACCTTTTCTAACTTGCACAAAGTCACATCAGCCAACTGATGGGGTTTGACCATCTGTAAGATGGAATATTATACAATAATTTAACAAGAAGAACATTATATTTTTGGATTAGCTTTGTGTCCTGTTTTTCATATTTAACACCATGTCCTGCATATTTTCCTAAGTCAAAAAGTTCCTGGAGAACTTTTTTTTCCCTTAAAATCCATAGAGGTCATCCCCTGGCTAGGGCTGCCATGTAAGCAAAATCCATGTGTCACCTGGGATGCTCTCGGTTCAAGTAAGGGAAGACCCAACTCAGAACAATGAGAAAATAAAGAAATAAGTTAGTATAAATACTGGAGATCCAGAAGTAGTGTATTTCCAGACAATCAGCGACCAGTGAACTTCACTGGAACCTCATATTGTTTCTGACTTTCTGCTCTGTCATCTGTGGATCAGATTTAGCTTTAGAGTGGTTCTCCTTAGTATGGCAAGATGCAGCAACATGAAGTGTTGCATCGAGACCAGGAGAAAAAGGAGTAGACCAATTCGGGCCCTTGAGCTTGTCTTAATCTGTGTTGTGCTGCTGTAACAGATTACCACAGACTGAGTAATTTATAAGGCACAGAAATTTATTGTCTTATGGTTTTGGAGGCTGGGAAGTCAAAGATGGAGGGGCTGGCGTCTGGTGAGGGCTTTCTTGCTCTGTCCTTCCATAGCGAAAGGTGGAAGAGCAAAGAGAGAGGGCAAAACAAATACACACACACACACACACACACATGCACAAAAGAGGGCCAAACTAGTCTGTTTATAATGAACTCTCTCCCTTCATAATCCATTCATGAGGCTGATGCCCCCGTGGGCCAAATACGTTCATTAGGCTCTACCTCTCAACACCACTGCATTAGGGATCAAGTTTCTAAAAGCTGAACTTTGGGGGATACATTCAAATTATAGCAAAGTTTGCAGTTGAGCTGAAGGGAAATTTGGACACTAAATTGATTTTGATGTAGCAGAGGAAGCAGTCTGGATAAGGGTGGGGATCAGATACAGGATGGGGCATCCAGCCCACTTGCTAGAATTAGAATTGGGCTTTTGGAACTCTGTTTATGCATAAGTCTTCCTGCAAGGCTTATATTTAAAGCAACTATATAAAATATGAAAGTCAGTATCAAATTTCTAGTCCTGTTTTCCTTTAATTTCAGTACTATAACTTCAAAGTGAAATTGTAATTTTTGTTAGGAAATGAGTAACGGTGAATTTTATGTTATGTCTGTTTATTTTGGTTAAATTTTTAAACTGCCTTTTAAAATTTTCCTTCAGACGGGGTGTACTATCTGGCACACAGGATGCCTAATACATAGTTATTCAATCATGGAAATGTATTTTCTGTTCTTAAGAACTTTATAAAGGTGCCAACTGATGTTGGAGTTCTGAAAGTAATGTTTTAATTTGAATGATTTGAGAGATACAAGTGGAACTTAAAAAATTATTTGTCGAGTGGGTTTCTCGGGGTGAGCAGAGGTCGATGATAAATTTAGAGGAGTTGGTTTTGTGACCCAACCCTAGGTTAGAACTATGCAGTATTCAGTCTAAGTCAAATATTTAGGACTATTCTGATTTCCTGTCTCCTTTATTTTCAAGAAATGTCTTTGTTGTAGAATTCATATAATCCATCCTTTAATTGGTACATTGTTCAAAGGCCTGGTAATGTGTGGTAATAAACTTTTGTTTTATTTCCCAGTATTTTATTGGATGATTGACAGGAAGTTACAGATTTAAAGTCATGGTGACTTTTCTATTTTTTTTTCTTTTTACTGTCACAACAGCATTAATTTTCATGGCCTGATGATCTGTTGAGATATCTTTCTAAGAAGTTGCTAAGTTTTATCTGCCCTCATCTTCCTCCATCCCTCCCCCTTGGTATTACCATTATAAATAGGATACATGTGCACATTTTTGGTGAAACAAGAAAAGGGAAACCCCCATGGTTTCATTGTCTTTAAATATATATTTTCTCATGTTACGAGGTCCTTGTTTCTATCAAAAAGGGTTGGATAGAAAGTAAAAATGATGGCTACTGTTAGATTATCTTTAGAAGAGATATATATTATTAAAAATACCATTAACTTTTAATTTTGAAATAATTGTAGATTCACAGGAAGGTGCCAAGATAGTACAGAGCGGTCCCATATACCCCCTTTTTTTGTTTTCTCTAGTGGTTCCATCTTACAGGATTACAGTACAATATCAAAACCAGGAGTTTGATATTGGCACAATATATGTTTGTAGGTCGTGGACATTTTATCTCATATATGGTGTAACCACTGCTGAAGTCCAGATACTGGATGATTCCCATGTCACAAAGATTTCCCTCATTCTACCCCTTTATAATTGCAAACATCCTTTCCTCTACTATCTCCAAATGGTGGCATCCACTAATCTGTCTTACATCTCTCTCATTTCGTCATTTTGAGAATATTGGGCTGGGCCCTGTGGCTCATGCCTATAATCCCAGCACTTTGGGAGGCTGAGGCGGGTGGATCACTTGAGGTCAAGAGTTTGAGACCAGTCTGACCAATATGGTGAAACCTTGTCTCTACTAAAAATACGAAAATTAGCCTGGGTGTGGCAGTTGGCGTCTGTAACCCCAGCTACTTGGGAGGCTGAGGCACTGGAGGGGGAGGTTGCAGTGAGCTGAGATCATGCCACTGTACTCCAGCCTGGGTGACAGAGTGAGACTCCCATCTCCAAAAAAAAAAAAAAGTAGTTATATACATAGAATCATATAATATGTATATAGTGTGTGACTTTCATAGTGCCCCTGATCTCCATCCAAGTCATTGTGTGCACCAATAGTTTGCTTGGCCTTATTGTAAAGTAGTATTCTGTGGCATGGATGCACCACAGTTGGTTTAATCTTTCACCTTTTGAGGGAGATTTTGGTTGTTTTCACTTCCTAGCTGCTACAAAGTCAAATATTAACAGTGCGTACACGTTTTTGGATGATCATAAGTTTTCACTTCCCTGGGATAGTCACCCCAGAATACAGTTGCTGGGGTGTATGGTAAATGTATATTTAAGTTTTTTTTACTGCCAGGCTCTTCCAGAGTACCTTTCCCACTCTACACTCCCACCAGCAATGCATAAGAGATCCAGTTTTTTTGCATCCACCCCAGCAGCTTTTGGTATTACCACTATTTTTTTATTTTAGCGATTCTGATAGGTATGCAGTTATATCTCAGTGTGGTCCCAATTTTCATTTTCCTGGTGGCTAATGATACCGAATATCCTTTCATGTGCTCATTTGCTGTCCTGTCTTTGTGTCTTTTGCCCACTTTCTTATTGGATTTCTTTTTACTGTTGAGTTTTGAGAGTTCTACACACACTCTAGATAGTAGATATTTGCAAACCCCATCAGATATGTGGTTTGCAAATATTTTTTATCAGTATAGAGCCTGTTCCCACGTCCTCTCACCAAGGCTCTTTATAGCACAAACATTCTTACTTTGAATGAAATCGAATTGATTGATTTCTTCTCTCTGGCCGATGCTTTGGTTGTCATATCTGAAAACTCTTCACCAAGCACCAGGTACAGAAGATTTTCTCTTCTCCTTTTTTACCACTTACGAGTTTCATACTTTACATTTAAATGTACAATCCATTTTGAGTTAATTTTTGTGTAAGTTGTGAGATTTACGTTGAGATACGCTTTTTTTTGGGACAGAATCTTGCTCTGTCACCCAGGCTGGAGTACAGTGGCGTGATCTGGGCTCACTGCAACCTCCACCTCCTGAGTTCAAGTGATTTCTGGCTAATTTTTGTATTTTTAGTAGAGACAGGATTTTCACCATGTTGGCCAGGCTGATCTGGAGCTCCTGACCTCAAGCGATCTACCTACCTCAGCCTCCCAAAGTGTGAGATACACTTTGTATTTTATTTTTTAAATTTTTTGCCTGTGGATGTCCAATTGCTCCAGCACCATTTGTTGAAAAGACTATCCTTCCTCCATTGAACTGCCTTTGCACCTTTGTCAAAAATCAGTTGGCCGTACTCTGTGGGTCTCCTTCTGGGTTCTCTATTCTGTTCCATTGATCTTTATGCCTGAATCTCAGCCTATACCACATAGTCTTGATAACTTTAGATATAGAACAAGTCTTGAATTTGGATAGAGTGATTCTACCCACTCTATTCTTCTCTTTTTGAAGATTTGATTCCCTGCCTACCTCCACCACTACCCCCACCTTTTTTTTTTTTTTTTGGCTTGGAATGGCTACTGTGTTCATTGCAAATGACCACAGCACTCCCTGAGAAATCTTCCCTTTCATGTGGCACATTTAATCCTGAGGGCCAGTTCTAACGGTTTGGTAATGTCTTATCATCTGTTTTATTCCTTTCTGGATTCCAATTTTAAGTCAGATCGAGAGAACAAGGCCTGGCCCAGCAGGAGAGTTCTCTGATCCTTCGGTCCTATCTGACTTGGGTATGATAGGTATGTGGTATCAACAAAGCTGGGTTTTTGCCTCACTGGTATCAAATAAGGCACTGCTGAGTGTTAGTTGGAGAAGAGCCAGAAGCTTATGACTGGCTGGGATGAGTGGTAGAGAACAGGCCTTCCCCACATATTTAATCTAACCTCTCTAGTTTAAATATTTCCAGTGGATCATCATACTCTATGACCTTGTGACATAAATCTGCACAGAGCGGCAGTTCTTATCTTCAGACTTCAGTCAAGTTTCATTACTGTGGTTTATGTGTAGTGGCTTTGTTTTGGGGCTTCCGCTTATACTGCTGTCTGCTTGTTTACCATCTCTTTCAAGCGAAAGGGTCTTTTGATTTATGACTTGGTGGGATCCTTTTCAGCATTGATAGAGAGATGTATGGGTTAATGGTTGAAAATACATAGGATTTGGTTGTTAGAGTATATCTAGAGAAATTGAGCTACTTTGAGGGAAATATAATATCAAATCTCACTTGTACTGATAATTTGTATAATGGAAATATACTGCCATTAAATGGATAACACAAAAAAATTGCTAAATATAATTGTAAGTAGGCACTTTCCTACCTAGGACATATAAGATAACCACAAAGCCATTTTATAATCCATTAAACACTGCTGATAGAATTATATCTTCTCCAATGCATGCCCCCTAAATTGCCTGTTTCGATGCCTGAAGTTTTGCCATTAAGGATTATTATTATTGTATTTTTGCATCCCTAGAAATTTTCTTTGTTGGATTGACAGTTCCCTTGAGTTTATGATTTGTTAAGCTGTTCCAACTTATTAAGATTGAATTGGCCGGGTGCGGTGGCTCACGCCTGTAATCCCAGCACTTTGGGAGGCCGAGGCGGGCGGATCACGAGGTCAGGAGATCCAGACCATCCTGGCTAACGCAGTGAAATCCCGTCTCTACTGAAAATACAAAAAATTAGCCAGCCATGGTGGCGGGCGTCTGTAGGCCCAGCTACTCGGGAGACTGAGACAGGAGAATGGCGTGAACCCGGGAGGCGGAGCTTGCAGTGAGCCGAGATTGTGCCACTGCAGTCCAGCCTGGGCAACACAGTGAGACTCCGTCTCAAAAAAAAAAAAAAAAGATTGAGCTATTGAATTTAATTTTGATTTTGATTTTCTGTGGCATTTTTCTGAGTGCTGTAGTTTTGAATGCAGGAGGGGAGAGGAATAGACCTGGAGCCCAAGTTGTTTGGGAAAGTGGTTTAAGTCATTGTAGTGTAAAATCATAATTTTTTTTTTTTTTTGAGATGGAGTAGTGCGGTGGAGTGATCTCATCTCACTGCAACCTCAGCCTCCCAAGTAGCTGGGATTATAGATGCTTGCCACCACACCCAGCTAATTTTTTTGTATTTTTGGTAGAAACAGGGTTTTGGACGGTTGGCCAGGCTGGTCTTAAACTCCTAACCTCAGGTGGTATGCCCAGCTCAGCCTGGGATTTGGGATTATGGGCATGACCCACGGTGCCCGGCCCATATCAAAAAGTTAAAACCATGGATTTTATACAAACAAAATGAATACATGTCAAACGCAAATCATTAATAAGGCAAACAATAATCAAGTAAAGTTGGTTTAAAGGACATTTTGAGGAACTGGGTATTCGTAAGTTACAAAGGCATGCCAGAATATGATTGCTAGGTTACAGCCAACACTGGTTAATGTCCTACAGGGTAATACAACTGCTGCCTGTTTTTCTTTCTTTAAACTGGATATAAATCTACAGGTTAATGTGTAAGGTCACCAAGTCTTAACTTTAATCCCAGTAATATCAAGTCAAACAATGGTATGTTCTAGGTAACTAAATAATTTAAGGTGAGCTTGTTAAATTCTTCACCTACCATGACACTGAAATTTCGGAGAATTTTTCTTCTCAGCAGTTTGCGAAGCTTCTTGGCTACTGATAATGCCTGGGTTTTATCTACTTTACAGTTTTGCTTTGGTCTGGTATGGAAGGCTGGTCTACCTGTTTGTGAGGCAAAGCACTTTACCAGCTGGTAGCTGAACCATTTGTGATATTTTCATTGTTTTTCTTCTTCTCTGTTGACATTTGCCACTTTCAGTCCCATTTCCATCTCCATGTCTTTCTTTCATCTTGTTAGAGTGCATTTATGCCTCTCAAATTTGCCTAGCGTGCTGGCAAAGAGGAACAGTCTGTTGGAGATGAGTGAATTACAGAGTCCCATATGATTTACTTTCTTCACTGTCTTGGACTTGGAGTTAGGTGGACATGCCTCTGCACACACCCGTGCGACCTTGAGCAAGTCTGGTGCTTACTTTAAAAGGATACTGTGAGGAGTAAAGTGTTAAAATAAAGGATTTAAAGCTATGCATGGTGGTGCACATTTGTGATCCCAACACTTTGGAAGGCTGAGGTAGGAGAATCACTTGAGGCTAGGAGCTCAAGACCAGCCTGGTCAACATAGCAAGACCCCTTCGCTACAAAAAAATTAAAAAATTAGTTGGGTGTGGTCGTGTGTGCCTGTAGTCCCAGCTACTCGGGAGGTTGAGGCAAGAGGATCATTTCAGCCTAGGAGTTAGAGGCTGCAGTGATCTCTGATTGCACCACTGCCCTCCAGCCTGGAAGACAGAGCAAGACCTTGTCTCAAAAAAAACAAGTTAAAAAAGAAAAAGATTTAAAAATGGTGTCTAGCACACACACAGTAAGTTTTCAATTAAGATGATCTAGCTAAGAGCTATGTATTTTTTTTGTATCTTATTATTTTATATCTTAGGTGCTCTAACATATTTGAAAACCCATATGCTTAAAAGGACCAGGGAGCAGGCCTGGTGGCTCATGCCTTTAATTCCAACACTTTGGGAAGCTGAGATGGAAGGCTTGCTTGAGCCCACGAGTTCGAGCCCAGTCTGCGCATCACAGTGAGACCTAATCTGTACCAAAAAAAAAAAAAAAAAAGAAAGAAAGAAAGAAAAAAATTAGCTGGACATGGTGGCATGTTCCTGTAGTCCTGGTTACTTGAGAGTTTGAGATGGGAGGATCGCTTGAGTTTGGGAGGTTGAGGCTGCAGTGGGCCGAGATTGCACCGTTGTGCTCCAGTCTGGGCGGCAGAGAGAGACCCTGTCTCAAAAAAACAAACAAACAAACAAACAAAAAGGACCAGGGAGGCTCCCTGTAAGTAGCTAAAGGGGCTTACAGAATTAAATACAGGAGCAAGGGTAATCTGATATCTGGCATCCCAGCTGAGGGGAGAATAGTGATTAGTAGGGGCAGTGGTGAAGGGGAGAACATTTGCACTAAGTGAAGATGGCCCACAACTGTGCATCCGGGCCAGTTGTTGCCGTATGTTTCAGGATGGCTTGATACCAACATTTTTAAAGGGAAGAGTAAAGTCTGATTGTCCTGTGTTCTTTCCCCTTTGTAAAGGTTGGCAACTGATTGACATTTAAAAACCGCTATATTTTTGGGTTTCATAGAGTAGGCTATCAGTTTGCCGTGTTTGCTCTGGGTTGATTTAGGTTACTCAACAATAAAGGTAAATAGTTAATTTAGACCTTGTAAGACCTTGTGACCATAGCAATCATTTTCCCAGTCCTCTGCTTTCACAGACAAGGGAGTAGCTTTGGGCAAAGTTACATGGCCCGTTAGTGACAGTACTTTTACTTTTTATGAAAATGAGCTTTACTTTTACACATTCTTTGATTTGGGGAGTTATATGGTTTAACATACTCATTTTTTAACAATTCACCATGCATTTAAAACATGAGCCTAGTGATTGTTAGAACAAAGGAGGGAAATACACTGAAATTTGAACAGTGGTTATGGTTATTTTTATTTTCTTGTTTATGCTTTTTATGTACTCTCTTGCCTATTTAATGTACTCTGCTCATTAATGTACTTTGCCTAATGTGCTTCTATAGTGAATATTTATTGCTTTCATTATCAGAAAAAGCAATAAATGCCATTAAAAAAAGAATTCATCATGGAAATGCCTAGATATGTGATAATATAATGATTGATTAGTTTCATGGCTCCCAAGATTGTTGCCCATAACGTGGTGGTTCATTTCGTTTGCTCCATGAAAATGATAGTGCGTCTTATTTTGCACCTGAGATATGTTTAGATGGGTCTTCCTTAGGTCTGCTGCGATTTCTTTGACTGAAGGGGTTTGTGACCACCACGGGGCATGTAAGTTGCTGGTGCCACTCCTGGGCAGCTTGCCTGTAAGGGATACCGTCTGTGTTGGCAGAACCAGGGGCTTGTCCTGCTGGGCTGGAGCCCACCAACTGTTGCAGCTACAGTGCCTCAGCTGTCGTGCTTTTACACTGTCATTAGCCATGCAGACCTTTATGGCTCAAACCAGGCCACATCTGTTGTGAGTCCTGTGACCTTCAAAACCCACACCAGGAAGAAATGCAAAACACATTTTTATCTCCAGGCTTTCTGCAAACACATCATTTTAGAGGGCTTATTTAAGAATGTTTTTCTAAACTTATAAAAGACTTTCATTTTTCTTGTCTTCCATTAACAGCGGAGGTTCATTGTTAATGATTTGAGCAAATTAGTGTTGCTCAGAAAGTAGTTTGTTAACCACTTGCATCTGATCACAGGAGTTTGTTAAAAATATTGTCTCAAGCCTCACAGTAGTCCAGTGGAATCATGATCTGAGGGGTGTGTTTGTCCATCCACATTTTAAACCAGTGATTTGGGCATTTAGGGCTATATGCCCTAAGGGACACTCTCTTTTAGAGAGGTAGGCATGAAGTTAGAAAGGTGACTCTAAGATGAGTGGTCATGTGGTGAATTGGGCACCTCCAGGAGTGCCTAGACTTCTTAGAAAGTTTGCTTTTGTTCACTTATCACATTATTGAGAAAGGGAGAGTAAACTTTAGGGAAAGGGGTTCCAAAGTCATGTTACTTGCAGAGTGTTTGTGGCCATTGAAAGATTGGGAACTGGATTTCTAGGTTACAACATTGATTCATTTGGCTATGCTTTTCAGAAATAGTAATGACTATAATGAAATTGTCCTATTTTCTGTATTTGCTGTGGGCCCCTTTAACTCAGTTCCCTCTGAAAACCTGTTGAACACTGTTCTACTCTTTCTGCATTATTCAATGCCAAGCCAAGGTGTTAGGCTTCCTGATGGATTTATGAGCCTCACATTTCCATTGCTAAAGCAGTGAATAGACCAAGGAACGATTTGGCTCCATAAAAATAGTTTTTACCCCCGTTGAGTTAGCAGTCTCTTGAATAGAAAAAAGGAAAAGAGAAAAAGTAGAGTTCCCTTAAATTGTGGGGATGGGATAGGTAGAGAATTGAAAGACAGAGGGTTTGACTAGTTTTGTTCTTGGGGACAGGAACATTAGTAGGGAGTATGCCATGAAGGAGACACAGAAGCTCACTTTCCTTTTTCCTTTTTTTTTTTTTTTTTTGAGACGGAGTCTTGCTGTGTTGCTAGGCTGGAGTGCAGTGTCACAATCTCTGCTCACTGCAACCTCCGCCTCCCGGGTTCAAGCCATTCCCCTGCCTCAGCCTCCCGAGTAGCTGGGACTACAGGCACGCACCACCACGCCCAGCTAATTTTTTGTATTTTAGTAGAGACAGGGTTTCACCATGTTGGCCAGAATGGTCTAAATCTCCTGACCTCGTGATCTGCCCACCTCGGCCTCCCAAAGTGCTGGGATTACAGGCGTGAGCCACTGTGCCCAGTCAGAAGCTCCCTTTCACAGTGCTATGCAGGGCTTTAAAGCCACACATGCCAGACATTCTAGATGGAAATTTCTTTTTCCCATTTATTTTTCCAGCTTTTTCTGTAGTTCTCCACTGTCCAGTAGGAATGGAACGTGAACTGCATAGGTACTTTTTTTTTTCTTTTTTCTTTTTTTTGAAGCAGTCTGGCCCTGTCACCCAGGCTAGAGTGCAGTGGTGAGATCTCGGTTCACTGCAACCTTCACCTCCCAGGTTCAAGGGATTCTCCTGCTTTAGCCACCTGAATAACTGGTATTACAGGCGCCCACTACCATGTCCAGCTAATTTTTGTATTTTCAATAGAGACGGGGGAGTTCACCATGTTGGCCAGGCTGGTCTTGAACTCTTGACCTCAGGTGATCCACCTGCCTTGGCATCCCAAAGTTCTGGGATTACAGTGGTGAGCCACTGTGCCTGACCCACATAGGGACTTTTAAATTTTGTAGCAGCTACCATAAAAAGTAAAAAGAAACAGGTGGAATTAATTAGAATAATTTATATAACCCAGTATATCTAAAATGTCATTTTGACATGTAATCAGAATTTTAAAAATGTTGATGAGATATTTTGCCTTTTTGTTTCTTACTAAGCATTTGAAATCCTGTATTAGCAGGCCGGGCGCAGTGGCTCATGCCTGTAATCCCAGCACTATGGGAGGCCGAGGTGGGCGGATCACGAGGTCAGGAGATTGAGACCATCCTGGCTAACACGGTGAAACCCTGTCTCTACTAAAAATACAAAAAATTAGCTGGGCATGGTGGCGAGCACCTGTAGTCCCAGCTACTCGGGAGGCTGAGGCAGGGGAATGGCATGAACCCGGGAGGCGGAGCTTGCACTAACACGGTGAAACCCCGTCTCTACTAAAAATACAAAAAATTAGCCGCGCATGATGGCGAGCACCTGTAGTCCCAGCTACTCGGGAGGCTGAGGCAGGAGAATGGCATGAACCCGAGAGGCGGAGCTTGCAGTGAGCCAAGATCACTCCACTGCACTCCAGCGTGGGTGACAGAGCGAGACTCCGTCTCAAAATAAATAAATAAATAAATAAATAAATAAATAAATAAATAAATAAATAAATCTTGCATTAGCTAGGGGCGACAGTGTCGGACAGCACAATTTGGAAGGGTGCTTCTTATCCCCACTGCTCAGTTAAAATGTGAACATATGCCTGCGTGGAACATTCCCTTTTTCTGTTTAAAAGAAAGTGAATTGTTTTCGCAGCAGTTAGTTGGTGTTAGCATAATGCCTTCCTGTGTAGGCTGTAGTGTTAGAATTCTCTTTACAAGCCTTGTAATAATTTTCAGGAATGATCACTTTTATTATAGTATTTTTAGTGCCACTAGAGGGTTTTTACAGTGTGAAATCTCTTAAAAGGACAGTCAAAAACATACTGTGTTTCTTGTGGGACACAGGGTTGGGCATTTAAGTACCTAGTAGTGTTCTTGAGACAGATTCTATGAAATTAGAATTGTCCAGGAGAAACCCAGGTCAAAGGTCACTTTGTATCAGTTCAAACATGTTCTATATTGGTATTTCATGTTTGGGTCTTTATACTCTGTATATTTTGTGAAATAACTAAATCTTCATGATTCATTTCTATGTTGTAGCCCCTCACACTTAATTAGGGGGTCCCAGTGGAGCTTCCTTTCCGTTTCTCTATCTGTTTAGAGTGTCTGGGTGTGTATTCATTTCTCTGTCATGTGCCATGTGACTTTGGCAAGGTCCTTAACCATTCTGTGCCTAGATTGCCTGGTTTTTAAAATGGGAATAATGAGAGCATTTATCCCAGAAAGCTCTGGTGAGGGTTAACATGAGATATTTCAGTTGAATAGATCAGCACAGTGCCTCCTGGTACATGGTAAGTGCTAAAGAAGCATTACCTATCACCAGCACCATTACTCATTTTCTTTGTGAATTTTAGCAACTAAAGCAGAGCAGGACAAATTTTAGGAATGGATTTATTTCTTTGACATTGAGATGGAGCTTTAAAAAGCATTCCTGACTTCTTCCCAAAACATAAATTAAAAATCTTTGTTTCTGCCACAATATCTTTAGTCTCATTTCCCTGTTCCTTCTACTGTTTCATCCTGGGATTGATCAACTCTTCACTTTTGTTTTGTTTTATTTTATTTTGAGACAAAGTCTTGCTCTGTACCCAGGCTGGAATGCAGTGGTGTAATCTCAGCTCACTGCAACCTTTGCCTGCCAGGCTCAAGCGGTCCTCACACCTCAGCCTCCCAAGTAGCTGGGATTACAGGTGCATATCACCATACCTGGCTAATTTTTGTATTTTTTGTAGAGATGGGTCTATCATGTTTCCCAAGCTGAGCTCAAGTGATCCGCCTGCCTCGGCTTTCCAAAGTACTGCGATTACAGGCATGAGCCACCACGCCCAGCCAACATCTGTTCACTTTGGGTAAATTATTTTAATAAGAACTCTCTGGTTAGAGCATGACTGTTAAAGAGAAACTTCCTAAATGCATTTTACAAAGTGCTTTTTCTCTTTCTCGCTTTTTCTGAAACACTGGTTCTTGAATAAACCTCAGATATCATGTATGATTTCTGAAATACCTAAAATCTGCAGGCTTTTTTCTCTCCTACTTTTTGGTTCCATTATGTTAAATATCAAAGAATAGATTAACCAGAATATGAATGGACAGGCATGCAAGAAAAACTGGAGGTTTCCAGTTGCTCCTAATACCATCTATTTCTCTCACCTTTTCACTTAATACTCACTTACTGATTATGCAGAGGTGATATTTAAGAACAAATCCATTTAATAAACCTTTGTAAGTAATATTTAAAGGAGTGTTTATTTTTCAGAATTCACCCAGGATTTCTGTGATCTGCGGTTCTTTGGCTTTGGCACCCGGTTGTCCCAATTTGTTCCAGAGTATTTTACTGCATATGCGATGTCTTTCTCGTTTGCTGTCTATAAATCAAAGGAAGAGTTCGTTTCATTTAATTTTGCCTGATAGGGAAACCCCCAAAGATACAAAATGACTCTTCAACGTTAGTGTATTTATTAAAAATAAAAAAGGAAACTGCCTTTTTGTTCTCCTTCCTATCCCAAGTTTGATTGACCGTATTGCAGAGTCATAAAAGGATTTATATTCAGAGTTGAAAAGTCTCCCTGAAATTGATTTCACCTAGCTTCTTGTATATAAATAGATATTGAGAGGGGGGGAATAATACTGAACTGAAACTTTCAATTTTGAATGTGAGCTTTCCAAAGTCATGAAACTGCTTTTCCGTCTGACTCTTCAGATGGATCTTATAGCATAATTGGTCAGAGCCAGAGGAGGTTTTTGAAAAAGCATAGCCAAAAAAGAGAAAGGAAACAAACCCCACTTTTTTAATAGCTGCAGTTTCTTCATCAGGAAAGGACTTTGGTTAAATAGCTCTTCTTCCCAAAAAGGCAAAACATTTTTCCTCATATAATTAATTTAAGAAATTGCTTTTAGAGCTATTTAAACAGACCTAGAGATAAGTGCTTTAGCCATCTTGATGTGCTCTAGCGAAAATTTTTATGTGGTTAGAATTTTTTTAATTAAATCACTTCATTTAAGATTGTAATAGCCCTTTTAAATTATTTTCCTTGAGACTCGTATTGTGTTATTTCAAGTTAATAACTCCTCTTCAAGCAAAGCAAAATGCAAGATATTTCTTCTGATGATTTCTTTCTGCAATTGAAGAGAACAAAGCCAGCCTCATTCTTGCTGGAAAGGAAGCAAATCTAACACCTAATAAAAATGGAGATAACAAAAATGAACCTGTAGCCCTGGGATATTCTGACTAGCAACATTAAAGTGGTTGCCTGGGCAATACTAACCCCAATTCCTTGAGTTTTTTTTTTTTTTTTCTTTGAAATGCCGGGGACAGGCCTACATTGATTGAATCAAACAAAGCCGATGAGAGGCCTGTGTTTGAGGGGGAAGAAATGTTCCTACAGACTTGGAGTGAGGAAGAGAGCAGTGTATTTGGAATTTTTCTACCCAAAGCATATTTGTCCCTGAATACAGATGCATGATTATAGAGCCATCCTGAACAGGTGCTAAAGACAAAGTCTTTCTCATTGTGCAGAGACAATTTACCATAGATTTAATTTATTAATTAGCCTTTACTTAGATGTGCTCACACCGACTTACGGAAAAGTTCTTTTTAGAATTGTTTTGGGAGGCAGAGTTGAGGTTGAGGCCATGCTCACATCCATGTTAAAACAATGATTTTTTTTTTTTTTTGGAGACAGCATCTCGCTCTGTTGCCCAGGCTGGAGCGCAGTGGCGTGATCTCAGCTCACTGCAACCTCCGCCTCCTGGGTTCAAGTGATTCTCCTGCCTCAGATTCCCGAGTAGCTGGGACTACAGGCGCAGGCCACCATGCCTGGCTAATTTTTTGTATTTTAGTAGAGATGGGGTTTCACCATGTTACCCAGGCTGGTCTCAAACTCCTGAGCTCAGGCAATCCGCCTGCCTCAGCCTCCCAAAGTGCTAGGATTACAGGTGTGAGCCACCGCACCCGGCCATTTTTTTTTTTTTTAATTTTTTAATCATCACTGACATAAGGTTCCTCTGAAATCCATAGTAGAGCCTTCTGTACCTCTACAAGTATCATACAGGCAGGAAGTTTTTTTTTCTTGTATGATTATCAAGGGTGTAATTTTATGTACTATATAGCTAAGGGAAAATTTAGTAATAATGTATATTCTTTCTTTTCCTTATTTTCTCTGTGAATACTTGTATTTGGCTTGATTCTCATTAACTATTATCTTTTTTTTCCCCCATTGATCTGTCTAAGCAGTTCATTTTGTGAACAATCCTAATTCAGATGAAGAAGGGTGAAGGTGAAGTTTGTAAAAATAATATCAAAAGAAATCTAAAAACACGTTCATTAGGCATTTGACCAAGTAAATATAAATAGATGAGTTGAATATTTGTTTTGCTTTCCAAACTTTTTCTTCCAGGAGCACTCCCTCCACAGTCCCCTGTGCACAGGTGGAAGTACACACTTAACAATGATTCGTCTTGACTCACCCTGGGGATCGGAGTGAGGAGCCACTGTTTCTGCTCTTGCCCGCCTCCCTCCAATCTGTTCCCTGCCCAGCAGAGTTGTTTTTACAAAGCATATATTGGTTAAAATGTTCTAAAATTAGATTACAGCAATGGTTTATGCAAGTCTGTAATTATACTAAAAACCATTATATCTCAATAACGCTGCTTTAAAGGAAGGCATATATCAGACCATATTGACTGCCATGTTGGTTCTTCATTGCCTTCTTAAGTTCCTTTAAGGTCCTGAAGGATCCTGACTTGGTGCATCTTCAGCCTCCCACTTCTCCCCAACACCAGCTCATCAAGATTTACCAGGGTGGATGCCACCCTTTTTCCTGCCTCAACATCCTTGTATGTGCTGTTCCCCTGTCTTTGAACCCTATCATCTCTCCCTGTCAATGCCCTCAACTAAAATGATGTTTCTTTTCTCCAAATGATGTTTCTTTCCCTGCCTCCTCTCTCTCTCTAAGTACATTCTTTCCCTGCTTGTATTCTCTGTGGCTGTATCATGTGTGTTTCACTTTATTTTCATGTTGTTCAGTCATTATACAAGTTTTGCTTTATGTGTTTATTGATTGCCTTCCTCATGGACTGGAAGCTCCAAGAGGGCAGGAACGGTGTAGAGTATATACTGTTGAATGCCATGGCAGCATCCTGTCATGGAGAGACCAAGAAAACTTGCCTAAATCTTACCAAACTTCCTAGAAATTATCTTTTTGATAAGCAGGAGTTAGGAGCTACTTAAGCAGATGGTGGGTGTTGGAGGTGGAGTACATAGTTTGCTGACCAGAAGCACAAAGCTTGGGGAATAGATGGCGATGGGCTATTGAGTGGCTGACCAGCTAGGGTTCAAGTGGTTTCTTCAACCTGGCTCTGGAAGTCAGAGGTCTTTGGTTTTACTCGGGGGAGAGTTTTGGAATGAGGTCCACCCCCTTCATGATACGGTGTTTTAAGCAAAGGGGTGTCATGGTTGGAGTGTCCCCTGTATTTGATCCCCAGACGCAGGTCCTAGGGCTTGTGCATTCAGGGTGTTTTCTACCATCTACCATGTTTAGGGATTATCTTGGTGGATATTTTTGTTATTGTGAAGCTTACTCATTTCTAAGTTCTGGAATTATTAATCACCTGCTTGCTCCTGGCACATTTTGCTAGAGGTTGTGGATATGCTGAGGTTTTTTTGTTTTTTTTTTTTAAGACGGAGTCTTTCTCTGTCGCCCAGGCTGGAGTGCAGTGGCGCGATCTTGGCTCACTGCAAGCTCCGCCTCCGGGGTTCACGCCATTCTCCTGCCTCAGCCTCCCGAGTAGTTGGGACTACAGGCGCCCGCTACCGCACCCGGCTAATTTTTTTTGTATTTTTAGCAGAGATGGGGTTTCACCGTGGTCTCGATCTCCTGACCTCGTGATCCACCCGCCTCGGCCTCCCAAAGTGCTGGGATTACAGGCATGAGCCACCGCGCCCGGCCTATGCTGAGGTTTTAAAATGGGTACCCAACCACATTTAAATAGGGCTTCTTTGTCCATTTTTATATATATATATATATATACATATATATATATATATATATATATATATATATACATATATATATATATATATATATATGTATATATATATATAAACCTATTTCATTCAATATTTCACATGGAATGTGCATGTAAAAATGACTCAACAATATAAAAGGCCTATATAAAAGGCCTATTTCTTTCAAATACCAAAGTTAGGTGACATAGTTTGTTTTGGGGTTTGGCACAAAGTTACTAACCATGGTGCTCTATTCGACTTATACAACTGACAAATAACTGCTGGATGAATCTGCTTTTTTTTTTTTGAGATGGAGTCTCGCTCTGTTGCCCAGGCTGGAGTGCAGTGGTGCGATCTTGGCTCACTGCAAGCTTATTTCTCATGGATAAAAATGTGTTAGGCAGTCACAATTACACATTTTAAATGAAAGATAACATGAATCAAGATAATTTATTAATCAACATGTCACTTTCTTATTTGCTTCCTTAACTCAAGTTGTAACTTAATGCTTACTTCTTTATTTTTATTTTATTTTTGAGACAAGGTCTTGCCCTGTTGCCCAGGCTGGAGTGCAGTGGTGCCATCACGGCTCATGGCAACCTCAGACTCCTGGGCACAAGTGATCCTCCCGTCTCAGCCTCCTGAATAGCTGGAACCACCTTGCCTGGCTAATTTTCATTTTTATTTTTGTAGAGATGGGGTCTTGCTCTGTTGCTTTTTTTTTTTTTTTTTTTGTTTTTTTTTTTTTGGTAGAGATGGGGTCTTGCTTTGTTGCCTAGACTGGTCACAAACTCCTGGGCTCAAGCTCTCCTCCCTGGTTGGCCTTCCAAAGTGATGGGACTTGGCCTATTTGAAAAAAAAAAATTTTTTTTAAGGCTAGTCAAGGGAAGCAGTGGGAGTGGAGAAAGAACAAAGAAATCTGTTCCTGGTTGTGATCAATTTGATACATATTTCTGCTTGGCTTGGAAGTGACTTTCTTATTTATAGACAATAACCAAAGTTTGTGTAGTTGTAATTGGAAGTTAGAAAAATCACTCTACATTTTACTGTTAATAATATTGGGAACATGATTTTATCTTAGACAATTGCCAATAGTGGTGGAAAGACTAACCTAGACAACTTCTTTCTTTTGGAATTGTTACATTTTTAGTTTTATGAGGCTCATGTAGAAATTTTTCACTTGTGATGTTTGTTTACCTTTGAGCAAGTGGAGTAGCTATTCATATTAACTCACAGATATTTTTATGATGCCTAAAATTCAATTTTGTGAAGTATAGTTGTAGTGTAGTATCAGTTATAGAGGACTGAGAGTAATATCTGGTTCAGACCTATGTGTTCTTATGTAAGTAACATACCTTTTCTGAATAATTGTACCTAAGCTACAGGACTACTGGAAGAATTACATGAGCCTGTGTATTGATGGTAATTTTAATGATGCTTTCCTCATAGGCAATAATTGACTTGATTTAGTAAATAACTTATGATTGGGCCAGGCCATGGGTGCAAACACAGATGGCCACAGGGACTCTTTAAGAAATACAAATGAACAAGTGGGACTGGGTGGAGAAGGCAGCTAGCTGGATATTCATGACTCTTCTCTAAAGAGCTACTTGCTATTCACATAGCATATTGTTGCCATTTGGGAACATGACCCAGCTCTCACATTTTAAAAAAATGAAAATACAGATATTGGTGTTCTCTCCTGGGGTTTTCCACACTGGCAACTAATGCAATACGCATACACCCATGCATACATGTACAGTGGGTGAAACAAAAGTTCAGATGGGTGGCCGTGTTCAGCATGGTGGCCACCAGCATGTAATCTCTCTGCTGTTTGCCATTTCTGCTGGCCATTAAAGATATAAAGAGATGCCACAATTGTAAAATGGAAAGTACAGGTCTGTGGCCTTTGATATTACACCAACACTGTCTGTCACTGATCTTCATTTTCCTGGTAATATTATAGAATCAGGAGATTTGTTTCCTTGAGAATCAAACAGTAGTAAAATGGCCTGAAAGAGTAGTCATTTTATTTCTGTCTGATATTTGATGCCGTGAGCCCAAATTTTTTTAGGAAGGTGCCTGTGAGAAAGAGGGAACCATGGTATTTTTCAGATTTTCATCACAAATGTATAATGAGCTCCATTATAAATCAGTTTTATAAGTGTATCTTTTCTGAGATCTGTTGGAAAGTGTGTATTTTTTAATTTCTGAAGTTTTAAAACTGACAGAGTTAATGGCAGAGGAATGACTCCAATGTTTTGTCCATTTTAGCCCTTATTTATTTTTTTTTAATAGATTCTGCCCTTTGTAACTGACACTATTTAAGAGTAAAATAATAGAGGACTTCAGTATTTTGTTCTCTGCCTGGCTTATAGCTCATTTTTACAATGCTTTTTTTTCTGTTTGTTTTTCCCTCTAGGATACGACATTGCTGTGTGATTCCTCTTTCCCTTGAATTGCCTCTGAGTTTCAGTACTTTATTTTACTTAAAAAACATCATGGCTCTATATTAGGTCTCTTTATTCATGTAAGGTGATGAAAAAAACTTTTTATAGTTGAAACAGTAAGTATATTTGAATATGATAAAATAGGGAATCTAGTGTAATATAATCTATTGTATTTGAGGTTAGCTCAGTATTACAAACAACTAGAAGGACCATTTATAATGCAGTGCTTACAAAGGAACACACTTTTTCATTTTACTTTTTGGGACACTCACCGAGCACATTTTACTACAATTGATTGAAATACAGGCACAAAGGAAATGAGAGGTTGATCAGAATATTTAATTACTTTTAACTTAATTTGATACTTTTGCCCATTGTAGGCATAAAAAAAGATTTTCATTTTAGACTATTGTGTGGGATTTAATGTTCTTAAATGCTCTTTAAAATTTAGAGAAAATTGTGCTCAATGGAGATTTCACCATCCTTGAGGGATCTTTAATTTGTTTGTTGATGTGCCATTAAAATAGATATAAACAACCTACTTAACTGCTTGTCTGCCATTCTGGATATCTTCGTTCTAGATTTGACAATGTGAGTGCCTGTTGCTTGTTTTTAGTTGGCTTATGTTTTGGCAGTATATCTGGGAGAAGAACTAGGACTCTGTATATGAGAACCACCCACCCATCACCCTAAGTAGTTTTCATTTTGGCACTGGAGAACCAGAATTTCTTTGTTCTGATGTTTTCAATTTTATATGGAAGCTGACCTATTCTCCCAGGCTTCTAAGTCCTTTGGAATGACCTAGAATTGGACATACAGTTAATGAGAAATACCCTTATGTGTTACTACGCTGTTTTGCTTTGATCATAGGATGTGCAGCCATATTGTAGATGGAACTTTGGGATGTTCTCATCACAGACTTACTCTGCTTTCACCTTTGCATAACCTTTGTCATATAATCACTTTTCCCTGTAGGAGATAATGACATAGCAGAGGTCAAGTCGACATGGCTGGTTCAATACAGTCAGATGAACCAGTGTTGTGGATGAATGCCGGGGTTATTTTGGAATCCTTTGTGGCCATGTATCTTCTTTTCTTGGTGGACACCTCAGACTTCCATTGACATTCATATACACAAATCTATATGTAAATGGACCACCTTTGTCAAAAACAGTAAGACATTCATTGTACTCTAATTTCAATCATGAATTTGCAATCTTGTAGGAAAAATATTCCCTATGGATATATTATGTAACAACATTTATTCATATTCAATATAGACTCAGTGACCCTTTCATCTCTCTGAGAGTAAAACTTAAGAAAAAACATCTATGTCACGAATGCTGTTTCATGTGGTATTCAGAGGAGCCGGGCTCTTTGTATGAAAAATGTTTAGACTGCAAATTAACACAGAAGAGTTAACACAGCTTGCAAGTCTTTTTTTCCCCGGAAGTCAATATTTCTGTGAAACACTGAGAGTAAGGATTACACAGAATCCTCCCGAAGACACAGTTAAGGCAGATGGGATACACATCTGCTTTTTTATTCTGGAATAAAAACATTTATTCTTATAAACTATGTCCGGTGGCTCTGGGAAATTAAATGAGGCACGTAGGAAACAGTTGCGTTGATATCTTCAGTAGTAGGTGACTCTTAGGACATTTTTATAGGAAGAAATTGGGCCTTTGGGTCTGGAATTTTTTTTTTTTTTTTTTTTGAACTGGTAATAGAATTTATTCAAATGTGCCTTAATATAGGCGCTGGGGCTTGCCCATGGTGCTCTCGATATATAAGGCCCGGACATTCTGCCAGTTTTTCTTGAGCAATGACACCAAGAAGTTGACAGCCAGGTGAATGTTATACACAAGCTCATCGGCTGTCATCTTCACGTGACCAACAGCTACAGCCAGACATAACACCTTCTTCATTTGGAACTTGATTGTGGACTTCACCTCACCCACTTTGGCCACCATGTTTTCGTTGTGTGTGAGCAGGGAAGGGAACTTTCCTGCCTTATTTAGACCTGGGCCGAGGATTCGTGGAATCTGCTTGATCAGAGACTCTGAGGCCAAAAACGCATCATACTTCTTGGCCAGCTTCTTGACCAGTTTTTTATTCTTTTTGAGTTTTTTCAGCGCCTCGATGTCCATGTGGGGGATATCCACGGCCTTAGCCTCGTCACAGTGCTGCTGGTCCCCCAGGACACACACACACAACTTAGGGCGGGGAGTGGACTTAAGTCTGACGGTGCCCGAGAAGCACTTGTCCTTCTGGGGGTCATAGTTCTTCAAGCTGATCTGCAACTCCACCGTCTCCAGGAACTTGCGGCGCTTGCGCTGGTTCCGGTGCAGGACTTCCCGCACCGCCTCGTACAGGGTGTTGCGAGAGACTGCTGCTCATGGCTTCTCACGCCGCGCTAACCGGAAAAGAGCGGGTCTGGTAATATTTTTATCTTTTTTTGCTTCGGGCTGGAAATGAGGTAGGCTCAGTAGAAGTTCTGAGAAGAGACAGAGTTTATGGAAACTCCCTGATGAAAATACCTGTCACTCATTCAGCTCTCTGCCTAGCAACCAACTTGACTTAAGATTCCTCCTGCTGAGTGAGACGTAAGCATCATTGGCTAGTTAATACTATTGGTTTTGAAATCTCCACTCTTACCTTGTCAAAATCGAGAGACTCAGATTTTCCTGTATGATGGGAGTCACTGTATTCTTCCTTTCTAAACCCATTTCATTATTACACTATTCAGACTACTTAAATGTGATATTCCTGATGCTCAGGTTTGTCAGGCCATGGGTGTCTGTGTGTGTGTGTGTGTTGGTTAAAATGTCATTAGAGATGACCTCTTTGAGGAGGAGAATGCAGCAATGTACAGCATATACTGCTGGGCTTCTCTGTGTCTTACATAACTGATATTCCAATTTCTCGCTGTGCTATAACATGACTAAAAGTCCTCCTAAGCTTTTCACTGAAAAACGACTTCCCCTCCATAAACCATAGTGGGCTTGGTGCTGTAACACTTGGTAGAATATATGTGTGCATAACACCATGTCCTCCCTCTTGTTATTCACATGATAACCATAGGCAGATTTACACTTATTGTCTATTCTGAAGAGTGAAACTACATATTTTCATAAGCATGCTCCATTTTTAATTGTGTAATTAAGTTGCTGACATAAGCAAGTATGCAATTTCACATTAAGGTGAGGATCCGTAAAGGCATTCATTTGCATAATTTAATTTTCTGCACAGAAGATATTGAAAATCAATAGCATGATTCATAGCCATACCATATCATTGCCACACCGCCTTTGGTTGTCTGTCTGAGCTTAGAAGAGTACAAAGAGTATTAAAATTGATTGAATTTTGGTGTGCTGACTCTGTATCTTTACTTGGGAACCACAGACTGTTTCTATTTGCAAATCACTGCTCCTTGCCAATAAAATATTAAGTTGCTTAATATACTCTATATATACTTTTTGACTGCTGTTCAAATAATAGTTTTAAAAGTTGGTTTTTAAAAAAAATCACAGCATCGTCGATTAAAATGCATTTGAGGAGAGGACTTAAAGTGTTGTCTTATTTTAAATTATGTGAGTGCCAGTAATAATGATAATTAGTCCTCAGACGCTTTTGTTGTGCGAACATCATAGAGTGTACTTAACAAACTTAGATGGAATAGCCAGCCCACTGCACACCTAGACCATATGGTGTAGCCTAATGCTGCTAGGCTACAAACCTGTACAATGTGTTACCGTCCTGGATACTGTAGGTAATTGTAGCACAGTGGTAAGTATCTGTGTATCTAAACATATCCGAACACATAAAAGGTACAGTAAAAAATACTTTATTATAATCTCATGGGACCAGCATCATATATGCAGTTTTTCATTGACTGAAATTTTATCATGTGGCACATTACTTGATTATGCTCTTACAGATAGGGGAGGGGGAGAGGTCACACATTACTGACAGAGATGGAACAAAAGGGAAAACTAAATATAGTCACCTTTAATGAGTAGTTTATCTAGTTAAAAAATAAAATGTGGTGCTGAGGTTAAAAGTCCTGCCCTGTTCATTTCTGAACAATTGCCTTCCTAAAGAATTGCTTATTGGTTACTCAGGGCCATTTTCTTTTTGCTTCATGTATTAAATGCTTGCTGTTTGTGATAGGTGGGCAGTGGCTAGAGAGTCAGTGAGGTTCTGGGTGGTGGTTTTGCCTGTGGCTTATGTAAACAGGTACATAACATGCATAGATACACACACATTTTCTTACCATCACTACCCTCTAGAACACAGAAACCATCAGCTTTTTGATCTTTCATGTGTTCATTCATTCCCTCACTTTTTTTTTTTTTTTTTTGAGACGGAGTCTTGCTCTGTTGCCAGGCTGGAGTGCAGTGGCGTGATCTCGGCTCTCTGCAAGCTCCGCCTCCTGGGTTCAAGCGATTCTCCTGCCTCAGCCTCCCGAGTAGCTGGGACTGCAGGCGTGCCACCATGCCCAGCTCATTTTTGTATTTTTAGTAGAGACGAGGTTTCACCATGTTGGCCAGGATGGTCTCGATCTCTTGACCTCATGATCCGCCCACCTTGGCCTCCCAAAGTGCTGGGATTACAGGCGTGAGCCTCGCACCTGGCTGCCATTCCCTCACTGTTGATGAACACACACCATGCGCTGATTTCCATTGTGAGTGGTAGGTTGACAGTAGTAGTTCAGGAATATGCCTGTGCCCTATTTCCAGGGAGCTTAGAGCCCTTCATACGCCATGCAGCATGTACTTTAGAAGCCAGTTTTCCTGCCCATGCTGACCTTGCTGTGGAAAACCCACTTTGTACCTCAATACTTTGCGTAGTGTGAGGAAGATAAGATTAACCTACCTTCTTGGGATGGCCCTGTCCCTTCTGTTACCTCTTGTCGTATGTAGCAGAACCGTACCTTTTACTTCTGTCTTAAGTGAATTACCTTTAGACAGGCAGTCCTGTTGCTCAAGTCCAATTCCTTATACCACATTGTGATGTATATGTGTGTCTGGGGTGAAGTCCAAGGCATAGGGTTGGTTGGTTGGTTTTAAAGTAGCCCAGGGTTAAGAGAGCTCTAGTACAACAATGGCCTTTTATGGATGGAGAAATTTATGACCAGGATTTCAAGTGATGGTTTAAAGCATACGATGGGTGTCATTTGAGGATCTTCTTTGGTACAAAAGACAGAAAAATGTGCTTTAGCAGGTAAAACTGATCCCAGTAAAAATAGACCCTCAGAGAGGGCTAGCTTCAAATCAGCTTTGTCGAAGGTTTAAATATTTTATTTTAGTTATTTTATTAAACTTTCTTTCTTTTTCTTTTCTTTTTTTTTTTTTTTTGAGACAGGGTCTCACTCTGTTGCCCAGGCTGGAGTGGAGTGGCACAATCACGGCTCACTTGAGCCTCCCTGGCTCACGCTATCGTCCCACCTCAGCCAGCCAAGTAGCTGGGACTACAGGCGTGTGCCACCACACACTCTAATTTTTTTTTTTTTTTTTTTTTTTTTTTTGAGACAGAATCTCGCTGTGTCTCCCAGGCTGGAGTGCCGTGGCGCCATCTCGGCTCACTGCAAGCCCCGCCTCCCAGGTTCACGCCATTCTCCTGCCTCAGCTGGGGCTACAGGTGCCGCCACTTCACCCGTCTAATTTTGTTTTTGTATTTTTAGTAGAGACAGGATTTCACCGTGTTAGCCAGGATGGCACACGCGCTAATTTTTTTATTTTTTGTAGAGATAGGGTTTCGCCTTGTTACCCAGGCTGGCAGAGTTTAAATTTTGTCAACAGAATTGATTTTTTGGTCCCCCTGGCTTTGGTTCTAATTTTAAGGTCCTCTGTTAATCCCTTACTTGGTCCTCAACCACCCCCCGAGGCTTCCACTTTGTCTAATACCTTCAGGAAGGAAGAAGAATCTCTCTGACTGGCCAGTGTGCCCATACCTGAATGCATCACTGGGGCCACGAGAATGGTTAAAAGTGATTGACTGGCTTGAACCAAACAAGGCTCACTCCTAGAGCTAACATTGGTGGTGGCGGGTTAGCTGTCCAATGCGTGATACACAGCTAGCTGGAGTGGGGATATGGTTATTACAAAACAGATCCTCTACAGCAAATTTCCACTATGTTGTCGGACACTAAAAAGCACTAGGGCTGGGTGCAGTGGCTCACACCTGCCATCCCAACACTTTGGGAGGACCAGGTGAGAAGATTGCATGAGCCCAGGAGTTTAAGATCAGCTACAAAAATAAAAAATCAGCTGAGCATAGTGGCATGCGCTGATGGTCCCAGCTACTCAAGAGGCTAAGTTGGGAGGACTGCTTGAACCCAGGGGTTAAGGTTGCAGTGAACCATGATCTTGCTACTGCACTCCAGCCTGTTCGACAGAGCAAGACCCTGTTTCAAAAAAAAAACAAAACCAAAAGCAGTGTATGCCCAGTGCTGAGTTAGGTGCTCTGCTCACCATAACTTGCGTTATCTTTGTAACAGTCTTAGAAGGCTGGCATTTTTAGGTCCATTTTACAGTCAAGGAAATTGAGGCTCAACCACATACCCTAATGGAAGCCACATTTATTACTAACATAGCAAGACAGTGTTTTACTCACTGTTTTGATGGAAAGAGGAAGGATTAATGGGGAATAATTATTTGTAGAATGGTTTGGATGGAAGGCACCTAAACCTACCTTGTACTTGAAAAATGAGTGGAAGCTTAAATTTTGACATGAATTTTCTTTGAGGACCAATGAGCAGACATAAATGACATCAGGTTTACTTTTTAGGCTTGTGTTGAGAATTTATAGGATTCTTGTTTCCCTCTAAAGGGCTCATCTCTGTGGAATACTATTGTTCAAGCATTACATCTTTTAATGCTAGTCTTTTTAATTGAAGTGTAAGCATAAAGTACTCTACAGGTTTCTTAATTTTTTTTAATGACTGTCACATTGTCTAAAAGGCTAATAATATCTTGGCGATATTATTCCATTGACTAATTTGGAATACAGAATGCGTTGTGTTTTCCTGGTCCCATCTTTGTCTTCAATTGAATATACAGCTTCCCAAAACTTTCTTAAATTTTTTTTTTTCTCTTTGAAAGCAGGCTTGCTTTTGTTTAGGTGCATTTAAATGTTATCATAGTCAGCTGGGGTATATTGTTTGCGTGTAATTCCGTTTCATTTTGGATTTTGAGGCACCTGTGACATTTGTCTTCTTATACATCAGTGTTTTCAGGTGTGGGCTCACAACAAAAGAAATCCGCATCCATGAGGTAGCTGGGAAGAGAGGGCTTTGAACGCTATAGCAGGCAGATGGAAGCTCTCCATAATGGGTGAGAGTAGTATTTTTGCTGTTGCTTGGTGGATTGAAATGATTTTGAGATTTCAAATATACATCACTAATCAGTGTTTCTTTTGTGGGCATTGTGGGCCTTGGAGGCTTTCTTGTTTCATATCTTCTGGCACCACAGGTGACTGTTAGTGGCCCAAAGGATGTGGAAGACTGGTACTAATCACAAGGAGTCTCCTAGGTTTCAGATTGTCCTGTGTTTGGGTGGCTGGCTTTGATGCAGGGATTCTTAAGTCTGGTTTTCTCATCTACTGCATACCTACTGGGTGACCTGGGGCCAGTTACTTTGTGTCTCTGCTCCTTAGTTCCTCCATCTGTAAAAGAGATAGAATGACCCTGGCTCTGTAAAGATCAAATGGAGCCCGAGGGTCTTTACACACAGGTTGTAAACTTATACATGCAGTTGGAACCGAAGTCTACCAGTTAGTTGTATGTATGACCTTGGTCAAGTTAAAGTTCTTTCTGTTGTTGAAGCTTCAGTTTGCTTATCCATAAAAGGGCCCCATTATTGGGATCACTGTTTGTACTGCTTGGTGGTGTTTTGCAAATCAACTAAGATAATGTATATGAAGTGCTTAGTGTACTGCACTTCTTGGCACAAAGTAAAGGTTCCTTGTCAACGATTCCTAATATTAATAATAATAATTTGTCTGGACTTTCCTATAGTTTTTTTTTTTTTTGTAAAATAAGTTGGTTCTAGTCAGTCATCCTCAAGGACTATGATTCTACGAAGTCACCCAATGGTGTTCATTTGACACCCTTCCTGTATCCAGTGGGGTGCTGCCTTTGTCTCATTGTGGGTTTTCCTCTCTTCCAGCGTTGACAGAAGGCTACGTTGGGGCCCTGCACGAGAATAGACACGGCAGCGCAGTGCAGATCCGCAGGCGCAAGGCTTCAGGCGACCCGTACTGGGCCTACTCTGGTAAGTCCAGTTGTTCTAATGGAGATCACACAGGCCAGTTAACATCCCATTCAACTCACTTGAAAGCACACTTTGAATCACTTTTATGCCTGAGTTCTGTTTGCTCAAATCTTTCGTAGTTCACTAAAAGTTGAAATATTCGAGCCTGTTTTTCCTCAAGGTTATAAGCACCTTAATTTATCTCTACCACCTGTTTCCTCAACCTGTTTTCCCCTCAATTTGCGTTTATTTCTGAACTTTACTGTTAATGAGTTATTGTACCAAACTTGTAATTTTCTGAAAGACGTAGTCTTGTCTTTTCTGTTTTTTCAGGGGCTGTGATTTCAGAGAGCAGAAAATATATGGCTAGTCTTGAGCTGCTAAATGTCTGCTAAACATTACAAACATCACATATCAGAATGCTCTATTAGGCTCTAAGCCAAGAAATGCAACTTTATTTTTAAATCACATCTTGTTCTTTGAATATATTTTAGCTGTCTACTCGATGGTAATCTGCAGTCCTTTTCATTTTTATTTTTACTTTTACCCTTTTGAGCTAATGAAGGGAGAGAGCATTGTTCTAACTATGTTGAATGTTACATTGCAAATAATTTTCTTACATTTTAAGGGGACAAAAATGAAGACCGAAAACTAGGGATAGACTTTTCTGGATTAGGCTTCCCAAAACTCCCAAAATATGAGAGGTGGATTGTTATTTCTAGAAGAGATTTTTGATGCTCAAAAATATATGGAAAATGTATTAAAGCTAATTAAGGAATGCTTGAGTAAGATAGACCACTTTGGAAATTACTTTGGCACTGAATAATTCAAACTCCTTCTATGAAAGAGCTTGGAGGCATGGAGTATTAGTCTTAATAATAAATCTATGTATTATGCAATGTTGTTGCATATAGAACTGAAAGTATTCTTTTCATAATGATGCTCGGGTTTAAATCCTGAATTTCTCCCAGCAAATCCTGTTAAATTTATGCCAGTGTAAAATTTATAGGTCTGATCTTTAATTATACCTTATCTATTGGCTTTTTGCATCCTTTTGTCTATTGATAAATCTGCTGCCCCTGCAGGGAGAATATCCTATCTGTTTTGTTTTGCAGTGAACAGATAGTGATTCTGAAGTTTTCCATCACACCCAGTACCTTGTGATTAGAATTATCTAATTAGAGGCTTTTTGTCACCATTTCTGATAAATGAAGGAAATTGGCAGATGAAAGCCAAAATTACATATATATAGCATCTTGCCAAGAAACCCAAAGAAAATTTATCATTTTGTACTCTGTGGCTCTGACATCAGTCAGGAGGAGGCACAAAGTGGCTTGCTATTTACAGTTCATCAGTTTAGAATAATAATGCTGTTAGTCAGGAAATTGGAAGTTATATCCCATTAGCATGTCCAATTGCAAATGGCAGTGAAGAGATGAAAGCCCTTAAACTTTTCCCATTATGTAGTTAAGAATGACCATAAGTGGTGCCATCTTTGTGATGGAGTGATTGTTGATGTCTTTAACTTTGGTAGAGTTCAGAAGTCTCCATTTTGTATTTCTGGAATGCATTGTGTCTGAATTTGGGTATTGCCTCCAGTAGTAGAAGGACTAATGGTTCAAATTCAAGAGTTGGCACACTTTTTCTGAAAAGATCCAGGTAACAAACATCAAAAGCCATGTCGTCTTTGTTGCAACTGCCCAACTCTGCCATTGTAGCTTAAAAGTACCCACTGACAATTCTGGACAGACTGGCTGTGCTCTGATAAAAATTTACTTATGAATACTGGAATTTGAATTTTATAATTTTCATGTGTCAGGAAATATTCTTCTTTTGATTTTTTTCTCATTCATTAAAAAATATACAAACCATTCTTGCTTTGCAGGCTGTGCAAAAACAGGTGGCTGGTTGGATAGGGTCCACAGGTTATATAGTTTGTGAACCCTTGTTCCAGTTGATTTTTTTCCTAGAAATCAGATAGGAGAGTCATTTGAGGAATTGCTTGGAAGGATGTGGACTGGTTTGGAAGACTGAATGAAGTCATTTGTTAGGCATAATGGAAAAAATAAGAGTAAAAGAAGAATAGAATGGGACAGATATCAACTGATGGTATAAAGTTCTTATGCTTGCAACAGTTCTTCCTGACAATTCGACAGTATCTATGGTTGGCTCATGCTGACGTGGTGCAGTATTGGTTCTCATGTCAAGAAGGCTTGGAGTTCATCACAGACATTCCTTAGCATTTGGCCAATGTGTAAACAAGGCCAGGAAGAAGTAAGAGTTGGGGCCTGTTACTTTGGGTACATCAGACCAGCACCTTAAAACCACAGCAAATGAGATGTGGGACTATTAGCTGCAGGCATAGTCCTCTGGATATAAATGCTTGAAAAGTGGGACTGACAAAAAAAGGCTCATTTTTTATGAGGGAAGTGTTTCTAAATTTAGCAAAATGAAGCAGGCAGTTCCTCAAAGATTGCTTTAATAGTCTAGATTTTAATCTGAGGCCTCAAATTCTCTGATTTGTCTTATTTCCTCCTAAGATAATGCCATGGGTGCTTTAGGGGTGCAGTGTGTGAGAGTATGAATTTTGAAGTCATATAGACAAACCATAGTTCAAAGCGAAGTTTTGTTAATATCTTGATGATGTTGGAAAAGTGTGACATGGGAATGATTAATATTAATAGCACTTCCCACATAGGATTGTTACAGGGATTCAGTGAGATGATATTTGTGAAAACATTAACATAGGCCGGGCGCAGTGGCTCACGCCTGTAATCCCAGCACTTTGGGAGGCCGAGGTGGGCGGATCGCGAGGTCAGGAGATCGAGACCATCCTGGCTAACACGGTGAAATCCCGTCTCTACTAAAAATACAAAAAAAAATTAGCCAGGCGTAGCGGTGGGCGCCTGTAGTCCCAGCTGCTGGGGAGGCTAAGGCAGCAGAATGGCATGAACCCGGGAGGCGGAGCTTGCAGTGAGCCGAGATTGCGCCCACTGCACTCCAGCCTGGGTGACATAGCATGCCTCTGTCTCAGAAAAAAAAAAAGAAAACGTTAACATAGTCTCTGGCGTAAAGTAAGTAGTTAATATTACTTCTTGCTTATTTTTGAGACTGTTATTATTACTTTTGCTGCAATTAATGTTGGTTTTGGAATGCACAAGTGTCGCGATTGACAGTGGGTGATGACTGGATAGTTCTGAGAGCTGAACAAGTTAGATTCTCTCAGCCATAATTCTCAAGGGGTGCTTAGTTGGGATTTGGGCATGAGGGTTAAGCAGACTATCCTCAAGTTCAGTGGTTGGCAAACTACAAACTGCAGCTGTGTTTTGTAAAATAAATTCTGCTGGAACACAAGCACACCCATCACATTGCATATTATCTATGGCTGCTTTTGTGCTACAGTTGCAGAACTGAGTGGTTGTGACAGAGACCTAGAATGTTACTATTCCAGTAATGTTGAATATCTAGTAATATTGAATATTAAATATCTAGTAATGGTGAAAAGCCTAGAATATTACTGTATCTGGCCTCTTATAGAAAAAGTTTGCTGGCCGGGTGCGGTGGCTCATGCCTCTGATCCCAGCACTTTGGGAGGCCGAGGCGGGCAGATCACGAGGTCAGGAGTTCGAGACCTGCCAACATGGTGAAACCCCATTTCTACTAAAAATACAAAAATTAGCTGGGTGTGGTGGCGGGCACCTATAATCCCAGCTACTCGGGAGGCTGAGGGAAGAGAATTGTTTGAACCTGGGAGGTGGAGGTTGCAGTAAGCTGAAATCGTGCCACTGTATATTCCAGCCTGGGTGATAGAGCAAGACTGTCTCAAAAAAAAAAAAAAAAGAAAAAAAAAAAGAAAATATTTGCCAACTCCTGCTTATAGTAATATAGCCTGGGTTTTTAGCAGATGTTAGTCTGGTATAACTTTTCACTTCTCATTTTAAGACTAGCCTACTTTATTTCCACTTCACTGCATCACCTTGGAAAATGCAGACACCTTATTTATTTTTGAAATGTTAAACTTTACCTTTATAGGCCTATCAAACAATGCCTTTGTGAATACCTGTAATTTTAGCATAGAGAACTATTTATTGAGGAACCTGGAGATATGTATTAGAGTTCTCTTGTGGTCACTGGAAGATTTGTTGTTTCTCTGGATCTTAAATTTCATCTGCTAGTAAAAAAGGGGGACATAATATCTGATTTTGACATGAAAACATCATAGAAGGTATGAAATGGAACATAAATATAAGTTATTGTTGACATAATAATAGCAATGTAATTTGATGATTGATTTATATCTTTGGATTTCTTTTTCCTTGTACCAACATAGTAGGCAAAAATGGGAATGAGTTAAGTTTCATATAGAATTGTACTGAAAAAATGCAGTAGTTTAATAGTATCTCATTGGAAATAATAAAACAATTTCTTTTCTATTAATTTTACTCAGTTAAAGTATATTTCTGTCTTTCTTGAGGTGATGGTAGCTCATGAATTTTGGAGTTTGCCCAGAACTTCTATAATTATTGCACAAAGAGTAACACATGCTAGGCAGGTCATCAATGCAGGAAAGAGAAATGAAAAATAAATCATAAATCTAGAGTAACTTCAAGTAGAAATTTGAGGGTTTTTTTTTTTTTTTTGGAGATTGGATCTTGCTCTTTCACCCAGGCTGGAGTGCAGTGCCTCGATCTCAGCTCACTGCAACCCCCCAACCCCCTGCTTCCTGAGTTCAAGCAATTCTCACGCTTCAGCCTCTCAAGTAGCTGGGATTATAGGTGTGCACAATCACACTCCCAGCTAATTTGTGTATTTTTAGTAGAGATGGGGTTTCACCATGTTGGCCAGGCTGGTCTTGAACTCCTGACCTCAGGTGATCGGCCTGTCTCGGCCTCCCAAAGTGCTGGGATTACAAGTGTGAGCCACCACACCCGGCCAGAGGCATTTTTATATATAAAGTTATTTTCTCTCTTGCCACTCAAAGACTAGAGAAAAACAGGTGGTAGTTTCTTCCCTTCCTCTGCTTTTTTTTGTTTTAACTTAATTCTGTTTCATTTTTCACAATTTTAATAATCTCTATCTCATTTTCCCCTGTGTAGAAATAGCTTCTAAGAATCAGTACAAGGAGACCATTTCTCATTGTTAGAGAAACCCAGAATTGAAATAGGCAGTGACCAAAATTCCCCGTAAGACATTTCTGGCATTGGGCTGGGTGAAGGTCAAGCAGGATTATTCTAAGAGGCATTCCTGCCATAGCCAGGGGCCATCCATGGTCCTCTCCAACTGTCCTGGGATTTGAGGAATTGCTCAGCTGTAAAATGGAGATGGCTTTGAGGATTAAAGGTAATATATATTGGCACCTGTAGTATGTACTTTTTGGCCTCCACCCTGGAGTAGAGTAGGTATTACCTGTGTGGCTCTTCATTATATGCCACCTCACTACACTGTTCATATAAACATCTTGTTTTATAACATGCATGTGTGTGTCTGGGCGTGTGTCTCATTTCCCCGGCTAAGTGTAGAATCCTTGAAGACAAGGATTATTGCTTATAATTCCTTGTTTCTCCTGCAGCGTGCCAGTGTGTCTTGTTTTGTGGAGATTTGGTGCATGTTTTTCAAGTGGACAAGTGGATACACGGATAAATTAACTCAAGCCAGAGTCTGTCCTTGGGAATTTACTAAGGGGAGTCCTGCCATGAAATTCAGATAAATTAGTGGGTGATTTGCAAAAGGTTTCACTGTTGGATCCCTTTAAATAACAAGCTCCCCTGGTGAACTTAAGATATAATTAAATTCCTAAAATTACATTTTCATGTCTATTTTTAAGAATGTCTGTACAGGATAAAGCAAAATATACGTGCCTGCAGAATTCAGCTTTTGTCATTAGAAGAATGGAAGGCACTGTAGGACCTCAAATTTAATGTTAATATTGTTGTGTTATTTGCCTCTCTCCTAAAGCCTCCTCCAAAATCTCTTAAGGGAATCATTTCCTTAGAGACATTCTCTTCCTAATAGAGACCTCCTTCTTCTTCTTCTTTTTTTTTTTCTTTTGAGATGGAGTCTTACCCTGTTGCCCAGATCTCAGCTCACTGCAACCTCCGCCTGTCGCCCTGATCTCAGCTCACTGCAACCTCCGCCTCCTGGGTTCAAGCTATTCTCCTGCCTGCACCTCCTGAGTGTCTGGGATTACAGGCATGTGCCACCACGCCCGACTAATTTTTGTATTTTTAGTAGAGTTGGGGTTTCGCCCTGTTAGCAAGGCTGGTCTCGAACTCCTGACCTCAAGTGATCTGCCTGTCTTGGCCTCCCAAAGTGCTGGGGTTACAGGCATGAGCCACTGCGCCCAGCCCTAATAGAGACCTTCTGATCGGAAGGAACCACACCACTGAGGAGGAATCAGCCTTGAGAGTCTTCCTCCATGTCTCAGCTCAAAGGCTCCCTGTGCCTTGGTGCTTAGCCTGACCCATTTCTGCCTAAACTCCTCAGTCTCCCCTTTATTTATTTTTAAAATTAATGTTTATCTTTTCTACATATCCCTATTAATCTTACAGTTTTAAAGTAGAATTTCTTTACTTATTTGTTTACCACACTTACTAATTGTCTACTGTGTGCCAGGTGTTGTGCTAAATGTGAAGGGCCAGAGAAGCTGCCCATAAAATTGCTGTTGCCAGATTCCAGTCTTCAAAGACAGGCAGGTGTTTGCCAGGACACACATAGGCCTTGAGCCTGGAGGGCTCTGGCAGTGATTAGAGAACCAGAAGCAGCTCAGAAGCTCTAGAGCATGTGGTCGGGTGGAGAAAGTTAAGGGCTTAATGAAGAGGATTGGAGTTAGACTATGGACAGCCTTATGATATTATTCTACTAGTGACATAGAACTTCTTTCTAAGGATGATAGGGAGTAATTAAAGAGCTTCACCTGGAATTGGACTACAGTTGGTTTTATGTTTAAGACCACTGGTTGTAGGGTTAAGGACTGGGCAGTGGGAGGAAGAGGGCAGGATGAAAAATGATGGGGCTGTATCACTGGGGATTTGAGAATGAAAAGAAAAGAGCTCATGGGAATTCATTATCGTTTGTACAAGGAGGAGAAGGCAAAATGAATTGTTGTCCCCAAGATGATTGAAGATGGCATTGCATTTGTTTTGAAATAAGTAAATGAGGAGTGGTGGGTTGGTTGAAAAGATGAAGAATTTTGACTAGAACCTATTAAGATGTGTTATAGTGTTTTGTCTGCATTTCTTATGCCCTTTAGAGTTCATGCTCTTTGAACAGAACCTTTGTCTGTAATTAGTCATTGTATTTCCCTGTTGCTACCTAAATGTTTTTGGATAGGAGGGCTTCAAGATAGAGAACAAATTGTAGAATAAACTGTTTCTTCCTACAGATACTATTTTTCTTTTATAGTTCATGTGTGGTTCCAAGGGTAGATGGTGTAAGAAAAAACACATATGGTCACACACTAATCAGAACTTTATGTACAAAGGAGAAAAATGTGTTGCCATATGCTTAAGGTACCTGGAGAATTTTTCAATACTTGGCCAAGTTTGGGAATTGCCTCTCCAGTGTTTGAAAGACGTTGTTCTCTCTACTTAGAGTTCTTTTCTTATTTTTTTTAAACTTTCATCCTTGGCACCTGAGTTCTAAAGTTTCTTGGCATTTTCTCTGTGGAGGTGGTTTCACAAGTGATTGTAAAGTTAATGGATGCTAATGCATTAATATATTATCAGAGGACATGAATACATTCCTTAGGGGCCTTGTGACCATTGGAAAAGTCTAGCAGTAAGATGAAATACTGTTTAGTGCTGTGTTGTTATCAAGTGGTACATATCAGTGGTAACAAGATTTCAATTGTTGCTGTGATGGGGTATTTAAAACATGGGTAAATGGAATACTGAGAGTTTGGGTTTTAAAGTGACTCTGAAGGTAGTGGGGTGATGGATCCTTTTTGGAGGAGAGCTTTTTGGCAATATCTGTGAAAATGTTAAATACTGCTCATCTTTCATCCAGCACTTCTGCTTCTCAGAATTTCTCTTTCTGAAACACGTGTGCATGTCTCCAAAGTAGCATTGTGTTTAACAGCCTAAGTGACCAAAATAGGGACTTGGGTAATTATAATACATGCTTACAATGAAATGCTTACCTGAACATCCACCAAAATGGAGGAGGTTGAACTACAGGATGTATTAAAATAATATGGGTAATATGGTCCCATTAATGAATAAAGCTGAAGAATCCAGAGACTACACCCAAAAGTTAATTGCGGTTATCATTGAGAAATGAGGGATACTACCTTTTAATACTTATATTTCTATAATATTTTAATATTTTATAGAAGCATATCTAGAATATTTCAATTTCTTCTACCAGTAGATTCATAATTTTTTTTAATGACCTTTTTATTTTAGAGTAGATGGCTAAATGGTATCAAATTCAGGCAGTTTTCTTTGTAACAATTTTGAGGGGGAGAAAAAGAAAAAAACCTAAAAGGGAAGCCAGAAGGAAAGCAAAAACCTTTTTGTCTCTTTAATTGGCTGTATCTAAATTTTTTAGGTGAAACATTGTCAGTGGCATTTCATTTTTTTATAAAATGCTGATATGAACCTTGCAGAAATTAATGAACTGATATTGACTTAGTTTGAAATGAACATCAAGATTTATTGAGCAAAGCAGTAAATATTGACCCAGCCAAAGATAAGGTCAATATTTACTTTGACATAGCATAAATCCTAATATTCATTAATGTATAAATTTATTGTGTCAACACAAGGCATACAGAAGTTGTATATAAATATTTTTTTCATATCTGCGATGAATCAGAGTCAAACATCTTTTTTCTTGGTTATAAATTTAAAAGGACAATGTTCTCTTCTTTGAAACTACCTTCTTTGGGGAGAGGGGTGTGCGCGTGGGTGGAAGGACATGATTAATTTAAAGGTTCAAAGGAAAAATATACCTAGCTGAATACATGTGTTATAATTAGAGCACAGTGATTTGCATGTGCTCTGTGATTTACTTAAGGGCTACCAGTTTTCCTTTCTAACCTAACAAAACGTTCTCTTTCATTACATCTGATTTGATTCATAAAGCCCACCCACTTCTTTTTTCTTTCTTTTTTTCCATTTTTTGAGACAAGGTCTCACTCTGTCACCCAGGCTGAAGTGCCTGGTACTGACTATAGGCGCACACCACCACACCTGGCTAATTTTTGTAGAGTTGAGATTTCACCTTGTTGGCCAGGCCGATCTCAAACTCCTGGGCTCAAGCCCAGTATTCCCGATTTAGCCTCTCAAAGTGCTGGGATTACAGGCATGAGTCAGGGTACCCACCTAAAACCCACCTTCTGATGATATAAAACGGGGACTTTCTGTCTTTCCCTCTGGATATTGTTAAACTACTTACGTAGAATTTTGTTTGGTAAATAACATATTGTTGGTGTATATCATACTTTATAATACTTTATTGGCTGAAATTTCCCATGTTGAAATTATCTTAGTTTATTATTATTATTTTTGAGCCAGAGTTTCACTGTGTTGCCCAGGCTGGAGTGAAGTGGCACAATCTTAGTTCACTGCAACCTCTGCCTCCTGGGTTCAAACAATTCTCTTGTCTCAGCCTCCTGAGTAGCTGGGACTACAGGCGTGCACCACCACGTCTAGCTAATTTTTGTATATTTTAGTAGAGACGGGGTTTCACCATATTGGCCAGGCTGGTCTCGAACTCCCGACCTCAGGTGATCCGCCCACCTCAGCCTCCCAAAGTGCCACCACGCTCGGCTTCATGTTGAAATTATCAATTTGAGTTGAACTCTCATTCTTTATCTTGTGCCTTCTCTTGGTGGGGTGGTCTTGGTAGCAGTAAGAAGAACGTAAGGAGGACCCATTTCACTGGATTGTGAACTTTTAGAATTGCCAATATGTAGTTGGAATAAGTGTCTAATATATGCTTAAAGACTGAATTTTCTCGCTGTTCATTTAAGCGAAGAAAGTAACTCAGTCACAAGCTTAAGTATAATCTTGTCCCTATGCAATAGTCTTATATGATCCTGTTGTGCTCAGTCCACCTGGCATGTTCTTTGAGTGTAAAGTGGTGGTGTTAGTTTCAGTGTTTGGCTGATCTTGAAATGACCATCACTTCTCTCTCTCAGCTGGTAATCTCCTATGACCCTGTTTGAGATCAGCTACCTGAAGGGTGGTTATCTTCTTGGTTGTCTTTCTTGCTATTAAAACTTAACTGTCCTATGTTTCGTTTACTTTAAGGCCCATTTTCTGTTATGTAACTGATAACTTGTGTAGGTTAAAAACTTATCAGTGGTGTGTATATAACATAGAACTTTGCCTTCTTGAGAAATGCTTTCTAATAACTTCAGGAATTCTCACTTTTCATTCATGTCACTATAGTATATAATAATGTTTTCCACTGCGTGTAGTGGCTCACACCTGTAATCTCAACACTTTGGAAGGCTGAGGTGGGAGGATCACTTGAGCCGAGGAGTTCGAGACCAGCTTGGGAAACAAAGTGAGGACCTGTCTCTACAAAAAAATTAAAAAATTAGCTGGGCATGGTAGCTCACGCCTGTAAGTCCCAGCTACTCGGAAGGCTGAGGTGGGAGGATCGCCTGAACCCAGTCAAGGCTGGAGTGAACCCTGATCACACCACTGCATTCCCAGCCTGCGTGGCAGAGTGAGACCCTGTCTCAAAAATAATAATAATAAGAATACTAACAATGTATTCCTTGAGTGTAGTATTCATTGGCATTTTTATGTCATGTGAAAAATGACTCTATGACTCTCCTGTGATACAAATATTTGACTTTCACATAATAAAGTCATTTCTTCTTGAGGTTTTTTTTTTTTAAATCAAGGAGAAAGTGAGTTTTGTACTAATAGGTCTTTAACATCTCTCTGTCACTTGCTCATACCTCTTTTTATCAAGAAGAGATAGGACTGACCTCAGTCTGCTGGGAGAGTATCTTAGAATTTGATCTCGTGGATTTCATTATACCCTGGTACCCTTCATGTCTGGCAAGCCATGTTAGTTTTCCGTTTTGATGTGTTACATTTCCTATTAAGTCATATTTGAGATTTTATAAAAAGTGGGCCAGTTTAAAGAAAAATTTTATCTAAGCAGTAGTACAGCTGGCTTTCCAATATGGCAAAATAAGTCTTTCTGTAGGAGATATCACCATTTTGGCAGGATTGAAAAGCCTCTTGTTTTGTGCCATATAATCAAACTATATCTGTGATTTGAAAAATGACAAAGGGTATAATAATTCCTAGAATTGGTTTTAAAATGAAGGAAAATAGTATCCTAGTTCAAAAGTTATGGCTCATTGTAAGTGCTGGTCTGGTATAACCATACAGATTGTTTAAAATCTTTAAATAAATACTTGGCCCAATCCCTTTTGTTCCCCCTTTCTCGCTGCCCTGGAAACTCCTTCTCTTATTTTGGGACCTTTTAAAAATCCTACCTTAGACCTGTAAACCCACTCTGTACCATCTGCTGTGACTGATTATTATCTCTGATTTGTTAAATGATTTAAGTTTCATTTCTGCTTATCATGACTTGGAGGGAATTTCAGAGTGATAGGCCTGACTTGGTAGGGTTTTGGGATATGTATTATACTCTGCAACCCATTCCTTTGTTTTTTTACATTTTATTTTAAGTTCAGGGGTACTTGTACAGGATGTGCAGGTTTGTTACAAAGGGAAAGTGCGCCTGGTGATTTGCTGCACCTATCAACCCATCACCTGGGTATTAAGCCCAGCATGCATTAGCTATTCTTCCTGATGCTCTCCCTCGCCCCTCCCTGCTCTCCAGGCCCCAGTGTGTGTTGTTCTTTTCCCTGTGTCCATGTGTTCAGCTCCCTCTTTAAGTAAGAACATGCAGTGTTTGGTTTTCTGTTCCTGCATTAGTTTGCTGAGGATGATGGCTTCCAGCTTCATTCACATCCCTGCAAAGGATGTGAATGAAGGATCTCATTCCTTTGTATGGCTGCATAGTACTCCATGATGTATTTGTACCACATTTTCTTTAGTCTATCATTGATAGGCATTTGGGTTTATTCCATGTCTTTGCTATTGTGCACAGTGCTGCGATGAACATAGGCATGCATGTATCTTTGTAACAGAATGATTTATATTCCTTTGGGTGTATACCCATTAATGGGATTGCTGGGTCTAATGGTATTTCTGATTCTAGGTCTTTGAGGAATCGCCACACCATCTTCCACAATGATTGAACTAATTTAAATTCCCACCAACAGTGTAAAAGCATTTCTGTTTCTCTGCAGCCTCTCCAGTATCTGTTGTTTCTTGACTTTCTAATCATCATCATTCTGGTCAGGCATGGTGGCTCACGCCTGTAATCCCAGCAGTTTGGGAGGTTGAGGTGGGCAGATCACTTGAAGTCAGGAGTTCAAAACAAGCCTGGCCAACATGGTGAAACTTCATCTCTACTAAAAATACAAAAAAATTAGCCAGGCGTGGTGGTGGACACCTGTAACCCAGCTACTTGGGAGGCTGAAGCAGGAGAATCGCTTGAACCCTGGAGGTGGAGGTTGCAGTGAGCTGAGATTGTGCCATTGCACTCCAGCCTGGGCAACAGAGTGAGACTCCGCCTCAAAACAAAGAAACAAACAAACAAACAAACAAACCGTCATCCTGACTGGCATGGCGTGGTATCTCACTGTAGTTTTGATTTCTGCAACCCATTTCTTGAATTGAGTTGATCTTGAGAGTTTCCTTGGACACGGGAAGCCACTTAATCCAGATTTCCTATTTCTGTTGATCCACATTCTTCCAGCTTGAAAGCCTTTTTCTGGGGGAGGAAAACAACCTTCTTCTTAAAGCTGCATGAAATTTTGCTGCTCCCAAAGGCATCATTTAGTAGCTCTGCCCCAATTATTGTTGGCCACTTTTCCTCCTGGAAACTGTTTTTCTCTGTCCCACCCTTCCCCCTAGTTCCAAATGTTAGGCTGATGTTCTTCTTTTTAGCAGAGTGTGCATGCCATTAGTACACTGAGTATTGATTGGTCATTGAGAGATTTTAGCAGGAAAATGAAATATGAAGCTCTTCTTGGCTGTTGGACTAGCACCTGCAAAGATGAGCGAAGGCATTTTTAGTGTGTTTCTGGCTCTGGGGCTCACTGTGATAATGGGAGGTATTTTCTTCTCGCTGTTGATAAGTACATGGTCCACACTCTCCTCTTGGGGAGTGATTTTGACACTTTTTGATGGTCCTATGGCTTTTACATTCTTATACCATTTCCTAATGAGTTATCTTTTCTCTCACCATCTACTAGGGTGTGAAAAGGGAGTTTCAACACTCAAGGCCAATTGAGCTGCATACCTGCTGTGCCAGAAAGAACGAGTTAAGATTTGCTTCTGGCTGGGCATGGCGGCTCATGCACTTTGGGAGGCTGAGGCGGGTGGATCACCTGAGGTCAATAGTTCGAGACCAGCCTGGCCAACGTGGTGAAACCCGTCTCTACTAAAAATACAAAAAGTAGCCGGGTGTAGTGGTGGGTGCCTGTAATCCCAGCTACTTGGGAGGCTGAGGCAGGAGAGACGCTTGAACCCAGGAGGTGGAGGTTGAAGTGAGCCGAGATCATGCCCCTGTACTCCAGCCTGGGCAGCAGAACAACACTGTTGCTTCTCTTTGACGTATGAGTACACCATAGCTAGCAATATTACTAGGATTTTTCTCCTAAATTCCCACGGAAGTCATTTCCGGGAGTATGAATGAGTATAAGGATTTGTTTTTGGATCAGTTTTAGCCTCTAGAAAAGACCCCCTTACTCTCCTGGCCTAAGCGTAAGGGCAGTTTATCGCCTTACATAGCACACCTAGGGTAGGACACCTCTGGGCAGCACCTTTGTACCCTGCCATCTTTAAGGTACACCCCATGTTGTTTAGGCTTTGCCATCCTTAGTGGGTAGGCTTGGTCCTTAGAATCACTTTCCCTGTGTTCTTAACATGGCTTCCAGAATTCTAGATGTCAAATACTGAGTACAAAGTTCAGAGGAGAAAGGGAACGTGTCCCTTTCTTATGTCTCTGTTGAAGAGCATGTAACATGTTCTTCAAAGCATCCCACCCCTGGTGAATCAGCCTTCATATTTTGTTGTCCAGACTTGGATCGTGTTCTCATGCTTAAACCAATTATTGGCAACAGGAATGGGATTAGCACTGCTGCCTTAGACTGATCAGGATCTACCCCGAAGTAGAGGTCCTGGAAATATAGCCCGTGTGGCTGCTACCTATACCTACCCTTGTCATCATTTTCAGGTGTTTTTTTTTTTGAGACGGAGTCTCACCCTGTTGCCCAGGCTGGAGTGCAGTGGCATGATCTTGGCTCACTGCAACCTCCACCTCCTGGGTTCAAGTGTCTCTCCTGCCTCAGCCTCCCAAGTAGCTGGGATTACAGGCGCGCACCACTACACCCGGCTAATTTTTGTATTTTTAGTAGAGACGGGTTTCACTGTCTGCCACTACAGCACCTCCCAGTTTCAAGCAATTCTCTTGCCTCAGCCTCCCAGGTAGCTGGGATTACAGACTCCTGCTACCACGCCCAGCTAATTTTTGTATTTCTCCTTCGTTAGAGATGGGGTTTCACCATGTTGGCCAGGCTGCTCTCGAACTCCTGACCTCAGGTGATCCACCCGCCTCAGCCTCCCAAAGTGTTGGGATTACAGGCTTGAGCCACTGTACCCAGCCCATTTTCAGGTTTTAAAGGCTAACAACCCCATGGCACTTAATAAAGGAAAATGTTCTAGGAAAGAAATGTGTTTACTTTTGAAGTGAAAATTTGATTTCAAAAGCCTGACATCACTGCAAATAAAATAATAAAGCTCCATGAATTTGGAGTCCTTTATGGTATTCCTAGCTTCCCTGTACTCTTCTATAGTTACTAGTTACATTTGGCTATTTAAATTTAAATTAATTAAAATGAAATAAAATTTAAGATTCAGTTTCTCAGTCACACTAGCCAAATTTCAAGTTGTCAGGAGCCACACATAGCTACTGACTACCCTTTTGTATTGCACAGATATGAAACATTTCCATCCTTGTAGGAAGCTCTATGTGACAGTGGTGTTCAGAGGATATAGGCATTATAGAGGAACCAGCAGGTAACATATTATTGAGTACTGAAGATGTGGGTATAAGACCTTTCTGAAAAGCTTGTATAGTGCCCCAGTTGTACAAGCTTCTAAAATTCAGGTAGACCTCCCTGTTCCTTTTGGAGGTCTTGAGAAGTTGACCTAGGGTATATTTTCTGAGCCTTGTTTTTACCAAGGTTCTGAATCTTTGGAGAAATACAGTGAGTGGAGCGTAGAAGTGAGGAGGCATGAGGGCATCCTCATACCAGTCTTCATTCATTGAGTCATTCAGTAAAAGTGTTTATCAAGCACAAGCCAGGTGGCAAACTCAGTTCGAGATTAGGGCTAACTACAACAGAGAACAAAACATACACAGTTCTATTCCTACCTGGTGGAGGTGGACAGAGCAGCATATACAAAGTAACATGTAGTATCATCACATCATTCTGTGAAATAAAGTGTAAAGTGAGGTGGTGCCTAGAGAGGGATTTAGGGGAGAGAGTTGTTATTTTAGCCTGGGAAGACCTCTCTGATCAGGTGATACTTGAGCAGACATCTGAACACAGAGGGACTGAGCCTTGTGGCTATGTGAGGTAAGCATTGCAGGTAGAGGGAAGCGGGGGAGATAATAGCACTTGGAAAGGTTCAATGTTATACCTTAAACTACTCTGTGAATTTTAATTAGGCCTCCTTCTAGAACCTTCTGGCCCTGTATTCTTGCTTAGGATAAATTTTGCATTGTTCTAGAGAAGTAGTTCTCAAGTGGGGACTCTTTCCTTTTTGTGGAATATCTGACACAGTCTGCAGACATTTTTTGGTTGTGACAATTGGAGATGGTTGGGTGGCCAACTGGCATTTAGTGGGTAGAGGAACAAGATGCTGTTGAACATCCTACAATGTACAGAACAGCCCCCACAATAAAGAATTATCTGGACCCAAATGCCAATAGTGCCAAGATTGACGAACCCTAAACTGAAGGCTCACCAGAATCCATCGTTTTTACACAGTTGGTCTCCATGCTGCTGTGAGGTTCTACCTTTCTAGCCAGTCCTTAATTGAATGAGTACGTGGCACAAACACAGCAAGGTGTGTTGTGCACAGTGGCTAAGGTATTAGAGAATAAAGTGAGTGTCATGGTGTTCAATCATCTTTGGAGATTAAAGAGTAGAAATGGAAAGCTTGGCAAGTTGACCATTTCAGAAATCTGTGCATGAAATCATAAAGGAATGAATCACACTTCTGGTCGTGGTGAAAAGCCTACCTCGTAATGTCACATGGAGGTGATGAATGTTGATTGTGCTGCAGTAAAGAGGTGGTGAGATTGCTTTTATTATTATTGTTTTATTTTTGAGGTCTCTTGTGACTATGCCATTTGTCAACTCTTTGATCTAAGAGGCCGTTAGGAAATAATATTCATCTTAGTATTGCTAACCATGAAGGACCCTAAAGGATCAGCTGGCCAAGCCCCTACAGCACCCTGAGAAAATTTATAGTTACCCAGTTGTGAACCTTGACATGTCACTTCAGGGCTGGCAGGGAATAGCAGTTTCTTAAATGATCACTTTTCACTAAAGGAGTGGAAAGGAAACCAGAGCTGTGAATGGTGATTGACAGGCTACCGTGATCCAGCTTTTTGTCAAGTGTCAGCACCTTAATATTTGATAAGGGTTACATAAATGTAGTAGTAATGGCCACAGATATCTTCCAGAATAGATTTCTCACTTTTTTGTATAAATTAAGCAAAGCTACCTTGTGATGGGGTATAAATGCATGTATATTTATCTACACGTGTTATGGTGGCCTGAATTTTCCACAGAGCAGATGGCTGTTTGTACTCATTTGTTCCCAAACCCTCTTGTAGATATTTGAGTATAAAGATAGATTCATGTGGTCACCGCTTCTATGGAGCTCAAAGGCTCTCTTTCTCTTTTCTCTATTGAAACCCAATTTTTATTAGCATTGAAGGCCACTGACGTTGTAGGTTAAACATAAAAACGTCTAATATATCTATCTCAATACTCCTATTGCAGGTCTACGAGGAGTTTGAAAAGGTGTAAGATTATTTATACATCAGAGTGGCTCAGAAATACTTTTTCTTTAAATTGGAATGATAATATCATACCAAAAGTATTGATATATCCATTTAAATTGTGAGCTGTGAATGTTATTCCATCTTCCTTCATTCCTATACAGTTTCGAGCTCAAATTGGAGAAGGTCATGTGAAAACCACTTTTCTCCCCAAAGAAATGTTGGCATTATTTTAACATCTTTTTCCTACCCTGGATTCTTTCTCACATCCCAGACTAATTCCAAAAGAGTTTCTTCAGTCACTGCTGTTGACAAGAGACTTTATTTTTGGAGATAATTTTTTCTTGTTAAGTTTTCTTTCTTAGATTTTGATTCTAACATCTCTAATTGATAATCACATTTTCCAGATTTCTATCTATATATTAAAGGAGTAGATCTGGAATTTCAGCTCTCTTTAGTAGACTGCATTATAGAAAGGAAACTTTGTTCGTATCACACATGTATTATTTAACACCATTATTAATGTTAAAAAAAATTTTTTTTTTTTTTCGTTTAAGACAGTCTCACCCTGTTGCCCAGATTGGAGTGTGGTGTCATAATCTCTGGTCACTGCAACCTCCATCTCCTGAGTTTAAGCAATTCTCCTGTCTCAGCCTCCCTAGTAGCTGGGATTGCAGGCATTTGCCACCATACCCAGCTAATGTTTATTGTATTTTTAGTAGAGATGGTTTTTCACCATGTTGGCCAGGCTGGTCTCAAACTCCTGATCTCAAATGATCTGCACACCTTGGCCTCCCAAAGTGCTGGGATTACAGGCATGAGCCATCGCGCCCAGCCCAGCCATTGATTATTAAACATGTTACTTAGAAAGTAGAATTAGGACAGGAGCACTGGCTCAGGCCTGTAATACCAGCACTTTGGGAGGCCGAGGCAGGCAGATGACTTGAGGTCAGGAGTTCGAGACCATCCCGGCCAACATGGTGAAACCCCATCTCTACTAAAAATACAACAATTAGCTGGGCGTGGTGGTGCACGCCTGTAGTCCCAGCTACTTGAGAGGCTGAGGCAGGAGAATTCCTTGAACCTGAGAGACAGAGGTTGCAGTGAGCCGAGATTGCACCACTGCACTCTAGCCTTGTGACAGCAAGATTCCATCTCAAAAAAAAAAAAAAAAAGAAAGTAGAATTATCAAACTCCATTTTTTTAACTAATTTTTTATGTTAAAAAAGGCATACCATTTTCTTTTACTCTCATTTTGTTTTTGCTTATTCTAGTACATGATGATTTCCTTGTAGTAAATAGTTTTTTCTAATTTTCCCCATGTAGACAAATCCAAAATGCATACATGCTCATTTAAATAATTTGTCCACTGGTAACCTCAGCTGAGCGCTGCCCTTGGCAGAATATGTTTTACAGGATATTAAATGTGTTTAAAATATTCTTTCATATTAATTGGTTGGCATTTAGATGTCTTAAGTTGTTTTAATAAATTAGGGAAAGCTAGAATATAAAAGGTAGAAAATATATACATTTTCAGTGTTCCAAGACACTTTGGTGGACTATAGAATGCTTTAAATGCAAGTTAAGATGAATGTTTTATATTTGGCTGGGCATAATGGCTCATGCCTATAATCTCAGCACTTTGGGAAGCCGAGGTGGGAGGATCGCTTGAGCCCAGGAGTTCAAGACCAGCCTAAGCAACATAGTGGGATCCCGTTTGTACCAAAGGAAAAAAAAAATAGCTGGATATGGTGGCACACGCCTGTAGTTCCAACTACTGTGGAGGCTTACATAGGAGGATTGCTTGAGCCTGGGAGGTTGAGGCTACAGTGAGCTGTGATTGCACCAGTGCACTCCAGCCTGGGTGACAGAAAGCAAGACCCTGTCTCAAAAAAAAAAAAAAAAAAAAAATCTTGGTATTTAATTTTGATCTCTCACTACGGAACAGAATAGATTTATGCATTGGGAGGATAGGAAATATAATAATTAGAGATATATTAATTGATTTTAGATTTTTGTCTGTAAAATACTAGTCATAAATGCAGTTACTAGAATCCATGTTTATGGTCTTTGAATTTGATCAAGACAGAGAGTTATTCATCAAAAAGCCACTAGACCCACCATTTATCACAACTAATCGTGAACTTATATCTCTGTAACTCACAGGTATGATGTATGTCTTTTTTTTGGTAGGGATATTTACTACAGGAATTAATTTCAGACATTGGGAGACTTTTATAGCCATTTAACTGTTAGCTACCTAGAGATTTAAATAATTTTCCTGGTTTCTCTGTGTTAGCCTCTGGGAGTAGAGTTTCTCTGCACAAAAAGAATGTCATCAGTACAGAATTGTTGGAGTCTCTCTTTGCCAGCCTCAGTACTGAGTCTGTGTAGGAAGTCCCCGGCAAGTAGCTAAGTATGGGTTGTTGCTCGGAGAGCATTTTCTCAAAATCTGTGTCTGGAACATTAGTTGAGGAGGCTGTTCACAGGCTTTTTATGGCAGGAGGGTTCTGTGACCATGGAAGATTGGGAAAGGCCAAAGTAAAGATTGTCATACAGGTTTCTTTGCTGCAAGACTTCTCAGATCCTTTAATAGTCCACTCTTAATAGAATTGGAAACTTGTCCTTCACTGTGCACTTAGACGTCCGATTAGAAAGTGAGGGAAAGAGGAAAATAGTTGTGTGGGGGAGGGTGTGTTTGCCCAGGGAAGAGGGGTATGGGGGAGGAGAAAGGTTGATTCTCCTGAGTTGGCTCAGTGTCTACTATCATAATGATTTCCCCACAGCTTTATGAGGGCTGTGCTGCTGTTGTGAGGTGTGGTCACAGGGAAATTTCAGTCTGAAAGATGAGTTCCACATGATTCACACACCTCCTATGAAGTAGTAAAAGGAAAAACTATGCCAATTTACATTAGAAGTATTTTCCTTTCTTCTTTATTTCTTGGAAATGGAGCATTTGTGTATGAAAGAGTTCCTTGGGGGATAAAATGCCATTTAGTTTAATGTGATGACAATATGTATTTAAGTCACCATATGAAAATATTTACTAGAAACAATGACATTTGAATTTATGGACGTGAATTTTGCGTAATACCTTCCTTAAGAGGGTGATGATATATGGGAGTGTGGGATGGTTTTCTTTCACTGAATTTGGGATTAATAGAATTGTCACCCACAAATGTTTGTTTTTTTTGTTTTTGTTTCCATATAGGGTTTTACTCTGTCGCCCAGGCTGGAGTGCAGTATACTTTGGCCCAGTCATAGCCCACTAAAGCCTTGACCTCCTGGGCTCGTGATTGTTCCACCTCAGCTTCCTGAGTAGCTGAGACTACAGGTGTGTGCCACCACGCCTGGCTAATTTGTTCTTTTTCATAGAGATGGAGTCTCACTGTGTTGCCCAGGCTGGCCTCGAATTCCTGGCCTTAAGCGATCCTCCCAGCTTAGCCTTGCAAAGTGGTGGGATTATAAATGTGTGACACCACACTTAGATGCCCACTAATGGTTTGGTGAAAGGATTAAACCCCCCAAGAACTGAATTTTCAGTAATAAGGAATTGAAGATTTTAGTCAAGCCAGAGCACACATGATTGAACTTCAGCAGTGAGGGTACCAAAGAATATTACATTTGGAAATTAAATTTTAAGAGAGAAGAGGAAAAAAACTGGGCGTAGAGAGTATGGGGAGAGAATAAAATATGGTGAATATGGTGATGTGATTCTTGAACTGTCCTTTTGTTTTTTTCTGACTGTAAAGAGTAGCACATTCCCCAATTAGACAATCAGAAGTGTTTTCAGATGTTCCCACCTATCCCCTGGGGAGTCAGGGGCAGACTCCTTTTTGGTAGAGAACCCTCTGCTGTAGAACGTGCAAGAAATAATAATAAATAGTAATAGTATGGAAGAGTATAGAATTATTACATGGTAAAGGTGGCTGTGATTTTTGACCTGATAAGCTTATTTAGCCAATTCCAGAAGTTTCCTTATTGCAAAGTGGGCGGATTTTAAGTGTTCCTTACCAATTGTTAAATGTGGTGAGATGGATTTTATTTCCCTTGGATTCGTGCTATATCTGCCATGGAAAGCCTGGGTGGTGTTGATTGTAGCTCAGATTGAAAATGACAGCCAGGAGTTGCTTAGTTAATGGGGTATATGTTGGTCCTCAATTTGTGCAATTCATTGTTTAATGTGAATGAATAATTTAGGGATGAATGATTGGGTTCATTTTTAGACACTGGCTACCTTAACAGGATGATAGTTGACAGAGCTTCATGTTATATTTCCTCACGTGAAGAGCTAAAGTTGTTGCCCAGGTTAAGTCAAAACATTAGACAAGGTCATAATGTTAATTATTTGAATATGTTAAACTGCTGAATATACATACGTTGGTGCAAAAGTAATTGCAATCTTTTGCACCAACTTAATATATACACAAGTGTATATATATTTGTGTGGTGGTAGGACTAATTACTTAAATAATTTTTCTCAACTTTGCATATACTTTTTTCTTCCTGCATTTAATCTAGTTTCATTTGGATTATGTCTAGTTTCTGTGGAAGTAGCTTCATAAATAATTTAAATGATCTTTGATTTGAGACTGACTCTTAAAAATGGAAATTGCATTTATCTGGGTTAGAATTTTATCTAGGATTTTAATTTAATAGCTGTTATTTTTACTTTCAAATTCATATTTTAATACAATTAAAAGTTGGGTTTTTTAATTTGGGGACAGACAGCAAGCTGTTTTATTTTATTTTTGCCTGCCAAGGAATGCTTTTTCCTTGACACGGACAAGGGTGCTCTTTCTTTTTCTGTTCTAGCTCTCCTGTGTCTTGGACTTCTTAATTCTTTCTGGTGGGATTTTTCTCCCTTCCTTCTTTACCTTTCACTAGAGATAGAGTTATCCTTTCTTCTGGCTCTTGTTTCCCTCCCAAGACAGCTACATCTCACCATTTGCCTTGGCCTCCTTTATTTCTCCTTCTATTCATCTTTTGTACTTGGAGTGGTCCGCAAGGTGAGGAGAGTTGAGCTCAATGAAAAGAAGGTAGATTTTTGCCTTTTTTATGCAGAACAATGTCTTCAAAAAAATCAGAACAGAAAAAATAAGATGCATTCTAATGGATCTTTGACACTTTTTGGTAATGAAGCTTTTAGTTCCCATAGAGTTGTGTGTAGGTCAGAAAATCTGCCAAGTTTCTTACTCTATGTTCAGCTCAAGTTTGCTCTGGCACCAAAGAGGAGAGAAACGGGGGGTTGCAGAAAACAGGGGGTTGAGAGCTTTATCTTTTTGTCCTTTACTTTCATCTAAAAAAAAAAAACTTTCTATGTAAGTCAAAAGGCATACTAATTTTATATTTCAGTGTTTCTTTGAGTTTCATTTAGACCATACAAGCTGACCATGACATATGACTTCTATGTGTTCAGTCACTTAAGATCATCAAATGCCTAGACTTTTTATTTGAAATCTTTGGCATCCCTTCTAACTTGTGTTTTGCAGTTAAATTACTTTGGAGATGAGATAGAAATCTGAACCAAAAATAATTATTGTAACTATGCAACTCTTATTTCCTACCTTGGCTTAATGTGTTCCTATGTGAACTGTGTTTGTTTGGAACAATTTAAAAATATATCTCCTCTCATCCTTTTTCTTTCCTGAACCATAGTAGGCTTTGGTGAGCAGATATGAAAATTGTGATGACCAGGCTGGGCACAGTGGCTCACACCTATAATCCCACCACTTTGGGAGGCTGAGGTGGCGGGTCACCTGAGGTCAGGATTTCGAGACCAGCCTGGCCAACATGGTGAAAACCTGTCTCTACTAAAAATACAAAAATTAACCAGGCATGGTGGTAGGCGCATGTAATCCCAGCTACTCAGGAGGCTGAGGCAGGAGAATCACTTGAACCTGAGAGGCGGAGGGTGCAGTGAGCCGAGACGATGCCTCTGCACTCCAGCCTGGGTGACAGAGTAAGACTCTGTCTAAAAAAAAAAAAAAAAAAAAAAAAAGAATGAATGAATATTGTGATGATCTCTGAATCATCTTCATGTTCCTTCTTTGCCAATTCCCATCGGGGCCAACCAGGGACAAACTCAGGACTTCCTGGGAAATTATACAGTTGAGGGAGGGCGTTAAGCAGGGAGGTGTAAAATATGTTCTTGGAGACTACTTTGTCTACCAGAATCTGTGAAGCACTCGTTTAGTGTTGAATGAGGAATTTAGGAATGATTGGCCTTTGTTGCTGCCAATCATGGTGATGTGTGTATAGGATTATCAAAATGTGTTACAAATCAACCTGCTCATTCACATTACTCCTTTTCCGTAATGTCTAATTTTTGTATCATTAATATTTTTATATTTTATAAAGTATAAAATATTAATATTGATTTTCTTATTATAGCTGATCAATCAGTGGAAAAATGAATAATGTAACCTGCTATTCCTTTCCCCCAAGCCTACTTTCCTGAGATCATGATTATAATCTTTGTACATACACTCTTTTCTTTTTTTAAGCATTTGCCTTTGGTGACATCATTCTCTTCACAATGTAGAGTAGATATCCATCTGAGTCAATACATAAAAATCCATGTTTTTAAAAATAACTGCATCTGTTCTGCAGTGTAGATAGACCATATGTTATTCAAACATTTCCTTCATGATGGACATTCACTTTGTATCAAGCTTTTTCACACTACCAAAGCACTGCAGTATCTATCCTCATGTGCTGGTGCGTTTATTTTTGTAGGAGAGATGGTCAAAAATAGGGTTGCTAGATCAGAGAATATGCTGTAACTTTTTCCCGTGTCCTTCAGTATGGGGATTTTCAGATTTGATTATTTCTACCACAACGAATGGGAGAAATGAGTGGAACTCCATAATAATATAGACTGAAAATAAGTGAATTGATCAACAATGAAGGAATTGCTTTTAGAGGCAACATTTGAAAAGCAAGAAAGACAAGATAACATTTGAAACATTAGATGTTGGTTTGCTGAACTTAAAACAAAACATGCAGGTGTCTATCTTAGGAAATATGTGTGTTATCGGCTGGTGTAGGGTAGGGTGGTGGTAGGTTTGCAGAGGGGTTGAATGTATGCAATAAATTATTTGGAAGAGTGTGTTATTGATGCAGTCAGGTGGAAATTGTTCAGAAAAAAAGTGACAAAGACCATACAATGATAGTTAATTACTAATTAGAAATTTAGAAGATGAAATTTTACCAGGTAGAATATTTGAGAAATAAAAGTGATCTGTTGCTTGAGCTGAAGAGGAAGAGGAAAGATAAACGCCTAACTACAGACCATTGGTAGCAATGTAATAATAATAAAAGATTCCAATTTGATAGAAAGAAGTGGTGAAAACTTTCAGGGATGCTGTGGATTTGGAAGATCGATACATGTGGCCAAAATAAAAGACTTTTGGGATTGGACATGGTTATTGGATAAATAATAATGTATTGAGCATTTCTTTTGTGTAAAAGTGTTTTAGGTTAGTAATGTCTTTTAATTCCTCCTATCAGTCCTAAGAGGAGAGTATGATTACTGCTGTTATTATATAGCTGTGAAAATTGAGGTTCATAAAGAACTTGTCCAAAGCTCACTGCTGTATCCTGAGATCTCAAAAAAGAGCCTAGGATGCTGTGTATGCTTAGGGAAAAAAAATTGTCATGTAAATAAAAAAGTTAAAACCTTCTCCCCCATTGACTTTTTTTTTTTTTGAGACAGAGTCTTACTCTGTCACCCAGGCTGGAGTACAGTGGTGTGATCTTGGCTCACCACAACCTCCGTCCCCCGTGTTCAAGCAATTCTCCTGCCTCAGCCTCCCAACTAGCTGGGATTACAGGCGTGCACCACCACGCGTGGCTAATTTTTGTGTTTTTAATAGAGATGGGGTTTCACCACATTGGCCAGGTTGGTCTGAAACTCCTGACCTTGGGTGATCCAACCGCCTCAGCCTCCCAAAGTGCTAGGATAACAGGTGTGAGCCACTGTGCCAGCCCAGACTTTTTCATTCATTCCAGGCTTAGAGAGTATCTAAGAGACTACAGTCCTTTCCCAAAGTTGACCGCATAGAACACAGCAAAGCATGACATTGAAGAAAGATTTTGTCAAAAATCGAGTTAATTCTCAAGTACAAAGTGCAGATGAGTTTGATGACTGAGGGGTTCCCAGAATGGGAGACATTCATGCTACTCTGGCCAGCACACCGGGAATGTGTGCCTGGGACCAGGAGTAGTAGTTATTCATTTATATGCATTCAGCTAATCATTTTTGCAGACGATTGCATGAATATAAGTACCCCATTTGGAGTTTGCTTGCTGGCACTTGAAAATTTGGCTGTCTTATATATACGAAATGTGAGAGTTGGTACTGGAACTGTTGCATAAGAGTCCAAATAGTTTACAAATGCAGTGAGATCAATTGCAGCCTAACCAGAGTAGCACCAGAGGACAAGAAGGCCACAAAGACTCTGGCAACTTCAGTTGGATGCAAATTTCAAGTCTGTTCCAGTTTGTTTTCTGTTTAAAAGGCTGGATGTGTCTTGCACACTCTCTTGGGAGATTTCAAAGTTAAAATTATTGTTTTATAATTAGCATCAATATAATCGACTTGAGAGGAATGTTGCATGGATTAGTGCATGCAGGCAGCAGGGAGTGAAGGATGCTTGCCTACCGGTGTCTCTGCTTCATTCCTCATCCACATATGGCTATTGAGCAGCTTCTCGGGTTGTTAAGAAAACACAGCCTTGAAAAGGTTATTAGTTAAAACAAGATGGGAATGGACGACTGAGTGACCCAGAGATTGGACTGTGTTTGACCTTTTCCCAAAGTGGAGAATGTATTCTTTTGTAATGCCCACTGTATCCACTTCAAGTTGCACCTCTTTCTCTGTGCCTTCCATACTTCTGAATTCCCAACAGGTGACCTCCTTCCCAACCCCAGTTAATTTTTTTGACTCGTATGTGATGGTGTGTGACATTTTATCCCTTAAAGAAAATTGTTGTTGTTGTTGTTGAGACAGAGTCTTACTCTGTCTCCCAGACTGGAGTGCAGCGGCACAATCTTGGCTCGCTGCAACCTCTGCCTCCCAGGTTCAATTGATTCTCCTGCCTTGCTCTCCTGAGCAGCTGGGATTACAGGCATTTGCCACCACACCGGGATACTTTTTGTATTTTTAGTTGAGATGGGGTTTCACCATGGTGGCCAGGCTGGTCTCGAACTCCTGACCTCAAGTCATCTGCCCACTTTGGCCTCCCAAAGTGCTGGGATTATAGGCATGAGGCACTGCACCAGGCCCCTTAAATAAAATCCTTTCAGTAATTTTAAGCTTGCAAGACTGTATGTAGCAAAGCTTGCAATGCAACATGGCCTGCTTTGGTTCCTGAATATGGGCAGATGTTTTTAATCGTATTAAAATAATGTTACGGGAGAAATGCTAACCTCATAATGGAAATCTTCTTTTTGATAATTTAGTCGATATTAAAAGACAAACTGAGTCTTAGGAAATGCTCAACAATCCTAGAAATAGCTTCATGTAAATAGTTTGTTTCCATGTAAAACAAACACCAAAGGTCTTGGCTAAGAAATCAAGGTTCTGCAACCCAAATGTCCAACAATGATAGACTGGATTAAGAAAATGTGGCACATATACACCATGGAATACGATGCAGCCATAAAAAACCATGAGTTCATGTCCTTTGTAGGGACATGGATGAAGCCGGAAACCATCATTCTCAGCAAACTATCGCAAGGACAAAAAACCAAACACTGCATGTTCTCACTTATAGGTGGGAATTGAACAATGAGAACACTTGGACACAGGAAGGGGAACATCATACACCGGGGGCTGTTGTGGGGTAGGGGGAGGGGGGAGGGATAGCATTAGGAGATATAACTAATGCTAAATGACGAGTTAATGGGTGCAGCACACCAACATGGCACATGTATGCATATGTAACAAACCTGCTCGTTGTGCACATGTACCCTAAAACTTAAAGTATAATAATAATAAAATTAAAAAAAAAAAGAATTCAAGGTTCTGGTATAAGTCATTGCATTGGTCAGGTTGGTCTGACCCCTCCCACATCTCCAGGTTTGTATCTAGAATGTTAGCATCAAGAGTGAGTGGGAGCGTAAAGAATACTGTTTGCTAAGGGAATGGAACTGCTGGCCAATCCAGAAGTCTTTGGTCAGTTTATTTCTTTGGGTGAGTGAGACCTATGAGCTTGACTTACTTCCTTAAAGGTTAGATGATTTTTTTGACCCCAAGTTCTCATTTTTATTGGAATAAAAAAATTAGTTGTATCGCATAGATTAAAATCAACACAGGCGCTTTCCCCTGCTGTGCGAAACACTCTTTGAAATCCCAGGTGTCACTTTATGCTTATGGTAAGAACCCGTTTGTGTCTGTTGTTAATTATTTTCTCTTGGTCAGACCAGTTCCCCAGCCTCAGAAAATTTCAGAGGAGAAAGTACATCCATAGTGAACTGGGAAAGTACTTTCTGTCCTAGAACTTATTAGGGCGGCACCTAGTTTACTACACAAGAAATTCTATCCTTTTAACTGGAACATCTGGGTTCTTAATGCTCTCTGCTTGCAATTATCTGTAGCCTTATATTTTGCCACGGTCTGTCTTGTCATTCTTGAACATTCTCCATCTGAATGCTAATTTGCACACATTCTGTAATTGTGTGTAACTGTGCTTCTTCTTGTGTATTAAAGTCCTCCCTGTCTTTAAGAGTAACTTAAAAACTACTTCTTTGCCTAAGTGTTGCCAGATTTTTTATTTTGCTCCACCCCTTAATTTGAATTAATTATTGCACGCCTGTATAACTTTACTTACTATTTCTGCACTGAACTGTAGCTAACTATTGACTGGTATGTTTTCTTTGCATACTGGTTTGTGAAATTTGTGGGGGTCGAGGTTCAAGTCTCATTCCTCTTTGAATCTTTCCTGGGCCTAGATCAGTACTGCATATGAAGTTCTCAAATAAATATTTGAAGCATTTCGTTGAATTGTGTGTCTCTGGAATATCAGAAATGACATTTCTCTTAGTCAATACCTAATAAAATTTTACTCGGTAGCTTTATTTTTTAAAGATCCATACAAGTGCTGTCCAACAGAAGTTTCTACAATGATGGCAATGTTCTATGCTGTGCTGTCTAACACAGCAGCTACTTGCCACATGTGACCATGGAGCACTTGAAATATTGCCAGTATGGCTGAGGAACTGAATTTTGAATTAAATTAAATTTAAATTTAAATAGCCACATGTGGCTAGTGGCTACCATATTGTACAGCAAAGGCAGAGAAATAAGCTTTCAATCTTGATCTTTTCCTCTTTCATTTCAGCAATCTTTATTAAGCACCTATTAGGTGGCAATACATTTTCTAGGCCCTGGGAATACCAAGATGCATTGGTTAATTCCAGGACTGAGACAACTGTCACGGTACTGCAGAGAGATCAACAGGATCCTATCATTCATTAACACAGGACAGTAAATGCAGTGCTGTTAGGGTTAGCAGGGAATCGGAGACATTTAGAAAAGAGTGGTGTAAAGCCAGGGATCATTTTCAGCCAAAACCGTGGAAATCCGGGAAGACTTTTAAAGAGGTCAAGGAGGGTATCACACAGGAGGATTACGTGACAAGAACATATTTTATGGGCCCTCAGTGGGGAGGCCATTTGTGGTTGATCTGTTTCTAGATAACGTGAAACATGGCAGAGGGTAATCACATCATCTGTTCACCATATTTTTATTCTGAAGAAAGTCTCCCATAATAAAAGACAGAGTGAAGTCCTATTACTTTGTCCATTTATTTGACTCTAAGCCCTGACATTGTTAAATTTCCAGAGTTTCAGATACCAAGTGTATTTAGCTTATAGTTGGTTCTTCAGTGCCTAGTACAATACGTGCCATTCACTCATTCATTCATTCATGTAACAGGATACTTGGAGGCCTGCCCCATGCCAAGCACTGTGGCTCCACTGGAGGTTGTAACCCATTTTGTTATTGGTAGAGGGTCTCAACTGCAAGTTATCCAGGTTCTTGGTGTTTTGATCAAAGAATTGGACAAAACGCTCAGAAAAGTGAGGAAAAGAACGAAGGAATGAAAGCTGAGATTTATTGAAAATGAAAGTATACTTTACAGGGTGGGAGCGGCAGGGGCTCAAGGGCTCCTGTTATAGAATCTCATGGGATCCACATGCCCCCTAGAGGTTTCTTATTGGCCACTTGGTGTTCACGCCATGTAAATGAAGTAGTGGCCCACAATCAGAGGCTGAACTGAAGTTACAAAGCTGCACTCCTATGCAAACGTCTGATTGGGTGGGGAAAAGCAACTAATCAGAGATACTTTCAATTTTCCATCTGCTATGCAGAAAACTTGGGATGGGGGTGGGTTTGCAAAGGGAGTAGCTTCTGGTCCTCTTGTTACTTAGGCCCGGAACGTTGGGGTTTTTCTTTTGATTTTGTTCTAGGAAGTCAGTGTGAATCAGCCTTAGGTTCCCTGCCCCCAGACCCTATTCTCCTGCCTCAACTTGGTCCCTGCTACTATCCTGAGACCCATCTTAGTTGGCCTGTCAGGTGAGAAACTAGTGAACACATCAATAGATAGTACTGACCTACTGTAGCCTTGAAGGAGTGAAGGATCTCAGATAGATAACAGCAGCAGGATTGATTTTAGGCAATGGTGAGGGGAAGGTCTCCCAGTCATGTGATGAGTCAGGGAAAGAATTCCAGGCAGAGGGACCAACAAGTATCAGGACCACGTGGTGGGAAAAGCACATGGTTTGTTCTAGCATCTGAGTGCAGACCCTGGAAGCAAAGCAAAGTGAGAGAGAGAGGAATAGTGTGACAATGAGGTCTGAGAGGGAGGGAAGGAGGAAGGAAGGAGCTGGATCCTGCAGAGTCATGTAGGATGCATTAAAGACAATAAAATCCTAAGGATGATGAAAAATAATCATTTCAGGAGGATTTACACACACACAGACACACACACACGTTCTAAGGGAGGGAAGTTTGCAAAATTTTAGTTTACCTTTGAAGTTACTGAACACTTCTCATGGTCAGTCATGTTGCTCTTTTGAGATACCTCATTTTGGCCATAGATTAAAATGCATTAAGAAGCTGCACAGAGTTGTACATTCTCCTGAGAGTGCTTGAAGCTGAGCAAACTGGGGAAACATCAGATGAATCCTCGGGGAGGAAAAAGTGGAAGATATAATGCTATACAAGTAGGTTTTGACTCCCAAGTCTAATTTTAAGAGTAAGCCCCCCTATGAGTGGCAGTAATTGGCTGGAAGAGTGTGATTGCTTCTAATTGCCTTCCTAATGACACGTGGCAGTGTTGGGAGCTGCAGGCTTGGTGCCTGGCACTGTACATCACAGATGACTTGACCCCGGGGAGATAGGGCTAAAATATCTCCCTAAGGTGAGCCTTTTTTTGCAGTCCTCCAGTCAGTGAAGATGGAGGGATGTAGGTTATGTGAATGGTCCTTTAGGCATTTTAGGTAGGCATGTTCCACCTCAGAGGGTAGATATCCTACCAAACCTTTCAGCTTTAGGAAGATTAGCTTCTTAAATTTTCATATTTTAGCTCTTGTTTAGTAATCAGTGGAGTATTCCAAGAAGTTTATGTTGCATAGATGCTGTTAATATCCCACCCACATTTTCTTATTTTCAAGCACTTATATTTTTATTTTTTGCATGCTGACCTGCTGTCCTCCTGCTGGCACTTGCAACTCTTTCCCCAAGGGCTCTATGGGGCCACAGATGACATGTTGCCATCCAGAAGGGCTGGGGGAATCCATGTCCGATAGCGAGCAGCTCTGAGGCGATAATTGATCAGAGTTAGATATTACCTTCCCTTATCTTGTTCCCTACTCCTCTATTGTTTCCTGGGTCACCTCCCAAAGAAAGTATTGGTACCTCAATCTTTGTCTTGGGACCTGTTTCCTGGGAAAGCCAGACTAAGACACACTACCTTAAGAAAAGTTGATGTAAGAAGTTAATGGCCAAAAAGCTTCATTGCCAGACGTGGAAGTCACATATGAAACCCAAATGTGTTTCTCTGAATAAGACAAAGTCAGCGTTACTATATAAAGTTTAATCAAGTGATGACAAGTTACTTGAAATTAGTCATTTAATCAGCAGCTCTGGGTAATGACAATCAGACTTTGTTTTGTTGTTTCATGGGAGGGATCACTTTTTGAAGCTGGAAAATACCAGAAACTTGAGTGGGGGGCAGGCAGCCACTTAGGCCCCCAGGAAGAAATTACAAGAATGCTTAATGAAGCATTATGAGTTTCCTGCTTGTGACTAAATCACAGGAAAACTGGATTTGTCTCTGATTTGGGCTGTATTTAGTCTGTGAATATTGTATTTGTTCACCCAGTGTTTTTAACATCCTTGGATTCGTTCCCAATATTTAAAAATTGGGGATTTTAATTTAAAAGGTCAGTATTAATATCTTCCTTAAATCACAGTGCACACATTCTGAATTGAAACAGTAAAGTCAGGCAGTTGGGCAACAGGGAGCCTGCATTCTTCCCTGACAGCAGTGTCTCTTCCTAGTCAGTCCCTACTGATGAGTGATATTGTGAACTTAGCCATTTATATGATCTGCCACACCCCATGAGACAGTTGTATTTGCATCCATGATCTAAGAATTTGTTTTCAGTTCATTAACCATTTGAAAAACTTAATTCTTAGGCACTCCTGCCAATGAGCTTTAAATAGGAAGATAAAATGTCCATGAAATTAAAATGTGTGCCTATGTCCATATTCTTTGCTTTTGAGGGCGATGTACTTGATGGCGTGATATTATAAGTTAATGGGATTTTGCTAACAAAAACATGATTAGCTTAGAGCTCTCCTACAACAGGCCTCCAGAGGGAATGGGGAGGAATTTTGGTAATTATGTAGCTCTTAGAGTATTTGACTTGGGTCTCTTTAGTTATCTTAGCTAATTTCACATGACTTGAGAGTATCTGCCAAAAATTGAGGCAACACATGGATATATTAAAAGGAGTTGGATAGGATAGCCTCAGTGATGGCCTCTGTAGGAGGAAAGATGCCTTGGGGCTGAATCTATTGGGAAATTTAATATTGATTCCCATCTTTCCACCTGCATTAAAAAAGTTCATAAACCTTTAGGAGTAGAAGAGCCAATGAAATAGAATTTGCCGAGTGTTTCACATAAAATAGGTTTAGTTGTGTGTGCTTTTCAGATAAAACGTTGAGGGATGACTAGGTATATGAGCATTTAGTCTGTTTTTCTAGATATAAAAGAGAAAAAACATAATTTAAGTTTGACAACTGTCCTTTGATTATTATTTATAATTTAATATATTTTTTGAAACTAATGAGGAATACTCTGTTTTGTGTGGATCAGTGAATTTGGGATACATATCATCACTTCCTACATCCTGACCTCTCCACTGAATAAAAATTTGAGAATGCTTAATCTATCATGAGTTTCCTACATGAGGCAAAATCACAGGCAAACCAGATTTGTCTCTGATTCTCTGATTTGGTCAACAAATATTTTGCTTTTATCAGTATGATAATACTATTCAGCTCTGAATGTAGACAGTTGATTTTTCAATTGAATTATTATGAGATGTTGATTACTAAATTAACAGAATTTATTAATTTCTCTTTTTTTTGAGATAGGGTCTTACTCTCTTATGTAGGCTGGAGTGCAGTGGCGAGATCATAGCTCACTGTAGCCTCAGCCTCCCAGGCTCGAGCGATCCTCCTGCCTCAGCCTCCCAAGTAGCTGGGACCCCAGGCATGCACCACCATGCCCAGTTTTTTTTTTTTTTTTTTATGGTAGAGATGGGATACTACTATGTTTCCCAGGGTGGTCTTGAACTCCTGGGCTCAAGCAATTCTCTTTCCTCAACCTCCCACCGATCTTTTGTTAATAAACATGATTTAAATCTGTCATAGCTTCAGCTCAGCAGGACATGACCATTGCAACCTCATTGAATGGGTATAATCCCCAGATCTAAGTGGAGATACTTTGTGGGTTGTTATTTTGTGCAGCTACTTTAAAATATTGGGAAACACCACTGTTGAGCTCCACTGTGACTTTGAGACCTTTAAGGCCAAGGGGCAAGGTACTTTATATTTCCATCTTCCTTTGGCTTGCATTAAACTTGCTTAAAGATGAGCTTACTCTAGTGTAGTTATCTCTTCTACTGTCTCCTCAATGTCAGATGTTGTTTATTTTCCAAGGTATCACTTGGCTAATTTGACAAACCAATCAGTGCTAATTTAATAATAGATGAAGACAATGCTTTATTCATCAATTTAGTCGTGTGTTAAATCGGTCAGTAAATTGAGTGTGAACCATCAGCCAGGCTGATGAACCCTGCCTTCACAAAACTTGGTATGAAAGACAGACATTGGACATATAATTTCACTAATCTTTGATTTTAAAATGTCATGTGTATAAAGACGTCTGGTGTACAGCTAAACAAAAGTGCTAGGTGAGCCAGAAACTGTGAAGTTTTAAGGACAAGAGTAATTGATTTTGTTAATTGAGGCAGAGTGCTCTGATGAAACAAGGGCTGAAAGAGAAAACTGAAGACGAATGTTTAACCTAGTTGACCTGGCGCATTTTAGAACCCTTCGTTTTAAGCTGAAGGTTATGATATGCTCTTTCATTCATGGTAATAATTGCTTGAGTCTGGATGAGTATCGTGTTTTGTTTTGTTTTGTTTTGTTTTTTAAATAGAGCTAGGGTCTCATTCTGTTGCCCAGGTTGGAGTGCAGTGGTACAGTCATAGCTTACTGAAGCCTCAAACTCCTGGGCTCAAGTGATCCTCCTGCCTTAGCCTCCTAAGTAATTGGGACTACAGGTGTGTACAACCATACCTGGCTAATTAAAACAAATTTTTTTTAAGAGATGGGGACTCACTATGTTGTCCAGGCTGGTCTAAAACTCCTTGCCTCAAGCAATCCTCCTGCCTCAGCCTCCTAAAATACTGGGATTACAGGCATGAGCCAGCACACCCAGCTCAGTTTGGTTGAGTATTCCATTTGTAATTCACTTTTTAAAATATATTTCAACATGGCAAGACCCTGTCTCCACTAAAAATAAAAATTAGTTGGACATGGTAGCATGTGCCTATAGTCCTAGCTAATTGGGAGGCTGCGGTGGGAGGATTGCTTGAGCCCAGGAGGTTGAGGCAGCAATGAGCTGTGTTTGCACCACTGCACTCCAACCTGGGTGACAGAGTGAGACCCGTGTCAAAAGAAAAAAGTGTATTTATTGATTATCTGCTTCATGCCAAGCATTCCTAGGAACTAAAATACTTAAAGAGTGTTCATTGTATTTAGGGTTGAGTAGATATAGATGCCAGTTCACACAGTATCACCATGTGATAACTACAATAATGCAGAAATGCATTGGTTGCTATAGGAACCAGCTATAATGTGTCCTAGGGTGTGGCTTGGTGGACAGGGAAGATGTCTGTGTGTCTGGGTGATATGTGTGCTGTGGTTGAGGAGGGTTGAGATGGTGTGTGCTGCGGGTTGAGATTGACGTTGAGTTGGGGTGGGAGTGGGGAGCTGGCAGCAGCATGTTTGGTGCAGTAGAGAAAGTATGAACAAGGGGTGGAAGCCAGGACTAGCATAGCTCATGCTGGGTGGAGGGCCACAGTGAGGTCCTAAGCCCTGGAAGGAATGTGAAGGCAGGCACTGGAGACAGATGAACTTGGGTTGCATATCGGGGCCTTGTCGTGGAGAGCCTTCATGCCAAGTTTTGGACTCTAAAGTGGAGACATGACAGGGATCTGTGCAGTGATTGACTGAGTTAATTGGAGGTGCTAGCTGGATGTACTGTTGGAAAAGTTCATCTGGCCATTGGGCATTTGAACCTGAGCATGGGATGGGGTCAGAGGTTTGGGATTAGCTTAGATGACTGAAGGAAAATTATAGAGCAATATCCCCTGAGAAACACCAATATTAAAGAAGCTGAAAAACCAAGAGGAACCTGCATAGAGAAGGCTAGGAATGGTGAAAACTACACTGTGGACCTAAGAGCAGTGGGTGAGCCAGAAACTGCTGCAGAATTTGGAAGGAGGTGAATAATTGGTGATGTCAGCGGGGCCACACTCACAGGAGCCTGCCATCCTATTCCCAGCAGCTGATCTGAAGGGCAAGGCTACATGCTGAGTGGCAGTGGGGTTGGGGGACGGGGTTAGGTGATGTTGGATTGAGCGAGAAGCAGCCGTCATTTAACTAATGATTTTCCCTTCCTTCATTTTTTTCAGATACTTATTTCTTAATGCACACCATAATATGTAAATATTTTTGATTCTATAAAGACATAGTTTTAACCTAATTGGGTGGGGGAGAGAGTTTGTGTGAGTGAGTCAAATGAATCATAGAGTTTATTCCTGGAATGAGTACGGACTGTGGTTGAGGATGTTGAGGGTAAGTTAGCAGCTGACATCTGTGTTTCACTTTAAGCTTCCACAAGACTTAAGCCAGATCTAGTTAGCTGATCATCTGCATAGTTGTTCTTTAAGTTGGGTATGCATAACGCTGGTAGATTAGGAGCTTGATAATTTCATTAAGTGATCATGATCTATTTCTTCTGCCTTTCCATTTTTACATGTAGAAGCAAATATCGTTACCAACCAAAATGACCCATTTGCTCTCATTATGAATTACAATTCTTTTAAAGAATTTAGTATGCATATCCTTGACCTTTTTTGAAATTAAAAATTATCTTGAAAATTTACCTCTCCGTCTGTAATTTCTGTGGTGTGCTCAAGAACAGCTTAATAGTCTGAAAACGGATGAATTTAAAATTAGAGAGTTGAAGGTCGTAACCCAGCAGTGATAACTCAGCTAATGAAATATTCATTTCCAAGTACGAAGTGGCACTGTATATCAATATGTTGTCACTGTCTGTCATCATTACGTAGAGCACAGGTATATTTATGCATTTATAAATAGCTAAGGGAAAAAAGAGGCTAATTACATGCAGAAATGCTACAGAAATTTCCGTGGCTGTGCTTCTAACAGGCAACTGCTAACCATTTTTCCAAGCCACGTTTGTGAATTAAGTATAGGTTCTGCACATTAACCTCTGCCGTATTTGGTTTTTAGAATGATGCTCTTAGGGGGAGGACAATTCAGGAGATATACATACTTTTTAAGGTCATGTCCACACTAGGGATTTGTTTATACAAATGTAAAATGAAACGTGCAATTTAGCACCTATCTAGAAAAATTAAACCGAAAACTGTTTGGTTTGAAAAATCTAGAACATTGTAGAAGAGAGATATATTTATATAATTAGCATCACCAATTAAGAATGAATTGACTTTAGCAAAAATCAATGTAATTATCTAGATAATTCAGGCTAATTAAAGACCTTCCCAAATCCTTAGATCTTCATTAGCTGCATGCTTCTGGTAAAAGCAGATTTTTGGGGTGTCACATTAGCTTTATATTTTGCATCAGTCTTGCTCTATTCTGCTGCCGTAGACCTGGCTTCAAATGATAGTGCCCACTTGATAAACAGATGTTGTTCAGGAGAAAATAAAATAGGAAATATAAAATATTCTGTGTCGAATTGAAAGCATGAGGGTCCTCATGTTCTTAGAATCTTCTTAGAAATACAGTATAAAATCTTTATATACAGATACACATTGACAACAATAGAGAACTCATAAGCAGTTACCTGAGCAGGGTTGAACATATAGGTAGGGTCATGATGATAATACACTAATGAACAGCCTGCCTTACACACATGCCTCCAATACACAGACACATACACACTTAGCTTAGGGAAGTAGGGCCACTTCTCTCCTGTTTGTTCTTTTCCTTGGATTCCTATACTTCCCTGGGCCTGTCAGTAACCATCCCTTCTCCCCAGTCACACTTTTTCTGTAGTCCCCTCTCTAAACAGGAAGCGACAACTACTAATTAGACTTATAAATAAAAGCCACCTTAAATGAACATCATGTGTAGGTTTCCCAAGTTATACGTGCCTCTGGCCTTTTTCTCATCATTTACTATGGAAATAAAGACAAACAAACATATTTTCCCCCATAATCTTTGGAGGGTAGAGTAGGTAGTGTCAGATGTGCCTGTTATGGTGGTTGTTCAGAAATTAAAAGAGGGCAATTTGCATTGGCCAATGGACACTTTAGCTTCTAAAAAATTCATTTTATTCTTCTTCTTTGATTATTCCTAGCTTTTAATCTGAGTAAAGGACATAGATTGTGGCTTGGCCTTACTTCATGGCATGGGAAGCACATGATACGAATAAACTTGACTTAGTACTGTATTTGGCCGTGGCTTGACTTGATACCTTGAGCCTCATGAGTTATTTCATCAGTTGGTCGCTAGTTATGGTTCTTTATCTTTCAAGGGCCTTAACAAAAATTTTTAAAGAGCCAGGCTGGTTATCGTAACTATTATAGGAATTCAAGGGTGGTTGGAGAGTCAACGTAGCGAAGAGTTAGAAAAGAGGAAAGAAATCCACCCCCAGACTGGGTATGTATCATTGATAGTGTCAGAAACAGGCAGGAGTATTATTTTTGGAGAAAAGACCTACTTTTACCTTTGTGCTTCTATTTTTATACTTATGTCTCATGATGTTTTTAAGACGCCAGAAATGACATATGTCTATCAAGTTTTGAAACTAATATGTCTTTAAATGATCATTCTCTGATTACATCATGTAGATTTAGAATATGCTAAATTTGAGGAAAATTAGCATTGTGTCTTTGAAATGTCCCACTGGAAATAGAAGCCTTACGCACCATAACTGCTTAAAGACAAAGAGAAAATAGATGTCTTTTGAATTCTTTCTTAATTATCACCATGATCTCCCATGTGTCAATGCTAGTTTTTCTAAGCAAAACACAGTTTTGGTTTTTAACATATATCCTGAAAGGGGAAATAGTTGGTGATCTGGTATCCTTCTTTAAAAGCTCCTCATAACGTAGGCTAAAAGAATCGCTTATATTTTCCCCAAAGCTGAATCCTTTGTGTGCCAAAAAAAAAAGTTATTTAACCTAAGAAGCAAATATTAATATTTCGTTGAGTTGAAAGATGTGTCTGTTCTTCTCTCCGTCCTAACCCCAAATAAAGTGATTGATAAAGAAGGAATTATGGTGATGAATAATTCCTGATGGCCTTTTAATGTTCGTTTGTATTTCCTGTAAATGATTAAGGATAATTACTCTGGAAAGAATCCGGAAACAAGAGAAACTCCATAGCAGGAATTATTTAATTTATGCTGTTACTTCCTTTCCTGCCTTTTCCCTGAATGAATCTAAGGCAACTTTGGTAGCATCACATTGCCTCTGTTTGAAAAACTTTGCTATGCTTAGTTTTAGTGGATGGGTTATCTCATTGGCATCTGAAATGGTAAATATTCCGAGTGGTATCATTAGTTTCGCTTTTCAGTGATCTGTGAAGTAAAGAGCCCCTAAGTAATGCGGGACAGTACAGTTACTGAATCACCATAGTCCGCTTTATTAGGTCCTTCTGGGAAGCCCATAAATGCTTGATCACTGACCCCAGACCTTAATGTTCATTCCTTATTGGAAGCCTTTAATTTTGGTATGATGGACACAATTATATCACAGTGGTTCCTGTGGAGTTGTTAAAGTCAATCTGTTCTTAAAAACTTCTTAAAAGGCCGATTTATTGACTTGATGGGCTGTAAAACAGTTTCCGTTTATTACGGGAATTACCTTCTTAGGTAGACATTTGTGAACATGACGGCTTTAGTGATACCCCTCGTTACCCAGTGGAGTCCTGTTAAAATTCCTGAAATTAGGCCATTTATTCCCTCAAGGATATCGTCTCCAGTGGTGTCTTTTTTTCTTGAAGATGGCTCCCGCTATCTCAGACAAACTTGTGAGTTTGTCTGAGGAAAATAAAGGATTTGTAGCAGTATTCAAAATGTTCCCAGTTTGACAGTAGCTCCCAGTTAGAGAGGCTCCTGCTGCTTGTGTCTACCTGTCCTCAAAGGACACACGGCCAACTTCTTTCCTTTTCCCAGTTTAAAAGTGATTTACTCCCATGGTTGAGACTGGTTTTCAGCATCAACGTGTGCTGCATGGCGTCTTCTAAGTATCAAAGCAGAGATTCACTTTTCATTTCTGGGTATTTGGAAGATGATCAGGTGCCTAGGACTATTAGATGTATAATAAATATGTTTCACTTCTCAACCAGAGTACACAGGGTTACAGAGGGAACTAATTTTATTGAGTTATCAAAATATTAAAATTTGTGATTGGCAATGCGTGAACATTTTATTAACACATTACAAGATCTACTAGCACGTATAACAACTATCATAATATTAAAGTTGTCATGAATGCCTGTGACATTTTGAGATACCTGCAGCAACTGTAATGTGAGTGATTTCTCACAATGACAAATTCTCAAATATTGCTAATAGTACTGTGGATTTTCCTACATTGGTAAATTGAAGGAATTGCTAAATGCTGAATTCAGCAACCAGTTTGAGATTGTTGAAAATAAAGATTGTTTCTTTTTCAATGCAAGTTCACAGATCACTGGAGTTCTAGCTACAGTTTGTTCTAGACCAGAGGTTGCAGATATTTTTGTCCTATAAAGAGACACATGGTTAATATTTTTGGCTTTGTGAGTTGTATAGTTTTCGTTGTAGCTGTTCAGCTCTGCTACATGAAAGCAACCATAGACCATACCTTAACAAGTGGTCACTTTTGAGTACCAATAAAACTTTATTTAGAAATAACAGAGGGCTGGATTTGGTCCTAGTTTGCTGAACCCTTTTCTAGATGAAGGCTCCTCTTGCCAAGACTGGCTCCCTACCTTGGCTGACAAATTCTCACTTTGGGACTTAGTCATTGTTGCTGCTCTCTGTTATTTTGCATGTCTTTTCTCATGTTTAGGTGCTGTGTCTTAATACTTTTTTCTTACATTTAATTTAACAATCATTACTGAGCGCTGGTATGTCTAGTTTCTTTTCTCTTCTTTCCTCCTTTTCTTTTCTTTTTTTCTTTTTCTTTATTTGAAGGCTCTCACTCTGTCACCCACACTGGAATGCAGTAGCAGGATCTCAGCTCACTGTAGCCTTGATGTCTCGGGCTCAGGTGATCCTCCCATCTCAACCTCTTGAGTAGCAGGAACAATGAGTGCATGCCACAATGCCTGGCTCATTTTTTAAAATTTTTTGTAGAGACGGGGTCTCCCTGTGTTGCCCAGGCTGGTCTCAGACTCTTGGTCCTGATCTCAAGTGATCCTCCAGCCTCAGCCTCTCAAAGTGTTAGGATTACAGGCATGAGCTACTGTGCCTAGCCTCTAGTTTCTTATAATACAGAGATGATTAAGACATACTTCTTGCCCTTACAGAAATTCATACTAGTTGAATAGACCAACACACAGATGGGTAAGTGTAAATATAGTGTTATAATTGCTACAGTAGTGCAGCATAAAGTGTTGCTGGAACAATGAGGACAAAAATAACGTATTCCTCCCTCATGGGACTTTTCAGTACTTTGCATTCAGTACTTTATATGGATAGTGTTCCTTTCTTTCCATGACCTGATATATCTAAAGATCAATGTGTCTGTATTTAAGTAAGTATTTTATTTGAAAAGGATGAAGAGTTCTGAAACCCTAAGTGTTTGTATATGGTAATGGAAGTTTATTCACAGGTAATGATAACTTACTGCTTTGGAGGTACTTTGTTTCACGAGTTGATTGTTATTTGAGGCTTCTGTTGTAAGTGAGGTGAGATAAAAAATAATGCCTAAAACCTAGTCCTCTAATCTGGGGACAGTAAATTTTGTGCATGGAGTGAATTTCCATAACTGGCATATCCTGTCCTGGTTGAGATCTTGTGCATCACATGATTTAGTGCTTCATTTTCAGCAGCTGTTTCCTGGTACCATCAGGGTCGGCATGGCCGTGGGATTCAGCTGATGTGCTTATTCCAGTGGGTGGTTTCTCCCTGTGTTGCAGAGTTCACAGGCTGTACCTAGCTCAGTGGAGTAGACTGGTGTGATCACTTAGCCGTGTCTGTCATGGGCAGTGGAGTACAGAGGGTGGTTGCCCTCTCTCCATTTCACACTTGTACTGGAGGAACCCTGAGGCTAGATGGTTTTTCTGTTAATTTAGAAAATCTTTGTCCCCTAATGTTGCTGGACTTGCTGGGGTGGTGAACCATTCGAGTTGTTGCCTTCTCTTCTCCGTCTGTCCCTTCCTTAAGCACAGAGTACTTCGGGAACACCATCTTGTCTTCATCACTATCTTGGGCATCTATTTATTACAAACTTGGAATTGAACAAAAATGTTTTAGTCCAGTGGTTTGGATTAAAATCAAAGTTCATAACAAAACTCAGACCATGTTCTATTTTACTGAAAACATCAATAGTGAGTGTACTAGAGCTTTTGGAGTTAGAAAAAGAACCATGGAAAGCAGAGTTGCTGCTGATGTGTTTTGCTTCTTGGCTAAGTTTGTGTATAAGTTTATAGATGTATACTTTCCCTATGTATACACATGAGGAAGTACTAAAGCAGAACTTTATAGCTATTTACTTTACCCTTGGTTTCACAAATAGCTTCACTGAAACATTACAAGAGAAATTCTCAGTCTCAGAATCCCTTTCATTTCAGAAATTCTTTGACTTCTGTGATTTTTTTTTTTTTTTGGTTTGGTAATTTTTCCTGAAATTCAGTTATTCACTTTGTGATTTAATTATTTCATCTAGGAAAATATGTCGAATAAGTCATTCATCTCTGACATAGGTAGGTACAAGGATTGATTTGTTGATACTTTTTTGAATATCAATAAGATTAAAGTATATATAAAATCTGAGTTTTTGATCTGTTGTATGTTAGCAAGGATATTTGTAATTAAAATGAATTATCAGTCAGCACCTCCTTTTTCCTTTTACTGTGGTTAAGGTAAAGATGTCGGTTAACAGTTTAAAACAATAGTCTAATCAATGGTTGCCGTGTTGCTAAATTATTAATGAAACAGGGAAGAAGTATGGTATAATTTTTATTATTTGACTTGACTTCTGCACCTGTTTTTATGTATAATTGATCCTAAGCTATTAGAGCTGAAGCTTTGAGAATAGTTTTGAGAAGCAAGAAACTGTCCTTTCTTAGTGGGCTGGAAAAACAAAGTCAGCATTTATCTCAGGTATTTACAATGTATTGTTTCTTAGATTTGTCATTTAGGCTTACTCCCACAGAGTCTGGGAAATAAGTTTCTGTTGCAACGGTTTCTTGAGGCATGCTGTTCCAGCCTTTGAGTCAAACTTACCAAGTGACTTTAGGAACCAAAATGATTCTTTTACTTAGATAACCTGTTTGAGGCAAGAGTTGGGTACGTATTTGTAACTGTTTCAGATGCTGTATTTCTAATAAATTTATTTACTTACTTTTTTTGAGAGGGAGTCTTGCTCTGTTGCCCAGGCTGGAGTGCAGTGGTGCTATCTCGGGTAACTGCAACCTCTGCCTCCCAGGTTCAAGCGATTCTCCTGCCTCAGCCTCCTGAGTAGCTGGAATTACAGACATGTGCCACCACGCCTGGCTAATGTTTATATTTTCAGTAGAGATGGGGTTTCACCATGTTGGCCAGGCTGGTCTCAAACTCCTGACCTCAGGTGATCCGCCCATCTCGGCTTCCCAGAGTGCTGGGATTACAGGCATAAGCCATCAGGCCCGGCCTGTTTCTAATAAACTTATAATATTTATTCAATGACATCTATAAACTACAAGTGTCTGTGCTAGTTCGGATGTTGTTTAAGGTCCTTTCTTGCCTTCAGAGGTATCGTTTATTAGTGAATTTATTTTTATCTCACTTTTTAGATTTTGTTAATGATGTGCAGAGTTTTAAGAGAAATGGAAGGCAGAAAAGTACATGTTTAATGCATCTTCCTGTAGAATCTTTAGTTCTAGACACTGGAATGCCTCACTTGTTAGAGCTCCCCTTTTTGCTTGGGTTGCTGTGACCTCAGAGTGTAGGAGTTTTTAGGGGAGCACGGAAGATGAGAGATCTGTAATCTTGTAGTTGGTGTAGTGTCACCAAAGGGGACTCTGGCAGGCACATGACTTTATGTCTTTACTTCTTTCTTGAGGCGGGGAGTTGGGGGTGGGGGAAGGACCAGTTCTTATTCTGTCACCCAGGCTGAGTGCAGTGGTGCCATCACAACTCACTGCAGCCTTGACCTCCTGGGCTTAAGTGATCCTCCCACCTCAGCTCCACAGGCACCCACCCCCGTCACCCCTCCGTAGCTGGGACTGCAGGTGTGCGCCACCATGCCCAGCTAATATTTTTAAGTTTTTTGTAGAGATAGGGACTCACTATGTTGTCCAGGCTGGTGTCAAAACTCCTGGGCTCAAGCAGTTTTCCCTCCTTGGCCTCCTAAATGGCTTTACTTCTCCGTTGAGCCTACACTTAGTGGGCCCACGTTGGGCTATGCCACATTCTTCTCAGTTCTTGGCCCATTCCACCAATGAATTCAGGAATTTGGGTTCATATCTCAGGTGTGCTATGTCACATTTTTCTTAGTTCTGTTTCCCATGGAAAACATAACTTTTTTGTGGGTTTTCTTTCTTTCTTTCTTTCTTTCTTTCTTTCTTTCTTTCTTTCTTTCTTTCTTTCTTTCTTTCTTTCTTTCTTTCTTTGAGATGGAGTCTCGCTCGATTGCCAGGCTGGAGTGCAGTGGCGTGATCTCGGCTCACTGCAACCTCCGCCTCCTGGGTTCAAGCGATTCCCTTGCCTCAGCCTCCCAAGTAACTAGGACTACAGGCACGTGCCACCACGCCTGGCTAACTTTTTGTATTTCAGTGGAGTTGGGGTTTCACCATGTTGGCCAGGATGATCTTGATCTCCTGTCCTCATGATCTGGCCACTTCGGCCTTCCAAAGTGCTGGGATTACAGGCATGAGCCTGTAAATAGAAAGGCTTTGAGAGTGGCACAAGAAATATAAGATAGGAAATATAAACAAGTGGAGGAAAGGTCTCCAAGGTTCAGTGAATGATTGTGAATATTGGATGCATGTCAGGATTTGTCTCTTTATTGGTCCAGCCTGTCGCTTCCTGTCTGTCCCTGCTTCTCACAGTTCTACTATGGCTGTCTGTCACCGTGACCAGAATGGGAGTGGACCACTTACCCAGCCCAGTCTCTTTCACTTGAATGGATATGTCACCTGGGCTTGTGGTGTACCTAGCCAAAGTGGTGGTTTCAAGACTGGTTATGTGTCTCAAAGCAAGGCTAATGAGCATCTTTTCTGAGTTTGCTAGTCCCCTCCCAAACAGAATTTATCTTCTTTTGGATGTGTTTCTCATCCAAAGAAGAATATGCTGCATTTTTGGCTTTGTGATGGCAACTTCCTGGCCTAGAAGGTAGAAAGAGAACCAGAGCTATGATGATACCTGAACCAGCTGTATCTGGAGCTTTGTACCTTAAACTTTTTAATTATTTGAGTCAATTCCTTATTTTATTTATTTGACTTACATTTATGTTCTTTTCTATCAAAAAATAAGCAATACAATGGGGAAAGGGACACAAAAAGCTATTGATAAAAAAATAATAATAACAAGCTATTCTTACCAGCCAAGACCTTAACTTGCAAATTGGCAGAAGTCCAGTCCAGTACAGCTTTCTGGATGCTGTCTACTTGTTGTTGTTTTTTTTCTGGCCACTGTCTCCACCCCTTGCCAGTTTCCTTGAGCTAAAAGGACCAAAGTTAATTCCAAGTTTGGCTAGGTGGTGAAAATGACACTGTGAGAATCATCTGTTCTCTGTTTCTCCCTGCCATACAGAAATAAACATCTTTTTGATTATTAAATTAGAACTAGCCTGAAGTTCTTCCATGGCATGTTGAAGTTGTTTCCACCAAACACCTTGTTGGAGCAAAGTGATTTTGCTGTAGAGGAAGTGACATCCCTGGAAGTTAATGTCACAGATTTTGGAGTATCTGCTTAGTGTTGGAGAAAGGCGAACTTTTCTGTTTCGTTTGCCCAACTGCCTTGACTTGAGCACAGAAGGCCATTTTGCATGAATGCTTTTATCTAAATTCTGTCTTTCCCATTACTTTCCTTGTTTTCCACCCCCATCTCCATTTTACTTTAAAAAAAAATCAGAATAGAATTTGTATAATTATTATGGACTTGTGTGTGGGGGGTATCTTTTTCTTAAGGATGTGTTAGAATTACTATTATTTAAAAAATTCTTCTTGTCTTTATTTTTCTATTGCCATCTGTTCATTTAAATATTCTCAGATTGTTTATGGTTTTGGTTTTCCCTCCATATATTTTCTGGCATTTGGCTCTCCTTTTCTGACACAATAGGTCAGGCTTTCAAAAATCTGGTCCCTATGTAATTTGACTTTTTCAGTAGTCAACATACCGCCCATGCCTTCCGAAGTCTTTCATCTCTTAGGTCTTTGAGCAGATGTTAACTGTTTAAATATTTTGTTGTTTTGGTGTAAAGAAAATTGAAATATAAGACGTCAGTGATAGCATGCTTTGCTTACACCAGAGCAGATTGCTGCTTACAAGTTGAATATGCAAACATCTTTAAAACATGGAACATTCCCTTATGCATTTTAACCATAATCTACAGGTTGTGTATTCTGAAAAATGAGTAAATTCATCAGGTTATAATGAAGATTTTCGTTTGAAAGCTGGTGTTTTTATTCCCTGAATTGGTCTTCAACTTTGGGAACTTACCTGTGGATAGAGTCGGTCTCCCACCTGAGAATGAGAAAGGAATTTAGGTGTGTTTTATACTCTATAACTTCTGGTTCATATTATATTGATGATGGTATTTGGACTTATTTAGTCATAATATGAGTGGTTAAAATAAATGAATACTAAGTTGGTGGTGGTGTAGAGTCAACTAGGAAAGTGACCTCACTGTTACTAGTAGTAGCAACAGAAGCAGCAGTATCAATGATCAGCGTTCATTGCATACTTAATATATTCCTGACACAGTGTCAAGTGTCTCATTTAATCCTCCTGCCAGCCTTATCTGTTAATCCCTTTTAGTATCCCATTTTACAGATGAGGGAACTGAGGCTTAGAATAAGTAGCTTTTCTAAGGTCATACAACTAATAAGTAGTGGGGCTGGGATTTCAGTCATGGTGATCTGAGTCTATTGCTCATGTGCTTGACCACTGTATTGCATTTCTTCATTGTGGTATAGGGCTTAAGAGCACAGGCTGGTGAAGGTCAAGAAGTAGTAACCTCACTAAATCTTACTTTTTTAATCTGTAAAAAGTAGGCGGGAATAGGCCGGGCATGATGGCTCACACCTATAATCCCAGCACTTTGGGAGGCTGAGGCGGGCGGATCATCTGAGGTCAGTTCAAGACCAGCCTGACAAACATGGTGAAACCCCATCTCTACTAAAAATACAAAAATTAGCCGGGCATGGTGGTAGGTACCTGTAATCCCAGCTATTGAGGAGGCCGAGACAGGAGAATCACTTGAATCTGGGAAGCAGAGGTTGCAGTGAGCCGAGATCGTGCCACTGCACTCCAGCCTGGGTGACAGAGCAAGACTCCGTCTCAAAAAAAAAAAAAAAAAAAAAAAAAAAAGTGGGAATAGTATCTACCTTCACAGTGTTGAGAGATTAAATGAGAAAATATAGATGCCTGGTTGGCATAAGTGCTTAGTATATACCGGCTATTTTTATTATTTTTAAGGCTATTGATTACTAGTACTTTAGAACTTTGTATATACTGTGTCTCCCCACCCCCATTACAAAGTGGCCTTTGCATAGTAAAAGTTCGTATGGCTTTGAGTGTAATCATATCTTTGGGTGGATAGTGCATCACTACCTTTGCCTTACATGATATATTAAATAATTGAACAGCAGCAGATACCTCTTTAACTTTATTCAGATTTTGTCCTTGGCCTGTTCCCCACCAGCCAAAGCAGGGAGAAATTTGTAGCTCAGGCCCTCAAGTTGAAAGTGGGCATTAATATTAGCAAATTCCCTTTAATAATCATCCCATTAAATTTGATGACCAGAGGGGACGTCCTCATAGCTTATAACAGAAAATAGTGTCTCTAGGAGTCAAGGGAGCTTTTCCCAAATGTTATCTATTGAGCAAGATTAAAGAGACAGATCACCCAGGAGGCTGATGGTAGGTGGTGTTAATCCATTAGTCCACACGCAGATAACTCGTTAGGTTTCCTGAGCATCCCCCTTAATCTTGGCTGCAGAGATAGAAAAGGAGATTGTAGAAACTTGCCCTGCAGCAAAGATTATTGATATGTTTTCCTCTTACATGACTCAAAACCAAAAAGGAATGTAATAAATAACGGCTGTGACTCCTGGAGTGATTAAAGAGCACTCAGGAGCCAGGAGAGCTGATAGCTGCCAGCTCCAGAGCCTGAGTGGGCAGAACTTGGTTCCTTGAGACAGCAGCTGCCTAGGAAGGACAAAGTCTGCATGACGCTCTGTGGTGCTTTGTGTGCAAGTTGACCATTGTGGCAAGGTCATAGGATAGCATGGTGGGGAGGGGGTTGCCCCTTTGTGTTTGTTGCCCGCACCTTTGCCCTTGTGTGCAGGATTCTCTCTGCTTCCTTTTGTGGATGAATCCTTCTGACTTTTTAGGTCATAGATTTTGTGTTGATTCTTAAGTGTGGCCTCTACAGAGGTCGTTTGCCCCTTAATATGTTTATATTGTTGCTGTTAACTTTATTGTTTTTGTCTGTCTTACCAGACACAAGGCAAGATTTTGTTTCTCTCTTCACTCTCTTTTCTGGCTTAACCCAAGACCTGGTGGTGGCACATACTAACCACTCCAAAATTTTTAGAGGCTGAATGCCAGCTGTTGGCTTAATCCATATGTTTTCATGAAACCATTGTGTTCATCTGTTTTCTCCCGGGTGAAGGGTTAGTTGTTGGATTCAGCTTTATATATTTGGAAATAAGAAATCAAGTGAGGGACTGTAGGAAAACGTAGAGCAGCTCCTGGTTTTGCGAGGTTGTTAGAGGCCAGCCGGCACAGAAATGTTCGTATTCTTCCCAGGAGCTAAGATATTCATCATGAGCTCTTTGAGCCAGGTTTCCATCATCTGTGAAATACAGAAATGATGCTTACTGTGTTCTAGCTCCCCTTAAGGATTAAACCATTTAACAGATCTCACTGATGCAGAAATTTCTTCTTCACATTTTAATATCTCTGAAATCGGAATATACTTTTCATTGAATAATGTTTGAAAATTGTTGGATTTTTTTCCCCCATATTTGAACATCACTGAGATTGGGCTGAGTCTTAAAATCATTGGTGTCTGACTTCATGAAATAAGGTAATTATGGGAGCCGCATTGGTCTTAGGTGTATACTAAATGTTAGTAACCTTTTTCCGTAATAACTAAGAAAAAAATGTTGATACAAACATCACTATGTGAAAGGAAGGCTCACAGGTGTGAGAAGAACAGGGAGGCTGGGTTCTTTCAGGTTTGGTGTTGTCACTAGCCTGGAGTCATTTATCTCCACACCCCCCCCCACCCCCCCACCTCCCGCCTTCCTTTGTAAATCAAGATTTTTGGTTTTTCAGGTATGAAACTAGGTTTTCCATCTAGTGCCACTGATTACCAGTAGCTCATGAGAGCTCTGTGCTTGAGTAGAGTTGTAAAGCCAAGTCCTGAGTTTGTATGCTGGTGTTAGATCATGCTGACTGCCCGGAGTGTGGTGTGGAGAAGGAGACTTGACAGTGCCCTCAGTTTCCCCTCCTGGGTTACCTGATCCTCAACTCTAATTTTTAATGTCAAAAAGAAGGAAAGATGAAGGAGGGACGAAAAGAGTGGGAGAGAAGGAGAAAAAAATGAAAAAAACAAGAAGGATGAGGATGAAATTTTTAAAAAACCAGGTCAATGGACTATTCTTCCCAGCATAAAATTAAAGAAGGCAGAGAGATACTTGAGTCTGCCTGCTGAATCCAAGCATGTAGTAATACTGTTGAGACAGTTATGGTTGAATAATTTTTTCTTCATTCTTAAAATGCTCGTCTGCATTTTAATACAGACAATTGCATAAATTATCTCTTATAGGAATAAACTCTCTTTCCACAAAGATTAACCCTGCCCAGTATCATGGGGAGCTTTTAAAGAGTTTATTAGCTGTGATATAGGAAATAAACACTTCAGATGATTGTGGAAAGAAAATAGATACAACTGTAGCTATAAATGCTAAAATACCAACTCAGCATGTTAGGATCCCTTCCCCAACACACACTTCACCACTATGTAGGTTCCCACCAAAATCCCGTATGTGACAGTAAATGACAACTAGTTAATTCTTTTGGTAGGTTAAGAAGGGCTTTTAGGGTATGGACAGTAATATCAGGCATGAAATTACTTTATCAGTGTAATGTTTATCAGAATCACTTGCCAACTCACTATGCTTCCTCTGAGACTTATATCCAAAACATTTCCCTGAAAGGAATAAAAATTTTTTCACAGTCACTTTGCATTTTAAAGAGTCTGTTCTTTACCACCTCATCAGGCATTCAAAGTGCTGTTGTTGTTGCTGCTGGTTTTTTTTTTTTTTTTTTTAAACCCTTTGAGTTATTTTGAATCTTTTCACTTTTACCTTTGGAAGGGACCCTTAGTGAAGGTCTTGTCTTTTCATCTGTAGCATCTTCCAATAAAAGTTGGCTCAACAACAGCCCATCTGATAACTCAAGAGTCGGAGACAAGGGCTTGACTAGTGAATGAAATGTTCTGCTTTTGTGGATAAGCAGCAAGTAGAAAAGGAAGGTCAGTGGAACAGACCAGAGGCATGGTGAGTCTTTGGCCTCCTGTTGATGGGGTAGAGCTGTGCGGTACAGAGCCAGCCTTCCGTTCCTGAGCAGAGTTCTCGTCATTACTAGAACCTGAAACCTTGAGGGTTTCTTGGTCTTTTTCACCTTCTCTCCACCTGTTAGGGACATAAACATTAAAAATTTTTTTTTATTTTAAAATAGTTTTTGATTTATAGAACTCTACTATTTTCATAATAGTGTTATGAAATACTATTATGATAATTGCATGAATTATCTCTTACAGGAATAAACTGTCTTTCCAATAGTAGTATGAAATTCTATTATGAAAATAAAGAGTTCCCATATACCCCAAATCCAGTTTTTTCTATTGTTAACCATTTACATTAGGTTGGTACATTTATCACCAGTAAAGAACCAAAATTAATACATTTTGATTAAAGTTCATACTTAATCTGTGCAGTACAAAGCCAGCCTTCCCTTCCTGAGTAGAGTTCTCGTCATTACTAGAACCAGAAACCTTGGCTATTCAGATGGCCTTATTTCTACCTAATGTCTTTTCTGTTCCAAGATCCCATACAGGATGCCACATTGCATCTAGTCATCATGTCTCTTTAGGTTCTGCTGGACTGCGACAGTTTCTCAGACTTTCCTTGTTCTTAATGACCTTGGCAATGTTGAGTACTGGTCACATATTTCATAGAATGTCCTTCAATTTGGATTTACCTAAAGTTTTCCTCATAATTACATGGGGCTTATAGGTTTTGGGGTAGAAGATAACACAGGTAAAGTGCCATTTTGATCACAACCTATCAAAGGTACTTGTTTTCAACACAATTTATGACCTTGATCTCCTGGACTGAGTTGGTATTTGTTAGATTTCTCCACTGTAAGTTTGCCCCCCACCATACTGTACTCCTTGTAACAAAGTCACTATGTGCAGCTCACACTTTAGGAGGTGGGAGTTATTCACTAACCCCTTGAGAGTGTGGACATAACATTTTTCCCCAGAACAGTAAGTGTATTTATTTTATTGTTCAAGGGGTTGAATTCTGAATTTGGAAGATGCTGTACTATCACAGTTAAGAGTATGGACACTAAAGCCAGACTAGGGTGGGTGTGAATTCCAACCCTGCTAACTTCCTAGCTGTGTACCTGGAAGGTAATTTAAACTCTCTCTGCCTCACTTTCTTCATCTATCATATGGATCTAACAATGGAAATAGAGTGAAAAATAAAGACTCTGTGGTACAATGCTTAGACCAGTGCCTGGAAAATTGTAATTACTGAATAAATATTGTGTGACTGTGTCCATCAGCTCGTTGTGGGGTGGGAGGGTAGGATGGTGACAGATATATTACTGGTTTTAAGCTGATTTGGTATGTTTTTTCATAGAGCCAGTGTTCTAGAAGGTGGTAGGTTTTCCAGGTGAGTTGAAGACAGGTGACATGTTATTACAGCTCCAATTTCAAAAATAAAGACAGAAAACACAAAAAAAATTCTTTGGGTCAAAAATACCCTGAGCACTAGTAGAGGATAAAGAGTTTTTACTTGAAGTTTAGTAGGTACAAGAACTTGGAGAGTTTCCCAAGGAGGCTTCTCGGTGCCTTGGCTGGGTTAGAGATTGTTGCTAGTTCTTGATGGCGTCCAAGTTACCTCCATGCCAGAGACTTCCGTATGAGGTTGGCACAATCCCTAGTCTGATTTCTCAGGATTAGTGTTTCAAGTTGGGTGAAGAAAGTCATGTTTCCTGAGGTAATAGGTGTGGAGAAAGAAGGGTGTTCCGTGGTGGGGACAGAACTGTGCACGGTACTCTGTTTTTTTTTTTTTGTTCTTGTTGCCCAGGCTGGAGTGCAGTGGCATGATCTCGGCTTACTGCAACCTCTGCCTCCTGGGTTCAAGTGATTCTCCTGCCTCAGCCTCCCGAGTAGCTGGGATTACAGGCACCCGCCACCACGCCCAGCTAATTTTTGTACTTTTAGTAGAGATAGGGTTTCGCCATGTTTGTCAGGCTGGTCTCGAACTCTGGACCTCAGGTGATCCACCCGCCGTCAGCCTCCCAAAGTGCTGGGATTACAGACGTGAGCCACCATGTCCGGCCAGAACTCTGCACAGTACCTTTAAGGAAGAAGAAAGGTGGAAGGAAGCAGAAATCTGCTGAAGCTTTGCAGTGCTCTCTGGTGAAGCCCCTGCCCTGGCACCGCCTGCCGTAGCTTCCCTCTGGGAAGTGACTTCCTGGTAAGGTAAAAAGTGTGTCACCAGCTGCTTCTGCAAAACAGATGCACTGGCAGCCCAGGGGAGTGCTTGTGAGGTGGGAAATGGCTTCTGACTGCTTAATTTAGCTTCAAAAGCACACATATTTTCATGATTACCCCCCAGTGGTCTATGCACACAGACGCCCTCAGGTGCTCTCCAGGTACAGACCACTGGGGAGGGTGGTGTGCGCACACGCATATGTGTGTGTGTAATTTTTTTTTTTTTTTTTGAGACAGTCTTGCTCTGTCACCCAGGCTGGAGAGCAGTGGTGCGATCATGGCTCATTGCAGCCTCAACCTCTAGGGCTCAAGTAATCCTCCCACTTCAGCCCCCAAGTAGCTGGGACTACATAAATATAATTTTTTTTACACACATACATAGAAGAGGGGTGGAGGGGGGAAGAAAGGGGAGGAGAAGATGAGGGTGATGTCTACAGCAATAACCTATGTGGAGTGCAACAACAGAAACTCAAGTCGGCTTGTGTCATAATGGAAAAAATGGAAAAGAATAACGTCTGTGTTGGCCTCAGTGAGGGTTGGGTTCCGCTTCTCAAGACGGTTAGGGACTGTTTCTCTCTGTTTCTGGGCTCTGCCATCCATATTGTTAGCATTATCCTAATTCTGGCTCTGCATTATGGTGGGCTGTTCACTGTCCACAGCAGGGAATGTTTGGAAGAACTTTCTCAGAAGGCCCAGAGGGCCGGATGCCAGGAGTTTGAGACCCGCCTGGCCAACATGGTGAAACTCCGGCTCTACTAAAAATACACACACACAAAATTAGCTGGCCGTGGTGGCGTGCGCCTGTAGTCCCAGCTACTCAGGAGGCTGAGGCAGGAGAATCACTTGAACCCGGGATGTGGAGGTTGCAGTGAGCTGAGATTGCACCATTGCACTCCAGCCTGGCCAACAGAGCAAGACTCCATCTCAAAAAAAAAAAAAAAAGACTCAGTGTTTCAGGTCATGTCAGTTGCATCCTAACTAGCTCCATTATTTGTGCAGCTGGTTATCTTAGCACCAAGATACATGCTGCACCCTACCCTACAGTCTGTTTAGGACCTTAAATCAATTTTTAAAAATGGAAATTATCAGTAATATACAAAAGTAGGAGGAGTAGGAGAATGAGCCCTGGTGTAGTCATTGCCAGTTTGGGTGGAACTTTTAAAAATCACCAGTTCATGATTTGAATAGGGAAGGTGTGACCACTGAGACGAGAACCAGCATTATTTTCCAGAGATGGCAAAATAGAGCTTGAGAAGCTGGCCAAAGAGAAGATGAAATGAATGCTGGTTGCACAGTGTTCAGTATGTAGACATCAAGGGATTCTGGCCCTGTTAGATATGTTAGAGGAAAGGTTTGTTTAACATTAATACAATGTGCTACAGGGGAAGTGTTGTCAAACAGTTATGCCGGTTTCTTAGGTAAAGTTGGCCAGTATTCTTCTTGCAGGCCTAGTTTGCTTCATCATTAGGATAACTGTATGCATTCTCATTGGAGCCTATTATCCAGATATAATTGTTAATTATGTCCATTCTTTCATTCTCAAAATTGATTTGGTTTGGACCATTTATCAGTCCTGGGTAGAAATGCACATTTTCTGACTTTCTGACTGTCTGTCTCTGTGGAGAGCCTCTTTGTATGACACCAGCTCTGCAGCAGGAGTGCTTGTGCACATGGCCATTATGAGAAGGCCAGTTAGATTTCAGGAGTCATGGGGACTGTGAGGACCTGGAATACCCATGCCCAGTATAAAGGTAATTCAAGTTCAGATCTGTGCAAAACCCACGCTGGATGCAAAAACACATTTGCTGGCCAAATTCAGATCACAGGCACCTGGTAGGTTCATCTTCTTCTTTATAGGGAACTGTTAATGTTCTAGACCCTGGGTAGGCAAACTAGGGCACACAGGCCAAATTCAGCTGTCTGATGAACTAATATTGGAACATAGCCACATTCATTTGTTTACATATTATCCATGGGTGCTTTAGCACCATAGACAGAGCCAGAGCCTAAAATATTTCCTGTCAGGCACTTACAGAAAATTTGCTGTGAGTAGAAATCTGTGAGCCATCAATGCCAGTCACACATGTAATTTAAAATTTTCTAGTGGTCATACTAAAAAAGTAAAAAGAAAAAGGTGAAATTAAATTACATTTAGTTGTTTATTTTATTCAACCCATTATCTCTGCAATAGCATCATTTCAACCTGCAATCGATAAAAAAAATTATTAGTGAAATATTTTACATTCTTTTTTTTCCTGCGAAGTCTTTGAAATCTGATGTGTATTATACTCTGTAAGCCCATCCCATTTCTTACTAAGGGACATTGCAATTGCTTAATTGGCCATATGTGCCTGGTAGCCATTGTTTTGGACAACATGGTTCATGTTGTCCATGTTGTCCAACATGGACAACATGTAATGCCTCAAACATTCTGCTAAGCACACTGCAACCCACAGTACTATTTCAACTTATGTTCACGTTTTACTGCATACTTGATGAGTTATTTTTTCCCCCAAAGGATTTTTGTTGTTGTTGTTGCTTCCTGAATGTTGCACTTTTACAATAAAACAATGTTGAAATGTGAATGTCTGGTGGTTGGCTGGGCTCTCTCACTGGGTGACACACCACCATATACTAGCTTTCAGGTGCTCAAAAGTAATTTCTTCCTCAAGAGATTGAAAAATACCTATTTGTCATGGGTCTTCTGGGTCTGTTAGAATAATTACCAAGTATTTGGATAGTTAAAAGTTGCAACGCTAGGGTCTTTTATACTTGCTCTAGGACATAGTTGTCAGGTATGAAAAATTTACCATGGCAAGATCCATTTGTTGTATTAATCACTACCTTTCCCTTAGAGTTGATTTATGGTTCAGAGGGATATTCTGGAAAATGCTTAGATCAAACAAGACCACATTCATTCATGGAGAAAGAGTGGAATGCAGGTTCGTAGTAAAGAAAAATAATTTCCAGGGCTCCTGGGAAAAAGCTTTGGTCACTTAAATGCCCTTGGGCTTTCTGTAAGTAAACATCTGCAGTCCTCTCTATTGGTTTTCTAGCATATTTCACACAAAAGCAGGGGAGCAGAGTAGTGTTAATTACCCTGAGCCAAGTCAGTATTAATCTCAGGTCTCCATTGTTGTTTAAGATTGATGGATAAAGATGTGACTGCCCAGAACTACCTTTGTTCTCTTACTGGAAAGATGTGGACTTGGAGGGGCAATCTGGAGTTAATAGTCAGAACTAGATTGTATCCTCCTTACTGGGATGTGAGCTCTGTCACCTGAGTAACCAATTTCTTTGTAAAGGGATGTAATCTCAAATCTTAGCTTTCAAGCTGCCAGGCTTGGTTTGCTTTTATATCCCCAAATGGAACCGGAACCTTCTTTATTCCAATGGTACATTGTGGTAGACTGTATTCGGCAACCTTTTGTATGAAAGGGTTAACATAGATCTGTCTCATCAGTGTCTTTCTGTTTAAGGATAGCATAAAAGTGCTGATTGTTAACTTCACTTGGTCCTATGCTTATTCTTTATTTTTACTGTAGGATTTACTTTTTCTTTTCCTGTGTCTTTCTCTCTCCAAAAAAAAAAAAAAAATAAAATCTACCTTGATGTGTCAAAGAGATAAAGAAGATGTTATAAACATTAAACAAAAGTTCACGTTTCTGTTTCTTTGTGCCCCCGGTCCCCCTTTTAAAAATAGGCCTCACAGCATCAGGCATTTGCCAGTGCAGCAGTTTTGAAGCATAGGATTTTTCCCCTTCCTGATGTATAAATGCCAGCTCTCTTCCCCCCTTTGCAGACACAGGCATTTTCCTCTTTTGAGTTTTAGTTTTATGATAGCACATTACAAAGAGTTTGACAGATCCTTTAAGATGAAGATCTGTTGATGTACTTCCTGTTTATGGTGGCTCCCAGCTTCACTGGTGATGAGGACACAGGCGCCTGAAACCCAGAGGCAGGGTGGATCTGCACCACTTCTCTGACCTTGCCAGGGCTGACCTTCATCATTCTAAGGGAACTTTTTTTCTTTTTTTCCCCTCCCTAAGCAGTGGTTCTCAATTTGGGGCTATTTTACTCCAGAAGGGGCTTTTGGCAATGTTTGGAGACATTTTTGGTTGTTACAGCAAGACTTGGAGCTACCAGCCTCTAGTGGGTAGAGGCCAAGGATGCTGCTGAACATTCTACAATGCACTGGACTGTCCCCACAAAAGAATGTTCTGTCCTGAATTGTTGATAGTGCCAAGGTTAAGAAACCCTCCCATAAGGGATGTTTTCTAGGCTTAAACAGTGGCCTGTATGTGTCTTTCTCCTTATTTCTTTATTTCAAGAAAAGAAAAACGCTGCCAAAGCAAAAGCCATGCAGTATGTTCATAATAAATTACCTTTTAAAACAAATCCCAGGCCTACTCTTCCCGAAAATGGGAAAGACAAAAAAAAAAAAAAAAAAAAATCAAAGTGCCCCATGGCACAAGTTATCCACTGATGACATTTCCCTCTGAGGACTGTTTTCTGGGTTAGGGTAATTACCACAACCCAGAAGGTCATGGAGTCTAAGTTAAAGGGCGTCACTGATTCAGCTCTCAGATGAGCCACCCCACTGGGATGTATGATGGTATAAACTGCAATTAAATCTTGTGCTGTATTTACTGTGTGATTGGAAGGACAGAAGGGAGATTTCCCTTTAGTCATTCTTACCTAGAGCAAAACTCATGTTTTTTTAGTGTAATGTGATTTCTTGAGAATGGTAGATGTTAGTGAAGTGGGGCAGGGAGATGGATTTACAAATCTTGGAGTTTGCAAAATATGACTTGACCTTTTGTTCTTATGTTGTGGGCTGTGTTTTCTATTAAGCTCTCGATCATATTCTCTCTTTGCCATTTAAGAAAAATACAGCACAAACCTCTGTCAGATTTTAGTATATGGTGACCTAATTTGGTGGGATGATTGCTAAAGTTCTGGAACAGGCCCTTTGTAGCTGATTTTTGTTGAATTGATAAGCATCGAATATACTAAATATAATTTTTTGTGCCTAGGTCTCTTCCAAAACTTGCATACCATTTTTAGCCTGAACTCAGTGTTATCATTTTGGTCTTTTAAAGTGGAGGGAGGGGGAGAGGGAGAATCCAATTATAGCAAGCCTGACTTGATTGAATGATCTTAGAATGAACCTTGTGGGAAATAATGTGTTGGCGAGAAAGAAAGTTGAGTTTCTAAAGTTACAGAATCTGTAGATCTGTTACACAAGTGCATGTAGGTAAAGCCTCCCTGGAATGATTCAAAAGGTAGTTGTAATGGATGGGTTAAAGACTTCATTTCACCATCATCCTTATCCAGGTTCTGAATACACATGCCCTGTCGGGTCTGTGGCTCATTTTAGATACAGTGAGTGGAAAATTGAATTTAATGATTAAGTCTTTTTGGTTTCTGATTTGTGGATTTTCTTGTGATTTTTGTACTTCTGGATTTATATTGCATCTTAGTGAATATCATTTTTTTTCTTCTTAAATTATCTAAAATATGTGATAGGGTAGTTAGCAAACCTGTGTTGGTTATACCTATTGGCAAATGAAAGGAGATGACAGAAATAGGCTCCGATGGGCCCATGGCTGAATTACAGAGTGGTAATTATTCTTTAAATACTGAAATAAGAGTTTTGCCTATTAGAAGCCTCATAAAACCAGTGTCTACAATCTATCTGATTTTGCTGTTGATGTAATTTTAGGAAATCAAATGAACTGGGATGGAAATTAGGTTTCATACTCCGTGGCTTGTGTACCCCTCTAAGTTCTATTAAATTTTATAGGAGTTTTACAGGTGGAAACACAGCAGCACCACAGCTTTTGTCACTTCAAAGAGCAGCCCTTTCATAAACAGAGAATACAGAATCATGCCTTTTATCTTGCCATTTAAAAATTCTTCATTTTCTGCACCCAAGTGATTTATCACATGGACGGAGAGGACAATTCAGGATATTGTATTTCGAAAAAGGGAAAGAGAAGCCATTCAAATTCCTATTAAAATGAATTGCACTAGCTGTACATCATTTTCTAATTTCTGAGACGACTTGTAAATCACAAGGAGAGAGGGCATTCTACCATTGGTCAGGGGAAAAATGGGAAATTTAATAGTTTGTCAAAGATTGATAAGAAAGGATTACCACTCTGAGAGACCCTAACTTGATGAGCAAGTACATTTTGAAGTTCATCAGACGTATAAGCAGTTGGAGAGTTTAATTAAAGTTACTTGTCATTACTCAAGTTTACATCCGGTCTGTCTCTGGGCCAGCGTATATGGTATGCCAGTGACATTGTCAGAACTTAGTTTTGACCCTGAGAGCTGTGCGTTGTTCTTTTACTCCCTCTTGATTCCTCTTTCATCATGTAGAAGCTGATGTGTATTTTAACATTGTGGTCAATTTGGTGACAGAGGTCTTGATCAGTGCAAGTTCCAGTAGTTAGCTGAATTTTATATTTTTCTTTATTTTTTAGCTGATAATGATTCAAGTTGTTGGAATAATCTAAGACTGCTAGAAAATAACATATATACACATATGTACACTTGTGTAAATGCCATCTTGATAACAGAATCATAAATGTGTTCATGTAAGGGTATGTGTGTGTACGTAAATATGTATTATTGAATCGTATTGGGATGATTTTTTTTTGCCCTTTCAGATGTCAAATTGTATATTGAGACTATTTATTCCATTCTTATAAGCAAAGCCCTTCCTTTCCCTCTTGTTCCTGCAAAGCAGCTCAGAGAATGACTTTTAACTGGGCAACCATATTTTTGATCTTCTGCAGAGCTAGGAGCACTCTGACATATGGTTCAACAAAGGCTCGCAGACCGGGGCATCCAGTACTTGTGGTGCTTCTGTTAACGCCTGTTTATCAGATTATTGAAGGGCAAGCTGCTTTCCTCAGAACGTGCTTGCTCTCCCTGACTCTGTGTAATCCTATCCAGGCACGGAGCTGATATTGTTATACAAACAAAACTCAATAGGCATTACTGAAATCCAGAGAGTGGATTCTTTAGGATTGGACCTTTTGTGTGTGTAACCACATTTGAAGGAGACCTAAGAATCATCATCTGGAACTTTTTAAAATTGCAGTTACTGGAAACTAAAGCCAGAAACTAGGAGAAAACCCTCCGATTTTTTGTTTGGTTATTTTTAAGTGGAGAAGTTACAAAGGTGTTAGCTGTTAAGATGTGGAGTGAACTGGAATCCAGTGGCTCTCAAATCTTGCAGCTCATCAGAAACCCCTGGTGAACTTTGTACGTGGCACTCACCCCTATTCCTTAACTGTGAAATCTATACATTTTTTTTTCATCCACCCCAGATAAATCATATGTAGGTGGGCTCTTGGTCCAGTTTGGGAACCCGTAAAAGAAGTTATCAACCTCATCATAACCTTCCCAGGCAGGAATCAATTTCTTTGAATATAAGCCATTCAAATTCCATAATATGATACTGGCTCTAAAGGCACATTTAATTATGTAGGACACACCATCCCTTTCGCAAAATCGCACAAAGATTTCAACTTAGGCCTAAAATCTTTGGCACATACGTTGCACTGGGCACGGATCCCTTGGCCTAGATAATACTGAATTAAACTCCTCCCTTTCCTGCCCTCCCACACAGAATTTGGCCAGAGAAGCTCAGTGAAGGTTATTCTTAAACCCATCCCCGTTGTTCAAATCTGGCAGTAAAAAAGGCTTTACAACTTGGGTCAACTCCTAATGGGGCCTTTTGATCCAAGTGCTTTAAAGTTTAGACCTTTTGTATCTTTGTTGATAAAAACTGAGGTGTAGTATACCATTAAAATTTTTAAAAAATTATTTCTACTGAACCTGTTGGATTTAATCTGTTTTTGCTATCTAGTAGGCTTGTGACCTTGAGCAGATGACTTAACTTTGCCACATTTTTTTCTTTTCTTGTAAAATGGGGGTAATATAATCCATAGAGTTATCATAAGAATAAGTAAAAGAATGTGTAAAGTGTTAGTTCACTGCCTTCCACATAGTGAAGGCCCAGTAACTGTTGTTTCTTATTATTATCACGGTGGGGGAGGTTAGTGGGGGAAAGTTACAAAATGAATAAGCAGCAGACTTTGCCTTAGTCAAGAGCTTGCATCCTCAAATTTGGAGTAAGGTATAATTATATTACCATACTAGAAGTAGGAAGGATTAAAAGAAGAAAATAAAGATGCACTCTTTTTTCAGAGAAAAATGTGATCACTGATGGCTTTTTGCTGCATCTTGAGGGGAGACATTGCCCATGAAACAGTTTTCTGAGCTGAGCCCAGAAGAATAACCCTAAAGGAGTGGGACAGATAGAAAATCCAACTGGAAGAGGAAGTGGTATGGTGTACTAGTGTCTGACACACAGAAGATACCCAAGAAATAAGGGTTGAAAAACATGAGGCTTTATGGAGAGAAACTTACATTTGAGTTCTGATCCTGTTAATTTCTGTAAAATAAGTATTATAACACTGACCACATAGGGGCCAGTGTGGACAGTGAATACTATATGTCATGTACCTAGCAGGTTATCTGGCACGTTGTAAGCTTGAAAAGAAAATAATATAGTTATTCTGTATTAATATGAAGGGGAATAGAAAGACATAAACTTGAAACATAAATGTGGACCAGATAATTAAGGCATTTGAATCCTGAACTAAGGAGCTTAGATTTTATTCACTTGACAGTTGAGAGCCACGGAAGCTTTTTGAGCGGGTGCACAGCTATTGAAGCTCTGTGCTCTCTTGATTTCAAGGTGATTAAGCAGAACAGTTTTCCCCCAGCTCCTGTATCAGGGAGGCAGAGCTTTCCCAGAAGTCCCATTGCATACTTCACCTCAGGTGTGTTCTTGGAATTGTGGCCATGCCCACCTTATAGCTGCAATGGGGGGCTGGGAAACTGTTTAGCCTGTTGAGCCTCTGTAGCTGGAAGTGGGCTGTGCCTGCACAGCCTAAATGGCTTTTGGTCTGTGGCCAGGAAGCCAGTGATACTTGCAACTGTGAGCATAATAGCATGTTGGAGGCCAAAGTGTACTCTACAGGGAGTGCAGGATAAAATAAGAACAATACGACTGGTACAGAGAATAGAGGAAAGGGTAGAGGTTTGTATGAAAGCTGGCAAATTCAGTTCTAGACCAAAAATGAGTTTAGGGTGCAGGTAGGATATCCAGGAAGAAGTGATGCATGGGCAGGAGTAATTTAGGATTAGAGTGCAGGACTGAAAGTATTGATCAGTGAATCATTGATTTGGAAGATGACAGTAAAACCCTAAGAATCTGAGGTAAGGAAGGATGAGAGAGGAATGGACAAGAACCAGATAACAAGCTTAAAGGAATGATTTCTTTTTAGGTGCCCTGTATAAGCAACGACAGTGCGAAGGGATACCTTATTTAGCATTGTTTAAACCTCTTTATCTGCTCCATAGGCATATGACCTCAATAAAGGCAGCAGTGTGTTTATGATGCAGACCCAGCTAGAAGACAAGTTCCCAGGTCTGGCTACCCACCCCTACTCTTGGCCACCCAACTCCTACCTCTTTTGGACAGATTTCTCTTCTCAGCTCTGTCTGTGTAATGCAATTGTCCCTACAATGGCCTTTGACAGAGAAGTCATGGAGATCCAAAGAAACTAATTAGAATGAATAGGCATTTTTTATAAGTAATTCGGGACAAATGGAGAATCCAGTCCTTAAGAAGGGTTGTAATGAGGGTAGCTGAATTTGCTTTTGTGGGCTTTTACTTTAGCGTTCCACCATCAAGGTGACATCATATGATGTAAGAATGAGTATCTGATTGGCTACCTGCCAGCCAATGAGGGTTCCCCCTTGCCTACCTGTGTTGGGGAGTGCAAGGCTGTCACCAGGAGGGCAGGTTAGGGTGAATGTGGCAGCCCAGGTGAGGTAGACCTGATGATTGTTCGAATGTGACACTTTCTCCCTGTCATAGCCCAGCAGCCCCTTTAGTTTGTGACTCTGCTGTGCCTCCCAATTAGGCCTGCTGTGGACATCTCACTTCTGGCTGAACTTTGGGCTGGGTTTTGTGATGCTCTTTGGTCAGTGGAATGTCATGGAAGGCCCATGAATAGAGTGCTTGAATGTGCTTGCATGACTTTACTTGGCCTCTCTGTTCTGCTAGGTACCATGAGAAAAGCATGTCCTAGATTCACAGGTGGAACTTCCTGGCCCCAACCTGTTGCTTAACTCTCAGTCACCCAGTGTACCCAAACACCAGTGAGCAAGAAATAAATGCCTACTGTTGTTCAATACCAAAATCCTTTTTTCCCCTCTTGCTTTTGGTCCCACAGTATTGTTGCAGTAGAAATCTGACCAACACAGCAGACAAGTTGACTAATATGTCTGCTCTTTGGCCAGAAAACCAACAAGAGCCAGAATGGACAGTGATGATGGAAATGAATTAGTTGCATCTAGGGCCATGTAACTTGCCCTCCATTTGACCAAAGCTGAATTTCATTGAAGTGTCCATTCCATCATGCCTGAGTTCTATATTGGAAAATGATCTGCTTTTTCACAAAACACAACTTCAGCTTTCATATCCTGATTAACAAAGACAATATGCATTATTAGACTTAATTTAAAGGTGTAATCAGCCATGCGAGTCAGATAAGGGAAAAAATAGTACCATGGACCTTTTCCAAATTCCCACAGGCTTAAAATATAAAAATTCCCTCAAGAGTGCTGACAGCATACCTTGCCTGTTATTACAGCTTGAGTTTTATTTTGTTCCTCTGCCAGTACCAGAATAAAATTAGGTTACAAATCAGATCTAACGGTTTAGATTATTGTTCATCTTGAGCTCTGCGCTTTCTCTCCATTTGTTGTGGCATAGCAGAAATAATTAAATTTATTAGTAGGCCTGTCTTCAAAAAAAGGCTTTTATTTCAAAATGTGCTTGAGGACATAGTGGGGAGCACCATGAGTTAAGCCTTAGTTTTTCAGGAGGTAGAACTGCTAGGATATAAACGTGTGGTTTTGCAGGATGAAGAGATGCTTGTACCCCAATATAACGCATTCTTACTGCAAATAACAAGTTTTCTGGCAACTTCTTCCTGGTATCTACAGTTGATTGTGTGTGTGTGTGTGTGTGAAAACGATGATTTTTAGATTTACTGTCTTGAGGGTAGTTTAGCAGTGGTCCTGACCATTCATTCATTCATTCATTCATTCATTCATTTTGTCAATCCATCTGTGAGCCATTCAGCAAATATTTATTTTCCACCTTCTTTTCAGGATGTGATCAATTTTTCTTTTGTATGTAATAATCTTTCACACTTTGAAGATCATTCAAAACGGGTATGTACATTTTTGTGGTGTAATGAAAACCCACCAGTTTAAGCCCAGATTTGTCATTAAACTTCCTAAGTTTCCACATACTGCCTCTATTTGTTCCTTTTTTGTAATAGAGGTTGAAGATTATTTGAAACAGAAATGGATGCCTTTGCTCACCAAAAGTCAGATTCATCCTATCTAGGTTTCCAGATAACTCCTCGTTAGCTGCTTTCCACAGTAGAGATTCTTAAGGGACAACAAGACCAGCAAAATGACTCAAGAGTCTTTAAGAAGAATGTGTGCCCCGAGGGCTCCTCAGATGTTCACCCTCAGTCTCCCTGCCCATGTTGGGCCAGCTCTCAGATAATTCTCTGATGCAGTTAAGAGTGTGGGAAGTGATAGAGGGCATTGCGGCAGAGAAAAACCCTGTGAACAACTGTCTTGCTGGTTTGATGAATATTTAATGTGCTCCTACTGGTTTAGGATGCTAGGTTCATCTAAATGTGCATAACTACTTTTAGGGTCTTAAATGCCCCCTTGCTTTCTGGAGACAATTAAAATTTTAAATCCTGTAAACAGTTTTGTTACATGCAAAGAATACTTGTGTAGATCACCTGAAACTGTTTCCCACCAATTGTTGTTTGGGAAAGACTGTTGTATTTGAAATACTAGAACAGGTGAGTGAGGTAGAACATAGTACAGATTCTCTCTAGCATGAGGTTATGTGGGGCTCAACGGAATGGTAGAGCATGGGGTCTGAGGCTGTAGAAAGAGTAAGGTATTTTAGAATGAAAATCTTTGTGGGTATGGCTGGGCACAGTGGCTCACGCCTGTAATATCAGCACTTTGGGAGGCTTAGGCGAGTGGATCACCTGAGGTCAGGAGACCAGCCTGGTTAACACGGTTAAACCCCATGATTACTAAAAAAAAAAAAAAAAAAATAGAAAAAAAATAGAAAAATTAGTTGGGTGTGGTGACATGCACCTGTAATCCCAGCTGCTTGGGAGGCTGAGGCACCGAGAACCACTTGAACCAGGGAGGCAGAGGTTGCGTTGAGCTGAGATCGTGCCACTGCACTCCAGCCTGGGTGACAGAATGAGACTCCGTCTCAAAAAAAAAAAAAAGAAAAAAGAAAATCTGTGTGTGTGTGTGTGTGTGTGTGTGTGTGTGTGTGTGTGTGTGTGTGTTTAGTTGTACTGGCTTATTTTTCAGCCATGAAGAGTTCTAGATGCCTTTAATAGCAGTAGTTGTAGTTGTAGTCATAATAACTTATTGAATGTATACTATGTTCTTGGCTCTTCCATGGAACATCTTGTTTGATTTATTCTAACAAGCCTATGATGAAGGGGCTGTTAATATTCTCATGTGACAAAAGAAGCAAGGTCTCGAAGTGGTTTGTTTATGTTCCAAACATTTGTGTAGTGCTGTAATACATGCTTTTCACATATTACATTAATTCTTACAGACATCTTATGAGATACTGGCTTTTTTTTTTTTTTTGGGGGGGGTTGGAGTCTCGCTCTGTCACCACCCAGGCTGGAGTGCAGTGGCGCAATCTTGTCTTGGCTCACTGCAACCTTGGTCTCCTGGGTTCAAGCGATTTTCCTGCCTCAGCCTCCAGAGTAGCTGGGACCACAGGCATGTGCCACAAGGCCTGACTAATTTTTGTATTTTTAGTAGAGATGGGGTTTCACCATGTTAGCCAGGCTGGTCTCGAACTCCTGACCTCAGGCAATCTGCCCGCCTCAGCCTCCCAAAGTGCTGGGATTACAGGCGTGAGCCACAGCGCCCAGCTGAGATACTATTTTTACAGTGAAGATATTGATGGGGAGAAAGCTAAGGCGCCTTTCTAAACTCACATCCCTAACAAGCGGGTGAGCAGGATTTGAACCAGACCCTCTCGCTCTTTCACCATCTTACTAAAGAGCTTATAGTTCATAACCACTGGAGTATTCCACTTCTCGTATACAAGAACAGCTGGAAGGACAGACTTTGCTAGTTTTTTATCAGAGAGTAAATCTGAAATCCACCTGCAGACCTATGTCTAGTGGTAACTTGCTTTGTTGATATCTGACTTACTGTAGTTCAGCTTCTCTCTAGTAGCCCCGTATGTTTTCTGCTTGTTTTTTGTTTGTTTATACTTGAAGATCTGCTCTGAAGATTTTCTCAGACCTCTGGTAACTGTGAGTTACATGGGAGGCTGCTTAGAATTCTTAAATGTCAGTAGTAGCTACCTAGTGTGCTGCTGCTTTATTTCATGCATAAGCAAAAGGAGAAGTAACCTGTATAAAAACTTGTGTGCCATGATAGGATATTGCTCTTGCTTTCTATCTTATCTCACTTTTTTCTTCTTTGTATTCATCTAGGATGACTGGGAGGGGCTCAGGGAAATAAATGTCGTTGCATGGCTGCTTTGTGCCAAGCATATTGTTAAGTGATTTGCATACCTGGTATCATTTACCCCTGGCAGCAACTCTATCAGGAAGCTAGCAGTTTTTATTGCTATTTCATAAATAAAGATGCTGAAGCTTAGAGTGGCCAGTGGTAGAGACAGGATTTAAACTCATATCTGCCTAGTGTCCTATCTAGTACATTTTCTCCTCTGCAGGGCTGCCTCAGACTCAGGTTTTTTGTGAGCTGCCTGCTAATTAGGTGGTTAGTGGCTGCTGCTTTCTCATGTTTAGTTTTGTTTATTATTAAAAGAAATCTGGCTGGGCACAGTGCTTCACACCTGTAACTGCAGCACTTTGGGAGGCCGAGGTGGGTGGATCTCTTGAGCTCAGGAGTTCAAGACCAGCCCGGGCAACATGGCGAAACCCTGTCTCTACTAAAAATACAAAAAAAAAAAAAAAAAATCAGTTGGGCATGGTGATGTGCACCTGTAATCCCAGCTACGTGGGAGGCTGAGGAGGGAGAACCACTTCAGCCTGGGAGGTGGAGGTTGCAGTGACCTGACTGTCACACTCCAGACTGGGCAACAGAACGAGACCGTCTCAAAAATTAAAATTAAAAATAAAAATAAAAGAAATCTTATTGTTTCATTTTACTGTCTTGATTGGCTTTAACCCTGTTTCCAATGCAGTCTTAGAGATGGAATACATTATAATGGGGATAACCATGTCTCAGTGTCATCTCTCATTTGATCTAATCAGAGAATACGAGGTTATATATTGACAAGATTGTAGGGACCCAGATGAGGGGGCTGCATTGTTTTACTGTGCAAAAGTAGTTTATCCGTTTTTTATTGTGAGTGCTTATTGAGAACCTCATTGCTCTGTGATCTTAATCATTACTAAGCAAGTTGAAAGATACAGTGGCTGTTTATTAGGTTAAGGGAAGCCCACACATCTATCCAATAAATATCTGTAAAGCACCTGTTACATGCTGTGCACTGTTACAGGCACTGGGGATATAGGAATGAATACAGCAGAACATGTTCCTCATTTGCCCTAAAAACATAACCAGTGTTTGGAAATTCTAGAATGGACCTCTCATTATTTTCATTTTTATTTCATTTTAGGCTATTTTATTTCCTAAAGTCACTGGTGACTGGCCATCTTTAACCCTTGAAAATATTACTACAAGTGAAGATCTCTTGATAGCAAAACTGATGACTTTAGGTCTTCCCTGCCTGCTGTTGAATAACTCTTTTAAGTTTGTTATGAAATCTGTAACATGACTTCAGTATCATCTAGTCAAGCTCCTACATTTACCTGGTGAGGAAATTGAGATCCAGGGATGAAGTTCAAATAGCAAGGCAACTCCATTCAAAGTAGGAATTGTGACATGCTGTTGTTTTGTGTCTTGGCATTCTTGAACAGAATTTCAAAAACCCAGAAAAAGGCTGGACGTGGTGGCTCACACCCATAATCCCAGCACTTTGGGAAGATGAGGCGGGCAGATCACTTGAGGTTAGGAGTTTGAGACCATCCTGGCCAACATGGCGAAACTCCATCTCTGCTAAAAATACAAAAAAAATTGCTGGGCATGGTGGTGGGGGCCCGTAATCCTAGCTACTTGGGAGGCTGAGGCAGGGGAATCACTTGAACCCTGGAGGCGGAGGTTGCAGTGAGCCAGGATTGCGCCACTGCACTCCAGCTTGGGTGACACAGCGAGACTCCCTCTCAAAAACAAACAAACACCAGGAAAAATGTTGGAATGTTAACTCTATCCCATCCAGCTATCAGATGGTTGCAGCTTTACTTGGCCTAGAATTCCTTGGACATCTTCTCCCACAGAAAAATCCCAATGGCTACATGTATTCAAATTGTTTATGGAGTTTTTGAAAATGAATTGAGGAGGCACATGGATGGCTGTTTTTGCAGCGGTCTTGATGAGATATGATGAAAGTTTGGTTGAGTATGATTGTGAAGGAGATAATAGAGAAGTGACCAGATTTGAAGACCTTGGTGAGATAAAAGTGATGTCTCACTGTGCTGATGAGAAAAGTTTCAGTTGAAAATTTGTATTGACATGTAGCTTTTTGGTAGGGATAATTTACTGGTAAAATGAAATGAAATATAATGCTATGAAGCTTTTTGGTAGTACCTGAGAGTTTCAGTAATCACTTATATATATATTATATATATATTATATAATATAAATATATATACTATATAATATATAGTATATAATATATAATATTATATATAATATATAATACATATATTATATATAATATATATTACATATTATTACATATTACATATTACATATGTATTACACATAATACATATATTACATATATATAATATATAATATATAATAATATATAATATATAAAATAATATATATAATAATATAATAATATATATAAATATATATTTATAGAGAGCTGTTGGGAATCTCCATCAAAAGTAAGTGCTGAACCTTTTAAATCACTGAAATTTTTTTTTAAATGGTTCAACAATTTTATAGAAAACATTGGTAGGGGGAGATTTTTATTTTGGGGGGAGTTGGTAATTTAATGTACCTTTTCATATTTCTAAGAAAAATAAAATATTTAGTTGATTGTTGTTGGCTTTAGAATCATTATAGTTGAGTTTTCAATGAATTCTGAGAAGAAAACAACCAATAATGGCAGTTTTTAAATCCCAAATTCTTCCATGGAAAAATAAAGCAACTAGGAAAGCTAAACTATAAACTCACAAACAATATCTGTAATGAAACTAGGTTATGAGGTATCTCCATCAGTCTCAGAATATGTGTGGATGGGACAAACCACCTACAGCTACGAGACCTGCGTGGAATTGGCCCCAGAGGGAAGAGACAGAGGACCTGAAGTCTCAAATCAGCTGCATATTGCAGATGCCCATGGGAAAGTGTGCTGGGCCTACTTGGGATGTGCATTGAAGAGTAGGCATGCTTCCATAGCATACCTAGTTCCTGGATGAGTGCAAGGAGACTGCAGTGGAGCAAGATGTGGTGATTTTGGGGCTCTATCATTTTCCAAACTAATAACCTGAATCTGCCTTCTAAGGTAAAACTTGCAAGAGGAAGAACTGCTGGGGGTAGAAGTCAGAATGAACAAGATGGGGCGGTGAGAGTCAAGTATAGACAAGGTTCAGATAACAGTGTGGAAGTTGAGAAGACAGGTCTGTGAAAGCAGAAGGTCATAGTGTTTGGAATCACTTTGTGAAAATAACAGTGGGAGATCTACATGTTAAGAACTAGAAAAGCTCCACCATACCCCCCACCCTAACCCCATGATTAGCGTTTGGGAATATTTATTTTACATTAAAAAATGAGCAGAAGAAAAGCATTACACTTGAACTCTATATAAAGTTATTCCAAAAAAAGGAAATACGGAGCAGCACTCATAAAAGAGTTGAACACTATATACCTGATATTTTAAAATAAGACTAAAATATGAGAATGTGATAGATGGTATGAAAGAACGTTATACATTAGTTTTAGAGAAACTCAGAAATGCCAGAATTGAAGAGAAAGATGGCAGGATTTGGGAAAGAAGTAGAAATAAAATAATGTCTCAGAAATTAAGAATAAATTAGAAAGAATGCAAGAGCAAGTAGAGGAGGAGAAGATTTTAATAATCAAAGAGAAATATAATAATGAAAAAGTCCTATAAAATGTATAATGAAAAAGTTGTTTAGGTGGGTGTGGTGTCTCATGCCTGTAATCCCAGCACTTTGAGAGGCTGAAGTGGGAGCATCACTTGAGCCTGGGAGTTTGAGATAGCAGTGAGTCATGAACGTGGCACTGTACTCCAGCCTAGACAATAGAGCAAGAAGACCCTGTCTCCAAACAGAAAAAAGGGAGAAAAGAAAAAGTTGTATAGAGGCTGCCTAAAGGAGAACCAAAATATGTGTGATAGGAGTCCTGTAAGAAGAAATTGAAAGTAAAGAGAAAAAAAATATTAAAAATCACAAGAAAAAGTCATTGAAATAGGGGCCCTTTAAAGTGAAATAGTGAAATAGTGAATAGTGAAATAGTGAATAGTGAAATAGTGAATAGTGAAATAGTGAATAGTGAAATAGTGAAATAGTGGCCCTTTAAAGCTATATTTAAAGGGCCACTATGTTCCTTACTAAATCTTCTCAAATCATCCCAGATAAATAATATAGAGAAAGTATGGGTCATTCATGAAAAGGAAAAACAAAAATCCTTTGAGCATCCCAGCAAAAAGACTCTGTCACTATAAGGAAAGGAAAATTGGATTCTTGTGAAACTTTTTTTTTCTTTGACAGTAGTGTTATATGCCAAAAAGACAATGGAGTATCATATTTAAGATATGCAAGGATAGAAAATGTGAACCATGAATTTTATAACTCTCCAAAATGGTCTTCAACTATGAAGATCATATGATTGTGAGTGTGCCAGAAATCAGGCAATATAACTTCCATGAGCTGTTTTTGAAGGAACTAGTGGAGAACAAGCTTCAGATAACCTCAAAGCTTGAGGAAGCATTGATGACATAAGTAGAGGTCGGTAAATGATTGCTAATTGTTCTTTCTCTTTACATCTACTAAGGATACCATGTAGTGTTTCAGATAATCATAATTGGAGTGTCCAGTGAATTTGGGGAAGGATAGCACTAGAGGTGACACAGTTTTGTGGCCCTGAATAAATTTGTGTATCTAGGCAATAATTATCAATGGCCACTAGCATCACAAATGGGGGAGACACCTAGACTTTATATAATTCTCCATAGGAGAATGCAGTACTACCTATAAGGTAGTTCTGCCAACAAAATAGGGAACTTTAGTCTGATCAAGCTTCTACATCTATCAATTTACAGAAATTAAACTGAGTATCATGTTAAATGGCACCATGGGGATGCAATCAGCAAAACAGACAAAATCCATAACATGGGAATCTTTATACAACAGAGGGTACAAAATGTTTTTAGCACAAAAAGGGGTAAATGGAGATAAAAGGGGAACCTATAGATTAAATGAGATTAAGGAATACCTTGATTTATCTTAATGTGTATGGCCCTTATTTGGATCCTGATTGAAGCAAACACGTTGTAAAATGGAAAACATTATAACTAGTTGGGAAAATGTATGTGAATATTGGATTTTTAGGAACGGATCATTCATATTTTTTAAGTGTTTCCTGACATTTTGGTTTTTATTAATAATAAAAAAGAATACATTGGAGAAAAAGGGTTTGAGTCATCAGTAAGCGAACATAGGATGTTGAATCACTCATTTGAAATTTTAGTAGATATGTGAGTTAGGGTTCTTCAGAGGAGCAGAAAAAAGGAGATATATTTTTAAAAGACATTTATTATAAGGAATTGGTGTGACTGTGGAGGCTGAGAAGTCCCACAGTCTGCTGTCTGTAAGCTAGAGACCCAGGAGAGCCAATGGTGTAAATTCCCATCTCTCTTGGAGGCCTGAAGAAACTTATGGCCCTGGTTAAGCTTAAACACTCAGGCAGAGAGAAGATGTTTTCCCTTCCTCTGCCTTTTTGTTCTATTCAGGCACTCAGGGTGCCCTGAATGGGTACCTACCCACATTGAGGTACCCACTCGTATTAAGTGGTGCCCACCCATTGAGGAAGGCCATCTGCTTTAAACAGTCTATTGAATCCTAAACACCCTCGCAGACCCACTAAGAGATAATGTTTAACCAAGTATCTGGGCACCCCATGGCCCAGTCAAGTTGACACACAGAAATACCCATCATCTCAGAAAACACTCCCCTTTTTAATTTCTTGTTCCTGTGTCTCTGTTTTTTTTTTTTTTTTTTTTTTTTTTACTGTGGCTTTAGGGATAAAACAGTAATTTTGGTGTTGAATCACGGTGTTCATTAAAATGGAGAAAGCAGGTTTTGCTCTTGGGTAGATAGAGGCGCCTGGCTGCTGGGGATTGTTTGAGTAACAGCTAGCTATAGCATTCATCTTCAGGGGTTCCTGTTTTGCACTTCCTCTGTGACCGCAGTGAGAAATTGTATATGAGTGAGACTTCCTAGGGTTCTTTGGCCACACTGGAGAGCTTGATTACTTGTTACCTCTAACACCTTTATTGGACATGGTGTTTTTTTGATTCACTGTGAACATTTATGGATTTTTTTTCATTACGCCAAGCATTTCAAATATTCCTTTCCTTATCCAGGATTTTTAAATGCTGTGTTTCTTTTGGACTTTGTCTACATTTTGCAGTATTCTCCTCAGCATAGATTTCTCCTTTTAATGGCTACTTCTTCAGCTTTATGAGTTTAACTTTTTCAATAATAAAAACAGCACAAAACATATTAATCATATTAGTTATGATCAGTTCTCATTTGTCTGCTCTTCTTGTTTTCTTTTTTTTTTTGAGACCGAGTCTGGCTCTGTTGCCCAGGCTGGAGTGCAGTGGCGTGATCTTGGCTCACTGCAAGCTCCGCCGCCTGGGTTCATGCCCTTCTCCTGCCTCAGCCTCCCCTGTAGCTGGGACTACAGGCGCCTGCCACCTCGCCTGGCTACTTTTTTGTATTTTTAGTAGAGACGGGGTTTTACCGTGTTAGCCAGGATGGTCTCTATCTCCTGACCTCGTGATCCACCCGCCTCGGCCTCCCAAAGTGTTGGGATTACAGGCGTGAGCCACCGCGCACTGCCGTCTGCTCTTCTTAAGTTGACAGAAAAGGAGTTTTACAGTTTTTACATTTCTTAATCCTTTATGGGAAATAGTATTTCTTTCGTTTTGCATGCCAGAGAACTGAGGCTTAAATGATAAGTAATGTGCTGTGACTTATAAAGCTAATAAAGGAAGGCTAGGATGACCCTAAGCATAGAAGACAGAGGCAAAAGAAGAGGGGAAATATGAAAGTTAAAGAGATATAAACAGTAGAGGGTAAGGGGTCGTGAGGTGAGTGTATGAATAGCAGTATGAGCGATGACAATACTGAATATGATAATGATTGAGAACATCCGCCCAAGATGCATGCTAAGCGCTTTACTAGTATTATATCACTGGATTTCACAGCACCTTTATGTGGTAGTCACAGTTATTTTCTCCATTTTACAGATGAGTAAACAGAGCTGTTAGAATATTATGTAATGTGCACTGGGCAGGCTCTGCCAAGTGCGTGCAGAAGCATAAGCTAGCAATTTAACTGCCTCTCAAATGCATCATAGTAATCTATCTTCCTCCTTCATCATCAGGGATTAAGTAACTGCACCATGGACAATGTAAGTAACTTGCCTAAGTAATTAGTTTCAGTCACTGGCACAGCCAAGTGGAGAATCTCTCTTTTCTGACCTGGAAGTATTATGAGTTTGCTCAGTGAGTTTGTTTTTGGAAATGCTCCTCTATGGCAACATTCTTGCCTATTCAATACTGTTTCTTTGACTTCTGTGTCTGTTTTTAATTGTTCAGCTCTTCTCTTTCCACCCACATCCCCAAATATGCAGTGAGTAGCCGTTGGGTTTCACGTTGTAATTGGAAAAGGTAAAAGCCAGCCTGAAAATAATTCTGGCCTGTTGGGAATGTTGGCTTCATGTTTTGAGAATTTCCCTCGTGTCCCTGACTTCAGAGTTAACTATTTCTTTAATGAGGACTAACATGTTAGTGTTGTCTCTGAACTTTATTTGCAGTAATTCACTAATGGAAGCTTTCACAGCCAACTCTGGTAATGAATGTAGAACAGCGACCTTCTGTAGAAAAGGAAAGAAAAAAAATGCTTTCTGTCCTCAGAGGGATCTTTCCTGTTTGGAAAAACCAAATGGACAAGAAAAATAAATCAAGCATTTGAAGGAAAGGAGCTACATCCTTTAGAGTGTTATATTTGTGAAAATTCTCATAGCCTAGAGATTTTCTTTCCAATTTAAGCAAGGAGGAATTTTCCAATGTGAAGCTATTTTTACATGGCCATTAATGGGGTATTTTTGGTGCAAAAATAGTTTCTGGTCCTTGGTGTAGCAACCTTTACCCTTTTAGTCAAATGTTTTATTCTTCCAACCACACACAGTAGGAGAATTTCTTCTCTAACAGTCCTCATACCTTCCCCAAAAAAGGAGACAGAGGAAAGGCAATATTTGTTTTGAGACTGATTCGTTACATGGCCGATGGTGACTTGAAAACACCTCCCTGTGTGTGTTTTCTGGGAAAGAGAGGAACAAGTGAGTGTTAATTCTCCACTCTGACTGGGGGCCAACATCCCTTTGATACTCATTGTGCTGCCTTTCCTGGTTAGGAGTTCTTGGGGCACTTAATTACCCTGGGCTGAATATTTTTTACCATCTACTCCATCCCATCATGCGTAGTTTGCATTTGCAAGTTCGGTTACTTTGGGAGATTGATGGAGTTGAAATTGATGATGAGCCAGTTGCACAGGTTTGTTTGTTTGTTTTTGTTTTGAGATGGAGTCTTGTTCTGTCGCCCAGGCTAGAGTGCAGTGGCACCATCTCAGCTTACTACAACCTCTACCTCCCGGGTTCAAGGGATTCTCCTGCCTCAGCCTCCTAAGTAGCTGAGACTACAGACACACACCACCACAACCAGCTAATTTTTGTATTTTTAGTAGAGACGGGTTTCACCATGTTGAGCAGGATGGTCTCAATCTCCTGACCTCGTGATCCACCGCCTCGGCCTCCCAAAGTACTGGGATTACAGGCGTGAGCCACCAGGCCTGGCCGCACAGGGGTTATTAATTAGTGGAATCATATTGCTCATTGCAGAGGAGCAAGTAGAACTTAAATGTGTTATGCATTTTGGGTGTAACAAATTTATGCATTTAGAATAGATGTTAATGTAACAAAAGTGATGAAAAACTTAAAGATTATTATGGTAATTTATATATTTTTTAATTTTGTAGACTAGCTTAATAAGGTGAAAGGAAAAACAACTTGTTCTTCATGGAGTTTAAGTTCACATGGATTTATAGTGCAAGTAGAAATCAATAATGTAGGACAACGGAGAAATGCCTTCATTCTTGGATATGTCTGTCCAGCAAATATACTGATAATAAATATCCCTGTTATAAATGATGATGAAGCTGGGTGCAGTGGCTCACGCCTGTAATCCCAGGACTTTGGGAGGCCGAGGTGGGCAGATCACAAGGTCAGGAGATCGAGACCATCCTGGCTAACACAGGGAAACCCCGTCTCTACTAAATTACAAAAATTAGCCAGGCGTGGTGGCGGGCGCCTGTAGTCCCAGCTACTCAAGAGGCTGAGGCAGGAGAATGGCATGAACCTGGGACGCGGAGCTTGCAGTGAGCCAAGATCGCTCCACTGCACTCCATTCAGCCTGGGCGACAGAGCGAGACTCCGTCTCAAAAAAAAAAAAGATGATGAAAAATGAGTTGACAGTTGTGAGATTTGAGTGAGAGATTTTGAACAGTTTTCCAAACCACACTAGACTATTCCTATTGAGTTAGTTTAAAATATTTTCTAGGCTTTCCTGCAGAAATGACTTGTCATATTTGTAGATGAATATGTTAATTTTGACTGAGAAGCCAGGTTAAATTTTTATTTGTTTCCTTAGGTGTTTCATAAGAATGTAAGCAACCTTCCTTCACAAACCCCACACAGTCTTCTACCACCAGGTTACTCATGTAGGATAGGTGGATGGAAGAAAAACAAACTTTACATCTAAGAGGCCTTCCCTTGCAGCAGGGAAAACCATAGCTGCAATTTAATTCTGCTTTGAGGATTTTCAATCTCAATGGAATCCTTAAGTGAAACTGTGATTTCTCAGCAAGTATGGTGGCTCACGCCTGTAATCCCAGCACTTTAAAAAGCCAAAGCAGGAGGATTGCCTGAGCCCAGGAGTTTGAGACCAGCTTGGGCAAACAAAAATTAACTAGGTATGGTGGCACATGCCTGTACTCAAGAGGCTGAAGCAGGAGGATCAGTCAAGCCCAGGAAGTCAAGGTTGCAGTGAGCTGTGACCTTGCCATTGTACTTCAGCCTGGGCAACAAAGCAAGACCTCATGTCAAAACAAACTGTGATTTCTCCACAGTGATGAAAATTTTGTATGACATAAACTCTAATCCTTCAACTACTTGCTGGTCATGTTGATAAGTCATACAAAGTCCAACTGGCTTCCTTAGATTTAACAACCCACTTAGGACAGAAAACCCTTGTGGATATGTGTTCCTTGACATTCAGTTAATTTAACTAGGTGTGGTCTTGAAGCTGCCATCAGATGTGGGCAGTGCAGAATGGGAAGCAAAAGGTGACATGCCAGAGTAGAAGTAAAGAATTGTCTTTTAACCCTGACTCCTTTCTCCTCTAGGGGTGATTTGTGAAAAGGGTAAGAATATTCGAGATACATCAGTAAATGTACTCCTGAAGTCACAAAGCCTGAAGAAAGTTTTCAGGTTATTGGACAGAATTCAGTAATTCTGCACATTCATGTGTCTCAACACTTTTAGGGATTACTAATTAAGGGAAACCCATTGAGCTTACTATTCTCCCATGTTTTATTTTAAAGACCAGTAAGTTAAATGCTTCAAGTGTAAGACTGGTCATACTGAACACAGATTAAATAGACAAACTACAGAAAAATGCAAATAAGTGGTTGAGGTTGCTTCTGGTTATGATCCATAGAAATTGTAAACACCAGAACATAATACAAAGAGGGAAAAGTGGAAACATAAGAGTTTCATACCTATTGTTTTGATGGTTTTACAATGCGTATCATAGATTTTAAAAGCTGAACTAGCAGTTAGTTACTAGATTCTAGGTATGAAATGGGAGGCATTATTGTATGGTAGTTAAATAAATTTCACAAATTTGGAATAAGACCAAGATAAGGTCTTAGTTCTACCACTTGGCTTATTCCGTTTTCTTAGGTTTTTTTTTTTGAGACAGGTTCTCGCTGTGTCACCCAGGCTGGGGTGTAGAGATAGGATCACAGCTCACTGCAGCCTCCATCTCTTGGGCTCATGCCATTCTCCCTCCTCATCCTCCTAAGTAGCTGAAGACTAGAGCTGTTCCCTACCACATCCAGCTACTTTTTGTTGTTGTTGTTTGGTAGAAATGAGGTTATGCTATGTTGTCCAGGCTTGTCTCAAACTTCTAGACTCAAGTAATTTTCCTGCCTCAGCCTCCCAAAGTGCTGGGATTACAGGCGTGCGTGAGCCACCACTCCCAGCCAATCTTGTTAATAAATGATGATAACAGTAACAATTTTGGAAGATTCATGGAAATAATGCATAGGAACTACTTAGCACTCTGCATGGTACATAGAAACTGCTCAAATATCCTTAACTCTCATTATCATTACCAGCTGTCCTATTGTTTTAGGAGGATAAAATACATATCTTAAGTTAAAATGTTTTTTTATTTGGTTGTGTCGTTTTGCACGGAATAGTAGGGAGAAGCCTCCTGATTTGTTTCTCTCGTGGAAATTTGATCTGTATCTGCTAAAAAATGTTTATCCCTTCTTCTGTAAAAGGGACTCTTTCCCCTACGGTGAGTAGTATATAGTGAATATCAATGCTGATACATTTAAACTGTGGAGGCATCAGGGGACCAACCTGCAGTGATGCTAAGTGGAACTGACAAGATAATGACATGCGGGTTATTGTTGATTAATCCAGTTCACTGGAGAATCATTGGGAAATGCATTTATCCTTTCACCTGACCCTCCCAACCCCACAAAAATGATTTACAGTAATCTTGGAGTCACCCAGTCCTTTCTTCCACATCTTCCAGAACTTAAAAAAAAAAAAAATCCGATGTTTGTACTATTTCCCCTCTTCCCTACTTTTGATGACGGCCAATTTGTTAAAAATGTAAGAATGGCCAGATGTTTGGTGTTTGTGTTAGTGGCAGCCTGGAGCTAAGTATGATTTTTTACAGTGAGGTAAAATACTTGCTTCTTACTCTACCAAGTACTTTTTACACCTCCCTTTATAGCCCTTTTTGTAAGCAAAGATGCCTGACTTCTGTTTCTCATCTGTGAAGTATCATAGGTCTAGAGTCCATTAGACATGATAGCCAAATATAAAACGTTCTAAAAATGGAAAGGTTTTTTTTTTTTTTTTTCCGATTATGTGGTGGCAAAACCTAACCTGTCCTGAAATCATTTGGTGATTGAAGTAGTAATTACTATGCTTCTAGAAATATTTTTAGCTCTCCATCTCCAGGCGTATGGTAGCCTTACTTATCCCGCCCTCTTCTAAGTTGAGCATGACTCTCAAACTCAATCAGGCAACTAGAATGAGAATATCGATATGAATGAGGATATAGACGTTTGTTGCCTTTAGTTGGAATCTTTCAGAGTAAGGGCATGCTTTGCTGTGTTCTTCTATCCTCTATAGTCAGGGAAGTGTGAAGGTGGAGCTACCCTCTCAGCCTGGGTACCCCAGTAAGGGAGATGTTGGGCCTAGTCCCCTAAGTGGTGCATTTGCAGCATGAGCAAGAAAACATCTTGCTGTTGTAAGATTCTATTTGGAGGACTGGTTTGCGGCATAACGTAGTTCACCCAGAGAAGTATGTGGTAAATATAGGGCTTTGATTTTTAGTCTTTCATGTAATCAGATGCACTTTCGGAGAAGGGTTTCAATCTCACTTCCAACCTTTGTATACCTTGTTCCTAATCACACCCCATCATACTATAGGAAAGGTGGAAGGTGGACAGAATCTGGGATCCCAGCCTCACTCATGGATCCAAGGTCAGAAATCATCTCATGTCTTTCTGCCAGTGAATGTCCTTCTCGTGACCTCATGATATTTTGTGACATCCCTGATCTGTCCTTCAGTCCATGGAAATGCCCCTGGCTGTAGTCATATTTCTCTGTCTATCTAACCATGTGTCTATCTATATTTTCATATTTATCTGGTTGGAAGCATATATATATATCTTTCAAATACTGGGAAGGCCCAATATTTTGCCTCATTAGGTTATACATACATGATAAACAGCATGATATACATTTTAATATCAAGTAGATAAAATACAAGCTTTTCTAAGCTATAGGTCATCACTGGTGACCCTATCCTGATACAGTTACTTTAGAGATCTAAAGAGATTAGATATTATATTTTCTTATTATATAGTACCTTAAATATGTCTATAACAGATAATAAAATAGTGCATTAGCTCATATATACTACCTAAAGAGAGACACTTAATCTTACTGTATTTATTTGGAAAGTTTAGGTAATTTCTTACATTAAAATATTTTTCCTTAAATTAACTGCTGATTCTTAGATCAAGTCAGTTATGTATTATTGACCTAAATTCCACGTACAGTAATTAGTTTTTGTTTTGCTGGTCATACTGAGTCATTGCGATATTTCTCTGGTATGTGATTTTAGTCTTCTACATGCCCTTTTTTTCTCAGTCTATCAAGGTACATTACATAGTTTATTTATT